>NC_000006.12:36726666-37029696 GCF_000001405.40 Homo sapiens | reverse complement strand
CCACTGCACTCCAGCCTGGATGACAGAGCAAAACCCTGTCTCAAATAAACAAACAAACACCCTACAGGAGGGAAGTGGCCTCAGGTTGGAGGCAGGCAAAGCTGCTGGGCCTGTGATGGGACAAAAACCTGTGACTCATCCATGCTTCCTCCTTTCAGGGCAGAGCCCAGCAATGGCTGGACCTGCTGAGAGCAGCTGAGGGTGTTCTGGCCACTGCTGGGGCCACTGCATGTGGCCTGCTGACCACTGCCACCCCCTGGTGGTCTCTTATGAAAAAGCATCCTCACCCACCAGCGAGGTGGGGATGAGGGGACAGGGATGCTCCTCCCGTCACCCTTCCTCCCACCATTCACCTTTCTCTCTTGTCTTCCCAGCTTCTTCACTCTCTTTCCCTCTCTTTTGCTTCTCCTCACTCTCCTCCCCTCTCTGCTTGTCTTATTGTTCTGCTCCATGATAGAAAGAGCTTTGACCTTAGTTCACCGGGTTAAAACCTGGCTCTGGCATCTACGAGCTACATGACCAATTGAGCCAATTACTAAACCTCTCTGAGTCGGTGTCTTCATCTGGAAATGGGGATAACTCTGGATGGTAAAATGACATAATCCACATAAAACACCTTGCACAGAGCCTGGTCCAATAGATGTTTATTATTATTATTACTACTATCATGACTGGCACTTGACAGGGGCTCAACCATTGGTTGTGGTAGTTTGCTCTCTTTATTCTTCATCCCAGGTAACCCAGGCTATATATTAGACTCCAGTGGGTACTCTTAAAAAATATGCATGCGCCAGGTATGGTGGCTCACGCCTGTAATCCCAGCACTTTGGGAGGTGGAGGTGGGAGCATCGCTTGAGGCTGGGAGTTTGAGACCAGCCTGAGTAACATGGTGAAATCCCATCTCTACAAAAAATAAAAAAATTAGCTTGGCACAGTGGCACACACCTATAATCCCAGCTACTTGGGAGGCTGAGGCGGGAGGATCACTGGAGCCCGGGAGAGCGAGGCTGTAGTGAGCCATGTTTGTGCACTCCAGCCTGGGAAACAGAGTAAGACTCTGTCTCAAAAAAAAAAAAAAAAAGACCCCATGCCTCCCCCAACTCAGCCCATTTAAATCGGTGGTGGTACTTCAGTACAGGCATTGTTTTTTACATTTTTAAAATTAATTTACTATGTGTTTTTCACCAGTACTCTTTAAAAGCTCCCCAGGAGATACAAATGAAAAACCATACTATGGTGACCACCAGTCCGGGGTTACCTGGGGCTTTCCCAGTTTTAGCACTGGAAGTCCCATGGCCCAGGAGCCCCCTCCCCGCAAGGCAAACTGAGACACTTGGTTGTCCCCTTTCTAGAAAGGAATGGACCCATATTTTCTAATCCCAGATCGGGACACGTGGCCTGGGCGCAGATGGCTGAATCAATTCTCTGAAAGCACCACTTGGGGCAGTGGGTCACTGAGGCCACAGGGTCAGTCTGTGGCAGGAGCTGGGTTCAGGGTGGGGAGAGGTGGGCAGGAGAGCGGCTGGCAGTGGCTCAGTCGGACAGGTCCCCATCGTTGGGCCAGCTGGGGCTCCAGCCACTGGCCGCCCGCTCCATGGCCTTCACCCAGCGGCCCTTCAGCTCCTCCGTCTCGGCCTTGAAGGTGTAGAGCTGGCCTGACTGCTGTAGCTGGAAGACCCGAGGGTCCCCCTGGGGCCCAACAGTCACCTGGTAGCCCAGCAGGGGGATGGAGGTGTGAGCCCTCATGTCCTGGGGGGAGGAGAGAGCAGTGGGCCACTGTCCCCTCTCAGTCCTACTGCCCCAGATAGCCATCGTGAAGGCAACAGCCACGCACGCACAGCTCACACCCTAAACCCCCATGGGTTGGGGGTGGGCTGGTGAAGGCCATCGAGGAAGAGGACAGAAGAACTGGCTGCCTCTGAGGGCAAAGCAGTGGTGACCTAGAGTCAGGGCACAATTCTGAAACCTACCAACCTTGAGACTCCAGGATACCATATCCTCATTGGGCCTCAGTTTCCCTATCTGACATATGGAGCTAGCAATACTCACCCCTGACCCCCTTCACACACACGCTGTGGGAAGGCCAGGGCCTGACGGGGGGCGGGCAGGTGGTGGCCTTACCTGAGGGGCAGCATAGACATAGAGCACGAGGGGGTCATCCCGAGGGATCACACACCAGCCCCGGGGGCCGCTCTTGCCCCACTTGTCCCCGATGAGCTGCAGGAAGCTGCACATCAGGCTCTGGTCAGGCGTGGCTGAGGACCCTTTCTAAAACCAGAAGGAGGGACTGTCAGGGAGCAGAGCAGCCGCAAGTGCCAGATGTTGGTCTGGGGGCTTGACAATCACTATCTCCAATCCTTACAGCAGTACTGAATGGAGGGGTCCTTGGTCCTTGAGGCTCAGAGAGGTCCCATCAAGTGCCTGTGGTCACACAGCTAGCTGGCCAGTGGCAGAGCTGCAGTCAAACCCCAGCCTGCCTGAACCTGTCGCGTGTGTGCCCACAAGGGGCAGGTGCCGGGAGGGTGCCTGGAGCTGCTCCAGGAAACAGAATTGGGCCCTGAGAAGGGGCTGAGCATCTCCAGGGGCAGGCTGTGTTGCCTAGTGGTCAGGGGGTCCTGGGCCTGGAAGGATGGGGAGGATTGGAAACGGGGTGGATGCCCGTGGAAAAAGGCCAACTTTTTTTTTTTTTTCAGATAGTTTCTCTCTTGTTGCTCAGGCTGGAGTGCAATGGTGCAATCTCAACACATTGCAACCTCCACCTCCCGGGTTCAAGAGATTCTCCTGCCTCAGCATCCCGAGTAGCTGGGATTACAGGCATGCACCACCATGCCCGGCTGATTTTTTTTTTTTTGTATTTTTAGTAGAGACGGGACTTCACCATGTGGGCCAGGCTGGTCTCGAACTCCTGACCGCACGTGATCCATCCACCTTGGCCTCCCAAAGTGCTGGGATTACAGGCATGAGCCTTCCCGCCTGGCCAAAAGAGGCCAACTTGAACCTGGGAGTGAATCTCAGCTGGCACAGGCTGGGACCTTCTCCCACCTCCCAGGGACGGTGGGATGTCAACCTGGCCTTCGTGAGGGAGGGGCAGTGGACAGTGGTATTGATGCTGAGCTGGTTGACATTGTATTTGTGCTGCCTAGCTGAGCACAGTTGTACCCCCACAGGGGAGCACCTGTGGGGGCAAGTGTGGCTCAGTGAGGCCCCCAGGGCAACAGAAAGAACATCTGTGACTGAGATCAGAGAGCTGGCTCCTAACTTGCTGTGTGATCTTGGGCAAGTCACTCCTCCAGCCCTGGGTCTCCATGGGATAAGACCGACTGGCCCCTGGAGTCCCTTCCAGTTAGAATGGAGTCTCCAATCTGTCTGACCTGGAGCGTCAGTGTTCCCATCTGTAAAATGGAAGCGGTGACACCAGCTCTTGGCACCCTGGGACTGTCGGGGCAGGACATGGGGACGTGAACATGAGCTGTCCAGAGGGGCCGTACTATCGGATGGGGACATAGAGGAAGTGCAGAAGAATGTGGACGACAGCCTGCAGCCAAAGGGTGCCTCCATTTGGTGACAGGCTCCACACTGCCTGGGCTGTGGCGAGAGGCCTGGGGTCTGTGGGCAGAGAGAGGAAGAGGGAGAGGGGGGAGGGTGTGACCATGGCTGGCTTGTTCCTCAGCACTGGACAGTGTCAGCCCAGCATGGTTGCCGGGCACACATTCCCTGAACAGAGGACGGATGGTGAGCGCGGGGACAGTGGCCCTCACCTCCAGGATGCCCCGCCTCTTGTCCTCCTTGGCCTCAGGCAGCACATTTCCAGTGAGGAATGCGTAGCAGTGGAGGCAGACTCGGTTGGGCCTGTTGTCGTCGTATTTCAGTTCGGCCCGGTAGTCGGAGCACCTGGCACACACCACCTGAGGAGGACACATAAGGGGGCATGGGGCTGAGACCAGGCACCGGAGGGCTGGGCTCCTGCCTTGGTGGGCAGGTGGGGGCATGAGAGCAACCAGGGACTGGGGGAGGAAAAGAAAGCTTCGAGGGAGGAATAGAGGCAGAGCGGGGATGCTCCCCCATGCTGGTGAGGCCCAACTGCCTGGAGGCTGCGACACATGGGGGAGCTCGGGCTCGGGGCTCTTAGGCTGAGGGTTCAAGACCCGGCCCCCACCGCGAGGGCCGTAACTTCTCTCCCCTCCAGGTTCCCTCCGAGTGAGGGCTGCTGTGAACCCAAGGGGCTTGCCCCAGACGGGCCACTGGCATCTGATTCACTTTTCCAAATGCTGTCCTCTCCGCCATCTCACCTGACTCTCCCAAAGACCCCACCAGGCAAGCAGGGCCCAGCTTTTGTCCTCTCCTGACCCTGAGAGCCACACTGTTACCTGGCAGACAGGCCCTCCACACACAGGGTGTGTCTTTCAAGTCCCACAGTTTAGCTTTAAGATTCAGGCAGACTTTGTATTCTGCGCCATCATGGAGTCAAGTGTGTTTTCACCTAAAAATGATAGGCTGGTTGTTTTTACATGGGTACTCTGTGGAGCGGGGCCCACTCTCAGCTCACCACGAAGACACCCCCCAAAGGCTGACATGGATCATGCCGGGAGGCTGGGTAAAAGGGGCCTGGGAAGACTCAGAGAGGAACACTGGGTGCCGCAAGGTGTGACTGCGAGGAAGACTTGGCTTTATGGGGAGCCCAGATGTGGGCGTGGAGATGGAGGGCAGGAGAAAGGGGCAGAGGGAGTGTAGTTCATCAGGCGGCACCAGCCTTCAGGGAGCTCCTCTGTGTGCCCAGCACAGAGTGTGGCCTGGCAGGGACCTGGAGAAGAAGGCCTGGCCCTGCCCCACCCTCACAAGGATTCCCGTCTGGCAGGCAGGGGAGACAGAAACTGGCACCCGAACCACCGAAAGGATGACTCACTGGCTCAGCAGGCACGAAGATCTGCACAGGCAAGAGAAACCCACGGTCAGGGCACAGCCCCACACGGGGGCTTCAGCTACCTCAGGAGCATTTTTTTTTTATTGAGCGATTTCAATGTTTAAATATAATTAGTAAATATTTTTTCCTCTACCAACGTTTAATTTTGAAAAATTTCCTACCGACAGACAAATTGAACAAATAATACAATGATACCACCCACTAGATTCACTAATTATTAACATTTGTGCCACATTTGCTCTCTGTCTCTCTCTATATGTATGTATTTTATTTTTTTCTGAACCATTTGAGGATAAATTACAGTCATCATGACACCTCACCCTTAAATATGTAGCTGGTGGTCTCCTAAGAACAAGGGCATCCTTCTACCTATCCACGGTGTCACAGTCACGCTCAGGAAATTTATTGATACAATATTATTATTTTTATTTTTTTGAGATGGAGTTTTGCTTTTGTTGCCTGGGCTGGAGTACAGTGGGGTGATCTGGGCTCACTGCAACCTCCACCTCCTGGGTTCAAGCGATTCTCCCTCCTCAGCCTCCCGAGTAGCTGGGATTACAGGTGTACACCACCACACCCGGCTAATTTTGTATTTTTAGTAGAGACAGGGTTTCACCATGTTGGCCAGGCTGTTCTCGAACTCCTGGCCTCAGGTGATCCGCTCACCTCGGCCTCCCAAAGTGCTGGGATTACAGGTGTGAGGCACTGCACCCAGCCAATACAATATTATTATCTAGATATGTTGCATCATCAAATTTCTCCCAATGGTCCCAAGAGCAACCTTGATAGCTTTATTTTACCCCAGAAAGAATCCAAGCAAGGATCATACATTTAATTTAGTTGTCAGAATATTTTCTATCTTAAGCTGGAAGGCAGCTACACAGGTGTTGTTATTCTTTGTGCCTCTTTGTATTTCACTATTTTAAGTAATTTTTAAAGAACTACTTTCACTCACAAGTGTGAATCAATTCAACTCTTATTTACAGAAGTGAATCACCAGGAACAGTAGCCAATCCCCACATCCTTTCTACCTGGCTTCGGGATGTAACTCATCACTGACATCTGAAGGCAGGTGTGTTCCCAGGTCCTAGAAACTGACTCTGTCCTGATTGCAGTTGAACACATTTTGGGGACACCTCCCTGACTGGCCCCAACCTGTCCAGCTAGACTCCTCCTGTCCTCTGGAGGTCATCAAAGACTGAGGTTGCAAAGGGCTTCTCTGTTTGCAGAGTAAACAGAGGGGGTTGTGATGTCAACAGAGAACAGCTCAAGTACAGGAGTGCTTAAAAAGCAAAGCGAGATCTACCTCTGGTAACTGGGCCTGGATTGATAAGAGGAGAAACTGTAGTGGACACAGTACCCTCCTCAAGAAGCTGGTAGCTCACCCGCACTGGATGCCCTGCCTGAGTTATGGAGGAGGGGGAAAGAAAAAGAGGAGAGGGAAGGGAAAGAATGTTTTTTGGTGGAATCCTCACTGCCACACTGGAGGTAGGTTTCACGATCCCCATGGCGGAGTTAAGGAGACTGAGGCCTGAACCAGTAGGCAGAGTTAACAACAGAATCCATCAGGTGCCAGGGTGCTGAGGGCTTGCAGAGAAGAGAGGACAGTTAGCCGAAGCGGGTAAAGAGAGGATGACGGGGTGGGTGAGTGCATAGTGGGCATGGGCCTGGTGAGGTGGTGGGGCAAGGCCTGAGGGGGTGCGGGGCTAGATGCCCCTCCACTAGAACTGGGGACCATTTCCTAGCTCTGGGTCTCAGGGTCGTGGAAAATGATGATAAGAATGCAGGTAAATTCATAGGATCAGCTTCAGGGGTACCTTCAGCAAGTAATTTAACCTCAATGGGTCTCATTTTCCCATCTAAAAAATGGGAAACAGCAGCCTCCTGAGGTGTGCTGTGAGGGCCAGATGAGGTAGTAATACACACACCTGGCTCAGAGCTAGTGCCCAACACCACTGGGCTGCATTGGTTGAAGCCAGCAGATTTGGCCAAGATGGGGACAGCAGCACCTGAGCTGGGTGGGTAGAGGCCCAGGTAGGGCAGGTAGAGGCCTAAGTGGGACAGGTAGAGGCCTGGGTGACACTGGTGGAAGCCAAGGTGGGGCAGGTGGAGGCCGAGGTGGGACAGGTAGAGGCCAAGGTGGGGCAGGTGGAGGCCTAGGTGGATCAAGTGGAAGCCTAGGTGGATCAAGTGGAAGCCTAGGTAGGAAAGATAGAGGCCTGGGTGACACAGGTGGAGGCCTCGGAGGGACAGGTGGAGGTGACACAGATGGAGGCCGAGGTGGGGCAGGTGGAGGCCTAGGTGGATCAAGCGGAGGCCTAGGTAGGAAAGGTGGAGGCCTGGGTGATGCAGGTGGAGGCCTGGGTGACGCAGGTGGAGGCAGGAGTGCTGGCAGGAGTACTCACATAGCCGCAGGCCCGGCAGTGGTGGCGACGGCGCGTCAGAGCGTTGAAGGGCTCCTGGCAGCGCATGCACATGGTCACCATCTTGTCCCGGACCCACTGCGGTGCCCGGAGGCCCAGCTCCTCAGACTGCAGCTGTGGGTTAAGGGGAGTTGGGCAGGAATGGGCCCTTGGTGACCTTCTTCCGCCCATCCTCCCAGGGCCTGGGGCCCTGTGCCCACCTGCTGTAGCAGGGATTCTTTGTGTTGGGCTTCCCTGGGGCTTCTACAGCAAGCTGACTGACCTGATCGAGACCTTATGATACGTTAGTTACCATTATTCCTATTGTATAAGTGAGGAAACTGAGGCCCAGAGAGGTCAAATGACTCAGCAGTCACTCAGCAAGCCAGAGTTCAGCTCAAATCTGAACTCAAACCACAGATATCCTCCCCAGCCCCCACCTCACTCACCTTCCATCTTCCCTGAGACTTTGTATTTCTCAGATACTTTCAAACCCAAAACCCTACTGCCCCCTGCAGCTGGAGCTGCAGAGACGTGAAACACTTCCCCAAGACAGCTGTGCAGACAGGCTCTCAAAGGAAGTTTTGCTAAAGGGGAATGCTCAGGCCCTGAGTCGGGGGATGCGCTGGGAAGGCTTCCCCTGGTCCCTTCAGTCTCTCCTGGCAGATGACACTCCCTCTCCCTCTGAGCTGGTATAGGCAGAACAGAGAGGGAACAAGCTCTATTTGGGTTGGTGGCTCCAGCAAGGGATGAAAAAGCCTTCATTTACCTCCTGCTCCTGGATGTCTCCCTCAGGCCCCTGGGCCGCAGCCTTGAAGGTTTCATTCCGCTTCTCGATTTGGTCAATGGCTGCTTGGAAGGCCTGGGGTGCAGGGAGGGGGAGGGTCGGGGCTTGAGGTGTGGAAGGGAGGGATTGCTCCTCTGTCCATCCTTCCGTGCATGCAACAGACAGGGCTGAAAGCCCACTGGGTACCAGGCGCTGGATTCTACACACACGCGGGCTGCCTTATCGGAGGAGAAACTACCAGCCCCAGGTTACAGATGTAAAAACTGAGGCTCAGAGAGGGTAAGTGACTGGCCCTGGACTGCCCAGCTAGGCAATGAGAAGCAGCAAGATAGGAACCCAGATCGGTCTCCAAACTACCACAGAGCAGCTCCTTAGGAAGAGCAGGGAGCAGCTGAGCACACGCAGGTGTGGGAGCATGCACACACACACACGCACGCACACACAAACACAGACACACAAAGACACATACACACAAGCACGTACATACACATGCATACAAACACACACATACACACAAACACATGCACACATGCATGCACACAAACACACATATACACATACACACATACATGTACACACGCACACACATGCATGCACACATACACACAAACACACACACAAACACACAGACACAGACATGCACACACAGATGCACACACATGCATACACACATGCACACACACACACACACACACACATGCATACATACACCACTCCCTCCCCTTCAGCCCAAATAGGCTAGGGAGAATCCCAGGAGCTTCATCAAGGTAGTCTAGTACCAAGAAAGAAAAAAAGAAAAAAGAAAGAAAGGAAAAAGACTCCCAGAAGCCTCGGAGCGTTCCCATACCTGCATCCAGGAAATCATTTCCTCCTGGGACCTGCTCGGAAAGTGAACACAGGTGTTGAGGAGATCAGCCCCTCCCAGTTTTCCCGCCTGGCCCTGGGCCGCCACCCCAGCTCCTTTACCGGGCTTGCAGCTCCAGGGTGCGCTGCTTCCCGGACACCAGGAAGGAGTGGGGAAACTCAGCATCCATCAGCTCCCGCACCTGCCAAGAGGAGGGAGGCAACCAGTTCAGACTCATCATAGCCCGGGTCCCAGGCACAGCACTGTGGAGGGGAGGGAGGTGGATTGTGCCCAAGGGACAATTCAAATTCGAGAGACAGGGATGCAGAGCTTGTTCGCCACCTCTCTAATCCTGTTGAGCCAAGCAAATGCCCCTGCAACTGGGCCTCGCTCCAAGCAAATGGAACCTATGGCTCCTGGAATTTTAGCAGCAGCTAAGTTGACCCAGTGTGACGTGGAGATGACAATTTTTGACAATGGATTCAACAAAAAAGGAAATTAGATTTCAAAACTGGATGAGTATATGAGGTTCATTATACCGTTTTCTTGGCTTTAAAATTTTCATAATAAAACATTAAAGAAAATAACCTTGGCTGGGTGCAGTGGCTCACGCCTGTAATCCCAGCATTTTGGGAGGTCAAGGCGGGTAGATCACTAGAGGCCAGGAGTTTGAGAACAGCCTGGGCAATATGGTGAAACCCATCTCTTCTAAAAGTACAAAAATTAGCTGGACATGGTGGCGCATGCCTGTCATCCCAACTACTCGGGAGGCTGAGGCACAATAATCTCTTGAACCTAGGAGGTGGAGGTTGCAGTGAGCTGAGATTGTGCCATTGCACTCCAGCCTGGGTGACAGAGGGAGACTCTGTCTCAAAAAAAAAAAAAAAGAAAAGAAAAGAAAAGAAGAAGAAAATAATCTTCACAGCAATCTTGGGAAGCAGATACTATCATCCTCATTTAGGAGATGAGGAAATGGATGCTCAGAGAGGGCAAGAGAGCTGCCTGAGGTCACACAGCACCTAAGGGGCAAAAGAAGGATTCCACCCCAGGTTTTCAGCCCCCAAGGGTGAGATGGAAGAACATCTATTTCCATCCTACCCCCAGAGTCCTGTAAGCACACTTCCTTCAGACGGTGTGGAGAGAGATTTGCAAAGAGAACCTAAGACACAGGCTGAGAGCACAAGAGCTTCTGTGTGGGGCAACTTTGTTGCCATTAAATTCCTCAAACACTTGAGCTCCTCTGCTGCCTCCCATGTGGTGGCCAGGCCTTTGCACACTTCCAGGGCAGCTCACCATAACCCAGACAGCACTGAGTACAAGCACATCTTTCCTCAGGTTAGGCCTAGTCTGCAGCCTCACTCCCCAGTCTTTGCCTTAGAAGGGGCTGATGTGATTTGGATTCGATGCCCTTGGCAATGAGGAGGCGGTCATGTGGAAAGAGGTATTTGGGAAAGAGCCAAATACCTCTTTGTGTGCAAGGGATGACAGGCTGGATGTGGGCCAAATGGGACAAACCTGTAGCCCAAAGGCCAGTTAGGAAGCAACATCATAAATGGTCCTGGCCTGCCCAGGTGCACTGGAGAGACAGAAGAGGTTTCTAACTGGGTCAGGGAGAGGGGAAAGGGAAAAGAAGGGAGAAATCCAAGGTTTGCAGTCCAGAAGCAGGAAGAAATATCATGCTTTTGACAGAAAAAAGGGAACTGGGGGCTCCTGACCTGAGGGTCCAGGCTGCCCCTGGGATGTTCATACAGAGGCTTCCAGCTCCCCAGCAGGTTTCAAGAGGAGTTTCCAGAACTGTGCTGAGCTGAGCCTCAACCACTTTCCCCAGGGCTAGGTCAATTCAGTCCCCTGCTAGTCCATACAGTACGTTTGTAGTAATTAGAAAAGGACAGCCTTCCTCAAAACACTTTACTGACATCTGTTGGCAAACTGGCATAATACCTAGATATTGTTGGAACAAGACATTTGACTGCCATCTGCCGGACAATTCTCACTATAAATATACCATCTATGATATATCATAGTCTGCTAATCTGCAGTTGGCTGCAGAAGACATCCTCTTAGATGAGGTATCCTTGTGCAGTGTACAACCTGCACAACTGTACGTGGAGCCCCTAGGTATGTGTGTCCACACCCCTTCCTTCTTCCCAGGCTGGCCCTGTGGGGGATGGCAAAATACTAAGACCAAGTCAGACCTTGGAGAGAATCAGCTGCTGTGAACTAGGCCTCCCTGACACCTAGGAAGGAGGAGGCCAGGGAGTCATAGGCCAATAGGAACCATCATGATGGTCAAAGGCAAGATTTGCCTCCAAATCACAGACTCAGAAAATGGTTCCTGCACAGAAGTAGGGTGAGTGGACAGCTCTGCACTTGCCAAGCCCATGCCGTCCAGGAGAGGGTGCTGTGCGGCTGCTGGAGTATCAGACATGTTAGCCGAGACTAGCAGACTCCAGAGACCCGGCACACACAGGGCTGGTGAGCTCTCAACACACACCCAAAGCATCTGATGCTCTCAGGCTCGGCTCTCTCTGTTTTCTCTCTATGACTCTGTTTTGGTTTCTATATTTCTTAGCCTTCCTATCTGTCGATCTCTATTTTTCTATGCCTGGGTCTCTGACAGTCCTTTGGCAGGGCCACCCGTCTCCATTTCTCTGTCTGTAGCTCTCTATAAACCTGCCTTTCTCAGCCTCACTCACCAAGGACTCCAGACATACAAGCCTGCACACGCCCTGGTCTATGTGACATTCTGGCCCCTTCAGGATGGAAAGCTAGATGCCAGGGCCGGGGCTGCACTCCTAAAAGACTTCAGTCAGCTCAGGTGTCGGGGTGAGCTGTGAACCCATGTTCCCTCATCAGCTTTCATCATTCCCAGGCTGCACCCCACCCCCAGGCCCTGGATTGCTCCAGATGCCAGGCAACCCCAGTCAGGAGCAGGGGTGGGGCTCTTTTGCTGGGGTCTCTGGAGGCCCCAGGGGCTCTAGAGGGTAGAGCATTCTGGTTCAACTCCTGCCTGCAGCTCCCTTCTGGGGCTGAAGGGGGTAGGGGTGATGCTGAATAGGAGAGTGACAAGATGGGCCAGACCAGACCTCTGCTTCTTCCAGTCCCAGCCCTCAGGACACACCAGGACTCAGGAGCCAGCAGAGAGGGGTGGTCAGGAAGCTTCTCTGGCTGTGTCCTCCACGATGCCAGAAATTCCACCATAGTCTTGAACCCTCTGGATTGAAGCCTTAATAGGCGACAGCAGAGCGTGGTGGTTAGACGCAGAAGCGCCAGCCTTTGTTACACCTGCATCTGAATCCTGGCTTGGTCACTCGAACTAGCATTTGCGATATGACCTTCAAGCAAGTTATTTAAGTTAGAAAGGTTTTCTAGGGCCTTGGTTTTCTCATGTTTAAAAATGGGATTAACTGCAGATACATTCACACACAGGCAGGCTGTACCAGGCTATTCACTGCAGCCTCATTTGCAGCTGCTGACAACTGAAAACAATCTAAGTGTCTCTCAGCAGAAGACTGGTTGAAGAAATTCCGGTGCATCTGCACAGTGGGACGCAATGCAGCTGGGCAGGAGGATGAGGAAGCTCTCAAGTACAGGGACACCTCAGTCTCCAGCATTTGCAGTTAGTTAAAAAAAAAAAAGCAAAGTGCAGAAAAATGTGTAGAGTATACCACTGCTTCTTGCATAAATGAGGAAACAATCCTATTATATGTTATTGGTTTGCTAGGCGAAGACCACCTCTGGAAGGCCTCACAAGAAGCAAGGATTGCCTTCAGGAAGGGGAACTAGGGGATAGAGTCGGGCGGAGACTTTCATTGTATATATTTTTTATATTGTTTGACTTTAGAATGTGTATAATCTGTATTTTTTAAGTAGTAAAATTAAAATATTTTTAAAAGATAAAAAACAGGCTGGGTGTGGTGGCTCATGCCTGTAATCCCAGCACTTTAGGAGGCCAAGCCAGGTGAATCACTTGAGGTCAGGAGTTTGAGACCAGCCTGGGCAACATGGTGAAACCCCATCTCTCCTACCAAAAATACAAAAATTGGCCGGGCATGGGGGCTCGCGCCTACAGTCCCAGCTACTTGGGAGGCTGAGGCAGGAGAATTGCTCGAACCCAGGAGGTGGAGGTTGCAGTGAGCCGAGATTTTGCTGTTGCACTCCAGCCTGGGCAACAGAGTGAGACTCGGTCTCAAAAAAAAAAAAAAAAATCCAGAAGATTCTAACAGCCCCTGCATCATGGGGCTGTTAGGAGGATCTTGTGGTCCCCCCATGGGCTCCATCATGGACTACTGGCCCTGCTCATTTGCCATAATCTCTGGATGAGGTAGATGGGGACACACACAAGCCAGCCGCTGAGCTGACACTGGAGACCTTTCCTACTCAAAACGTGTTCTGTGCTCCTACAGTATCAGCATACACTGCCCAGGATATGTCTCATTTCATTTAATTCTCACAATCCTGCAGGTGGGGTCAGTTGTCAGCCCATCTTAACTGGGAGCTGGTTAGAAATGCAGGATCTCAGGCACCCCCCCACCCAGACCTCCTGATTCAGAACCTGCATTTTTACAAGATGCCCAGAGGATTCGCGCACACATGAAAGTTTTTGAAGCAGTGGTATAAACAGTAGGGAAAGCACAGAAAGGCCAAGCTGGCTCATGCACTGCCGCGAAGGGAGGGCCAAACCTGTGGGAAGCTGGGAAGGACAGGGCAGGAGGGCTAGGATCCCAGAGGGGAGAGCCCCACACTCTTCCATCTCCATGTTTGCCCAGGCCCTGCAAGGGTTTGGTTCTGTGATTGAGAACCTGGTTGGCCCCTCCTCTTACTCCCTGTACTCAGTCCTACCCTTGAGGTGGAGCCCAGTGGTGTTTAGGGGGCCTCTTACCTTCATCCCGGCCACATCGATGCGGGTCCTCACCTGGAACTGGGCGCCCACCTGGATCACCCTGGGCACACAGTAGAGCAGCATGTTGTTGAACTGCAGGAGACACAGGCGTGAGTGGCCCGTGGCAGGGGCAGGGAGGATGGCTAGGTGGGGTTTCCCCGAGGGTGGGCCGAGCATGGGCTGAGCACCACTGGACCCGCTCCCCTTTGAACACACTCTGGCCAGCCTGCTCACAGGACATCACAGGTGATGATGTAGGTGATGAGGAAGGGGCTGTCAAGCTCCCAATTCCCCTAGGATGGTTACTGAAGGGTCACCCTACAAGGGACCATAGCAGACCTCAGAAACCTACAAGGCCTTTCTCAACAGGGGCTCAGGATGGCAGGGGTTTACAAGAGGTTATATCTCTGTTCCCCAGACCTCCAGGCAGGACCACCTTTCCAGGTGTCAGGAGATCCCCCGGCTTCTTCCGTGCAAACCCAGGGCAGTTCTTCCTAGTAGCTAACCTTACTCCTTCCTGCTGTGCGCTCTCTAGAGCACAGATTAATATCACAGGCTTTGCAGTCAGACTGGGTTCAAACTCTGACTCTGTTGCTTCCTAGGACATGTCTGGGAAACCTGTGGGTTGGAAATCTCTGAGGCTTAGAGGCAGCAGGTGACCTGTCCAAAGTCATCTGGGTGCCAAAGCAGAAAAAGACAGAGAAGCGTTCTCTTCCCTGTCCCCCTGCAGTGCCAGGTAGAGGCCAGGCAGTATGACTCGGGCCAGAGTGGCCCATGGACTTCCCTCCCCAGTGTGGAGAGGAGCTCCCAGCACCCTCTTACCAAGAAAAGGTAGCGCTCCATGGGGTCGTTGCGGCGGAAGGAGATCTTGAGGACCGGGCCCTCACGGAGCAGGGTGTTAGAGGGGTCTACTATGTCGTCCTCGAGGCCCAGGCGCTGGTACACCTCCCACAGGTCCTGCAGCCGCTCCTAGGGGGTTGGGGTGCATCCTCAGCCAAGTCTGGGCAGGGCTCACCTGCTTCTGGAAGGCTTGCCTTGTGGGGACGGGGACTGGGGGGTAACAGTGAGGGCAGCAGTGGGATAGGTGTCATGGGTGGGACCAGGCTGAGACCTGCAGGGAGGGGGACAGGGCTCCAGGAGAGGGCGGGCTGCTTACCATCTCAGTGATGGCTGCATTGGAGTGCTGGGCAGCTGAGAAGATCATGTCCAGGGCTTCTGAAAGGGGCAGGGCCGGAGTTTATTCCCTGAGAATCTAGGGCTGGTGGCTGGGGCAGGAGGTCCTTGAAGTTCAACAAAGGGCCCTCAGGACCTGCCATGACAGCCCCCAGGAGCAGCCCTGCCTGTGCAGCCCAGCCATGGGGTGTCTGAATGGCGGGAGCCCCCCAGGGCTGAGAGACTGGAAGCCACTGAACGTTAGCCATTAGGTGTTTGGCTTTGGTGACTCTCACTGCTTCCCAAAACAAGCCAGACCTAGAGGGTATAATGGAAGGAGCATGGGCTTTGGTATCACATAGGCATGGGTTCAAATCCCAGTTCTGCTACTCTCTGGCTGCGTGACCTTGAGCAAGTCACTAAACCTCTCTGGGCCTTAGTGTCCTCATCTGTGAAAAATGGCTAATGGTATGGATGATGTCTATGAAGTGCCAGTGGTTGATGTTGATGACTGATGGTCGTCAAAACCATTTTAGCAGGAGCTCAGTAAGTATATGGGAATGGCTTAGGCCTCCTCAGCCCCCTGGGACCCCTGGGGGTGTCCTCACTCTGGGCATCGGCCTGGTCTGGGGCCTGGGCTGGCAGCTTCTGGATGTACTCCTTGAGCAGCAGCTCGTAACGTGGAATTCTCTGCACTGGTTCCAGCATGTGGTGCTGCAGGGTCAGGCTGCCCGAAGCCTCGCTGCTCTTGGGGAGGGATGGGGGAGCAACACGGAGAGGGTGAGAGAAGGGAGGTGGGTCAGGCTGCTCCTGAGGGCCGGACGAGTAGGCAGGGGCCTATGGAAGCAGCTGAGCCTGGGAGATGCCCGGAATCACTCAAGGCAACCTGAGCCACTGCATGCTGGGAGTGGCAATGCTGACTCCAGCCCTCCCCCAGCCTCACCTGGATGCGAGTGAGAACCTCCTGGAAGAGTGGAGACTTGTCGGTCCAGGTGGCCAGCAGCTCAGCCGCTCGCTCAAAGTTCTTGACATACTCACTGTACATCTTCAGGAAGGGGGCCAGCTTCTGGATCACGTCACCGATGCGGGGGTTAGCTGTCCTGCAGGAGGGGCACAGGGATTGCCCTCAGCCTAGAGACCTCCTCTCGACTCTAGATAGGGCCAGGTGAGGCCAGGCTCCCTGAATCCCCCAAAGCAAACTTTCCACGGCAATTCTGGGTGTGGGCGGGGTACGGGGGTGTCATCCTCACATGCGCCCCTCTACTCCTTAGACTGTGAGCCTCCTGAGGCCAAAGGCTGTTCTGGTCCCAGGTTGGCCTCATCCACAAGGCCCGGCACAGTGTTGGGCCCACAGCAGGTGTTCAGTAACTGCTCAGTGCTTCATTATGTAACAATAACGAGGGCTACCTACCAAGCACTACCCAGGACATGATGCATGTCTCATTCCATGTAATTCTCACAACCCTGTAGGTGGGGGCAGCCACTAGCCCATCATAGAGGTGAGGAAGTGGAGGCTCAGAGGGGTACGAACTTCTCCAGGATTGGCCAGCCACAGTGGCTTACACCTGTACTCGCAGCACTCTGCAAGGCCTGAGGCAGGCAGGCAGGTTGAGCCCAGGAGTTCAAGACCAGCCTGAGCAGCATGGTGAAACCTCATTCCATGCCCCTCACACTGAAAAAAAATAATATATATACATATATATACACGTATATATATGTATACACACACACACACACACACACACAGAACTTTTCCAGGATCATCCCATGGCAGGGCCTGCTAGAGCAGAGCAGCAGGGAGCCATGGCCATGGCCTGGGAGTGAGGCTTCCTGAGCCTGACTCCTGGGATGCACAAATCATGCTAGCTGTGTTCCCAGGTAAGTCACTTAGCATCTTTGTACCCTGATTTTCTCATTGAAAAAAATTGGAATGATGGCAGGCGATCTCATAGGGTTATATCCTTCTCTTTTCTTTTCTTTCTTTTTTTTTTTTTTTTAAGTCAGGGTCTCTCTCTGTCACCCAGGCTGGAGTGCAGTGGCACAATCATGGCTCACTGCAGCCTCGACTTTCCGGGCTCCAGCAATCCTCCAACCTCAGCCTCCTGAGTAGCTGGGACTACAGGTGCCTGCTACCATGCCCGGCTAAGTTTTGTATTTTTGGTAGAGATGGGGTTTTACCATGTTGCCCAGAGTGGTCTCAAACTCTTAAGCTCAAGTGATCCACCCACCTTGGCCTCCCAAAGTGCTGGGATTACAGGCATGAGCCACCGAACCTGGCTATTATTATCTTAAAAAAAAACAACAGTTTATTATAAATGTTTTAAGCAATCAATACATCACTAGGTTTAACAATTACTAGCATTCTTCTTTGCCAAAGATCTTAAAGGACATCCTAGACTTCGTGGCAAACTATATAAGGCAAGTAACTTCACTGTTAAATGCTTTAGTGGCCATCTGTGAAAACAAGAGGGTTTCTTGCATAACCATGATGCCGTCATCACACAGCAGGCTGATGTGAAGATTGAGGGAGTTAATAGAGGGAAAGCCCAAGGCCAGGCGTGTAGGAAGCCCTCAGTTGGCACTGGCTATTTTCACTGTCCCAAAGTCACTTGGTCACTTGGCTTGGCCAGGACCTGATCCACCCCTTTCCCCAGGAAGCAGTCTGCACACACACAGCCTCTCAGAGCTCATTCACCCAAGCCCTTCACTGTGCAGACAGACCGAGCCCCAGGGAGGCATGGCCACACAATAAGGGCCTGGGCCTAGGAGGCTGAACCTAGCGCCCTGGGGTCTCCCCACCTCCACCTGGCCAGGGCTGTGGTCTGAGGCCTCAGGGGCTCCTGGTGGACCTCACCAGTCGTCCAGGCGCCGCTGCAGCTCTGGGAGGAAGAACTGAGAATGGAACTGATAGATGGAGGAGATGTTGGAGAAGATGACCCTGACCACATCCTCTGGGAAGGCCTTGCTGCTGCGGGCTGTCTTCAGCAGCTCCTGGAAAAACACCTGTAGCCGCCACGACAGGTCACTCACTGCAGTGACAGGGAGCCACCCACACATCAGCCCGGGGGAACTAGGGTCCCACCAAGCCTACTGCATGCTTCCACCTCCCTGATCTCCCGGCATCCTCACAGCAACCCCGGGAAAAGAAGGCAGGGGAGGTTGTGTTCTGGCCACTTTACAGATGAGCAAGGCAAAGCCTAGAGATGCAGGGACTTGGCCAAAGGCTGGCAGCTGATGAATGCCATAAACAGGCCCAAACTGTGGAGGTCTTGGACTTCATCAGACTAGAGCTCCCTGCGGTGATGAATAACCCTCTAGCCTTAGGGCTCCTGAAAAACTATGAAAGGTAAGATCGTTGTGAGGTTGTGGGCATTGAGATGACAGATGAAGATACCGTGTAGGCCAGCAAGGGCCAGCTGGTGTGTTCTCTGCTATACAGGGGCCAGCCTGGGCACCACAGGCAGAATGGGGAGTACTGCTAACAAGACCTCCTGATTCTACCCCAACCCCAGCCATTGAGGTTAAAGGGCCAAGGCTTCCTGGAGTCAAAGCCAGGGCTCCTGACTCAGCTCTGGTGAGCAGGGTGGGAAGGCTGAGAAGGGGTGAGGTGAGGAGACCCAGGGCTGGGGCTCTAGAGGGGGGTGTCCTGGTCACTGGCCTGGTCTAGCAGGTGGAGGCGCGCCACATAGGCCTGCTCTGTCTCCAGCAGCTCCTGGACGATCTTCTTCTCTGGCTCCTGCGGAGGATTGGAGGGGAGAGAAGGAGAAAAAGGGGGAAGACAGCTTTGGTCTCCTCTGATGGGGACCTCGGTTCAGTCTCCAAAGTTGCTGCAGTGAAGCATGCCTCCCGGGATTCATGGCCTCCCGCAGTGCATCTGGGCCGGCCCTGGGGTGGCTTTCACAGAATGCAGCTGAGTAAGGCTGTGCCAGTTCTCTGCCTTAGCCTTAAGAGGCCTGGAAGCTTCCACCTGTGCTGTCTTGGGAGCTGTGAATCACTACATCAAGGGGTCTGGCAGCTCTGATAGGGAGACCTCATGGACAGGCCACGTGGAGAGGAGAGGCCTGGAGAATACACGGAGAAAGAGCCCAGCCCTGCCAGCATCCCAGCTGAGCCCAGTCTTCCGGCTGTCCCTGCCCAGATGCCAGACTTGCGAGCTGAGCTGTCTTGGGCATTCCAGCCCCAGCCATCCTCTGACTGCAGCTACTTGAGAGATCCCGCTGGGAACTAAACTGCGTCCGCCAACCAAATTCCTGTGTTGAAGCCCTAACCCCCAATGTAAGTGTATTTGGAGATGAGGCCTTGGAGGAGGTAATTGAGGTTAAATGCGATGATAAGAGTAGGGCACTAAACTGGTAGGATTAATGTCAGAAGAGGAAGACACACCAGGGATGACAAAGAAATGGCCATGTAAGGACACACTGAAAAAGTGGCTGTCTTCAAGCCAAGAACAGAGACCTCCCCAGAAACCAAACCTGCTGGCACCTTGAACTTGGCCTTCCAGCCTCCAGCACTGTGAGAAAATAAATGTCTGGTGTTGAAGTCTGGGGCATTTTGTTACGGCAGCCCAAGCAGAATCACACAGACCCCCGAGTGAGGCCAGTAGAAAAACCTCCCGGCAGCATCCCAGTCAACTCACAAAATGTGAGAAACAATAAACAGTTACATTCAGCCCCTACATTTTTTTTTTTTTTTTTTGAGACAGAGTCTCGCTCTGTCACCCAGGCTAGAGTGGAGTGGCGCAATCTCGGCTCACTGCAACCTCCTCCTCCTGGATTCAAGTGATTCTCCTGTCTCAGCCTACTGAGTAGCTGGGATTACAGGCGCCCACCACCATGCCCAACTAATTTTTGTATTTTTAGTTGAGACAGTGTTTCCCTATGTTGGCCAGGCTGGTCTTGAACTCCTGACCTCAGGTGATCTGCCCACCTCGGCCTCCCAAAGTGCTGGGATTACAGGCGTGAGTTACTGCACCCGGCCAGCCGCTACATTTTTGATAGGTTTGTTCAGCAGCGATTGAAAACCAGGACGCATTACTATAACCACTATCCCCATTTTACAAATGAGGAAACTGGCACAAAGAGACTCAAGTGACTTGCCCAAGGACACACAGTTAGTAAGCAGACGTGCTGGGATGTGACTCCAGGGAATTTGGGTGCACAGTATCTGCATGCCAACCCTTGAACTCTGCAGATGAGAAAACTGCAAGCCACAGAAGAGATCAGACTGGGCTTTAGTCTAAGGGCAGGACAGTTCACACTCAGACCTCTATTTCTAGGTTGAGATTGTTGTCTCCTCCAGTGGGTAAACTGAGGCCCCACCTGAGAAGAGTATTAGGTTCACAAGATGGAGACTGTTCCAAGCTGTGTGGCCTTGAATAAGTTCCTTAAAACTGTGTTTCAACTTCCTTGTCCAAAAAACTCCTACACGAGGGACTCGCGAAGTAATCCAGCACGGTGCGTAGCAGGCAGTTAGTGAATCAAAGGCCATTAAGCATGGGGAAATCTAGCTCCCAGCTGACCTCTGATCACACCATACCCCCACCTGGGGAACTGCTGGCTCTGGCTAGGAAAGCATGTGTGGAGGGGAGGTCAGGGAGAGCTCCCCACCCCAGCACCCCACACCTCTACCTCAGCCCTCAGGCACCTGCGTCCCCGATCCTGAGAGGGTCACAGGCTGGCAAGATTTCCTCCAGGCTTCGCTGGACAGCTTGTTCTTCAGGGAGTTCAGGTACCTCCTGCTGACTGTCCTGGGCTCAGACCCCACGGCCTCCCCGACATTCGTCTTCTCCCGTGGTCCTGGGGACTCGGGAGGCCTGCACTCAGGGCGGTGATGCACGTCCTCTAGCCTCTGGCCTCTGGGTGCTGCTTCTGGGGTCCTGAGGAGAAGAGACAGACCTGAGGGCTTCCTCCCTGGAGAACAGGGAAAACAGCAGCAAGTCCCTGGTGTGGATTTGGGTTGCCTGGTGCAAATCCCCAGTGCAGGGGCCCCTGGGTGCCTGGCTTTCTTTGGGAACATGCTGAGTAAGACTTTCACTTCTCTCCCAACACATTCTTGGAGGGAACTCAGTGTTCAAAATGAGTCAGGGTGGACTATATTTTATTTTCTGGGGAACTGCATACTTCCTTGTTTAAAATGAAGCCACAGTGTCCAGGAATCCTTTCTGTATATAGGGGTTTTTGAGTGGTACCCCCTGGATTATCCTCACCTTTGGACCTCACCTCTGTTTTCAGTTTCCACATCAGTAACCTATACATCAAGGGAAGGTAGGAGCCACAGAACAATATAAAGTGAGAGCAGGCCTGCAAAAGCTGGGGCTTCTCAATGGGATCGACATCCTCCACACGTCCAGAAGCAGGGAGAGCCAGCCCAGCAGCAGATGCTCTGTTCTCCCAGGGACGGGCCTTCGTAGGTCACCTTTATTACCCTGTGTACTGGGTTCTGCAAGCCAGTCAAATTCCTTAGACAACAGGGCCCACCCTTGATGAATACACCCAACGTTGCCCTTGGTGTGGAAGGGCTTGTGATGACAGAACAGGGCAGGCATCCTTATGAGAAAGACAGGCCAGGAAATGGAAGGCCAAACAAATACGAAATCTCCAAAACTCCGTGAGAAAGGTTTTCATTACCCATATTTTGCACTCAAGGAAACTGAGGTCTGGACAGGATGAGTAACATGCGGCTCGGAAGTGGCAGAGGTGGGATTCAAATCAGGCGACTGCTTCCTGAGCCTTCACTCTAACCTGCCCCTCCCCATTTGAGTAAAGGAGAAACAGGTCCGCGGAGTCAAAGTGACTTGCCCCAAGTGACACAATTGGGTTTGTGGCAGCGAAAGCATTGGGACCTAGTGCTGTGTGGCTACTCCCAGGCTCTCCCACCCCTCCCTGGCACCCCAGTCCCTGGTTTCTCAGCCCATGGGTCTGCAGCTCATGGGCGTAGCTGGTTCTCAGGCTTTCTGTTCTACATTTGGTTTCAGGTTCTGCATTTCTGTTCTAGGGCCCCTGGCCAGCTTCTGTTTCCTCTTTGCCCCTCAGTTTCAGATCAGCTGAGGTGCTGGAGACCTCATAAGGAAGCCCAGGCCAAGGCAGTTGGTATGGGTCCCCTCACTCAGTAAGGAGTGGCTCTCACCCTCTTGATGCCTGCTGGGACCTAACTCCCGTCTAAGGGCTGCCCACTCCTGCCAGGGTTATTGCCTGGGCAGAGCACAGCATGCTGAGGGGCTCCACCCAGGTGTGCCTAGTCCACGTCAAGCATGTTGAGTGAGGTGGTACCATCCACCCACACCCAAGGGGGTGGTGGGCCAGGAAGGCGGCACCCAAGAGCTGTCTTTGGTGCTGAACAGGACGAGCTTGGCAAAGATCCCGGGAGAGGCAGGGGAGAATCACCCAGCTCAGGAAGTTGAAGACTTCTAGGTCTACATCTATGCCATCTCCACCCTGAAGCCTACAGGAAACATTGCCTGCCATGAGTGCCCTCAATACAGCATCCGGGCCATTCCTAGGACATCTACTGTCTATGACCTTGCATCATAGTTATTCGATGAGCTCAGCATCCAAATACTGAAACCCTTCTTCATCCTCTACAGTTCCTGTAGGATGCTGTGCTGTGCCACCCATGTCCCTCCTTCAGGAATGAGGCCTCCCCACACCATCCCCACCAGCTACTGGTAGTACTGGGGGCTGCCGGGTAATTTATTGGCTGAGTCCCTCTCTGGGAATCACTCTCTGGAAGAGAGAGCTGCCTCACCCAGAGTCTCTTGTCCAGTCCACATGGAGATACAAATACCCAGCCCTCTTCCTCAGCTGGAACAACCGAGAGGCATCCCAGCTCCAGAGCTCCCTGGGACAGGCTGAGGCCTCTGTGGCAGGTGCACTGCAGTTCAGCATCTCCCCCTGCCCGGCCCTGCTTCCCTCACACCCACAGCTGTTGTTCCCAAAAGCTCTCCCTGATAAATCACCTGAGGCAAACCTCTGTCTGAGTCTATTTCCAGAAAACCCTACCTGGGACAGCCCCTAACACAGTCCTGAGCTTAAGAAATGCCTGCAGAATGGATTGATGCCACACATAACACACAACACACACATACACACACGCGCACACACACAAACACACATGCTCCCAGGGCTACCAATGACTCCACGCATCTGGCCCAGCCTTTTCCCTCCAGACAGACGCCCCAGCATTGCCCCAGATACTTAAAGCACTTGGCATCCTCACCTCTCTGTGTCTCCATTTCCTCATCTATAAGACGGGAACAGAAACAGAATCTACCCCTATTAGGCTGTTCGATGACTAAATTAAATAAGTAAGGACATGAACTTAGAGTAGGGAGTACCCCATCAGGATGCTGCCCGTACATCCTGGTTTGCCTCATACGGTCCCAGCTTTACCTGTAATGCCTCCCCCACAACCACCACATTTTATTTGGCATTTACTTTCAGTTTCAATTGTGTGCTGAATGATAAATTATATGGTTATCCTAATCATAGGGCGTAAATTCTTGGTGAGTATCAGCTACCTTTTCTGAGAGGTGCTGGCAGGCACTGGGTGGGGTCCTGTGCCCACACACAGGCTTTGGTCTGCCCATGCTTGCTCGTAACCACACCTGTCTGGACTCTCCCAACACACACTGGCACTCTCACCCCTGCCTGGCTCCTGGTGTCCCACCGACACTCTCCCATGCTCCAAGGAATCCGTGACCGAGGAACGCGGGGCTGCCCCTGCAGGAGGAGGGTCCGGGGCAGGGCCCAGGGAGAGAGCTGCCAGAAAGGCTGGAGGGTGGCTGCCAGCCCACCATGGTGACCCTCCCACCCCAGCTGCCCATACCTGCTATTCTCAAACACAGTGACCAGGTTGGACACAGATGCCAGCTTCTCCTCACTTGCCCCCTTCATCCTGCCGGTTTCCGGGGTGGATCTCAGCTACCCTCGAAGCAGAGAGAGAGGCCTCCAGCCAGCACACTCAGCCACGCTGGCCTGGGACAGATAGGCTAAATCACCCATGAATCTGTTCTGATCTTTCTTGAGGGCTCAGAAGGTCGGCTCTTGGCTTCAGAGTGAAGAAAGAGGAAGTGGTCCCAGAGCCACAGCCCTGCAGGGGAAAGGCCAGCACTCCCGCAGTGGGAGGAGCCTGCTCGGGCCCCACCTCTCCCTCAGGGGGGCTGACCTTTCACACCTGTAGACCCCCATTCCAGAAGCCACCTAAGAGGTGGCAACAGGGCCCAGAGGTAGCTTCTGGAGCCCAGTCTGGGCTGGTGCAGTGGTTTGCACCTCTAATTCCAGTGCTTTGGGAGGCCGAAGCAGGAGGATTGCTTGAGCCCAGGAGTTCAAGACCAACCTGGGCAACATAGTGAGACACCGTCTCTTAAAAAAAAAAAAAAAAAAAAAGGCCACCCGGAGCCAGACCCTTGGCTGGTTTCTTGGCCTAGTGGTTCCAGCCAACCACACTTTCTCCTTCAGAAGGTCCAGTGGCTTTTACTTGGCCTCTTTCCCAGCACCTTCTTTTCTGCATCTGCCCCTGCTCACAGCTGTAAGGAAATAATGTCTTTTTTATTCTTTAGAGACAGAGTGCGGTGGTGGGATCTCGGCTCACTGCACCCTCTGCCTCCCGGTTCAAGCGATTCTCCTGCCTCAGCCTCCTGAGTAGCCGGGATTACAGGGCCTGCCACCACGCCCTGCTAATTATTTGTATTTTTAGTAGAGATGGGGTTTCACCATGTTGCTCAGGCTGGTCTTGAACTCCTGGCCTCAGGTGATCCTCCTGCCTCGGCCTCCCAAAATTCTGGGATTACAGATGTGAGCCACTGTGCCTGGCCAGGAAACAGCATGTTTTATTTAAAATAATCACAAACCTGGTAAGGGTGGCAGGGAGTACTGTGATGTTCCCACCTCCCCACTGGGGTTCTCTCATTTTAGTTGTTGCTGTCATCACCTCATTGCCCCAAGGGAGGGCAGTTTCCTCCCTGAAACTCAGAGGATAATAATAGCTAACATGCACTCTTTTTCATGCTTATGAGTATTTTCTTATTAATCCTATAACAACCTCATGAGGTAGGTACTATTCCTATCCCCACTTTACATAGGAAGAAACAGAATCAGAGAGGTTAAGTAACTTGCCCAAGGTCACCCAGGAAGAATACAAGAGAAGTTGGATTTCCAAAGCAAAAGTGGGTGTCCTACAGTTCCAGCAAAGGTTCGTTGGGAGCCTGGATGACCATGTTCTTGCTGCTCCATCCCCAGGCCTCCCTGATCCCAGGACACTGGGTTGTCTTTGCCTGAGGCCTCCTTTACCACCTGGTCTCCCGGCCCTTACAGAACAAATGGACGCTGCCTCTGTTCCCCTCCTTCAAGCCCCACAGGCCGTTCAGGGCCCTCCCACTGGGCTCTGGTCCCACCAGGGCTCTCCACTGAACCTGGTCTGTGTCCTGGAGTGCAGGGCCTGAGCCTCGGTGCTCTTGGTACGTGAAGTGCCTGGAACAGCTTCACGCTCCAGTAACTGTGAACCCCTGGGGCCTCACATGCCCAACAGCCGCCCTCACCCCAAGCCTCGTCTGAGTGGTTTCTCCCACCAGATGCCGGGCCCCCTGCCCCAAACCCTAAGTCTCACAAACCTCCATTTTTGTTTTTTACTTTTTATTATGGAGAATTTAGAACATATGCAAAACTAGACAGAATCATATAATGCATCCCATGAACCCCTAATCCAGACCATAACAAACCTCAGCTCACAGCCAGTCCCCTGTCCCTGCTGCAGCCACATCGACTCTGCCTTCTCATGTCATTTTGAAGAAAATCCCAGATGTCAGATGACATTACCCATAAACATTTTAGTGTGTATCTAGAAGATGAGAACTCTCTCTCTCTTTTTTTTTTTTTTTGAGACTGAGTCTTACTCTGTCACCCAGGCTGGAGTGCAGTGCTGCAATCTCGGATCACTGCAATCTTCACCCCACTGGGTTCAAGCGATTCTCCTGCCTCAGCCTCCTGAGTAGCTGGGACTACAGGTGTGTGCCACCACACCCAGCTAATTTTTGTATTTTTAGTAGAGACGGAGTTTCACCATGTTGGCCAGGCTGGTCTCGAACTCCCAACCTCAGATGATCCACCTGCCTCGGCCTCCCAAAGTAGTGGGATTACAGGCATGAGCCACCGCGCCCAGCCAAGAACCCTTTAAATAACTAAATATACACACACATAAATGTATATGCATATATACACATGTATAATAGTAATATTGTTTTATATAGACATACATGTTTTACATGTTATATCCATGTGTATATACATATGAAATAATATTACCGTTATCATACCCCAAGAGATATTTAGCAATAATTCCTCAATATAATTAAATATCCAGAAAACATTCCAAGTGCCAATTCCTTATAAATGTTAAATTAAAAAAAAAAATCAGAATCCAAATAAGGTCCACACATTCCCTGAGCTGTCACGTGGATGAATTCACTTTTCATCCACACGTTCCCCTGGTCCTTTCCGTTTTCCCACACAGCATAGTGGAGGGACCCTGGGTTGTTTGTCCTGTAGGTCCCACAGCCAGGACTTAGCCCATTGCAGCGCCATACCCTGGATTTCCTGTCGATGGTGGTTAGGTCTAGAGGCTCGATCAGAATCACCTTTAAATGCCACTTCTTCCCGATGCCCTCCCTGGCCTGGGGGCGCCTCCCTCCCTGGTGTTCCTCTCCTGGATTTCCTCCTCTGCCTCCCACCAGTCTCTCTGCTCACTGGCTGGCTTGCTCCCTCCACGCAGGGCACACCTGAGTACGTGCACTTCCTGGTGGGTCCCCAACCCCAGCGCCCTTCCCGCATACAGTGGGGCCTCAGAAGGCATGTGGAATGGACAGACATCACACCCCAAGCCTCAGAGGATTGTCTTACCCCTCAGCTGCCAGTGCTTTGAGCATCCAAGCCTGAACAATGGGACCTGCCCCTCCCATGGGGGCTGGAGGGTGGGTAGGTGGGCCTTCAAGAGGCCTCCAATACCCTAACCCTGAAGATGGCACAGGCACCATCAGAGCTGCTTCCCTCCAGGAAAAAGAGGCCAAGATGTCTACACCCCCAAAACAACCTTCCCTCATCATCCAAGGCTCTGCCTCCCCTGTCCCCTACCACTCTGACTTGGGCCCCTCACAGTCTGCCAGGCTTTCTGCCTGTACCTGCAGGCATCACCTGAGACTCAGCCTCGGCCTTCTGGTCTCCTGATTCACACACACCTCCCACCCAATTCAGAATTTATCCTGGAGGTCCCACTGGTACCTCTTCCTGCCCTTCTACCCAGTGGATATGTCCAACACCTTCAGGATATCACCAGGTAGATGCCTACCTTTGCTTCCAACTCAACACACAACTCTCTAAAGCCAGCACCATTATTGCACTGAAGTCATCTCAAACTCACTGGGGCAGCCATCAAGATCCTCCTGGTTGACACTCTCAGCTACTTCTTGCCTGCACACACCTAATCTGTGTTGGGATCCAAACCTGCCGGGTACTGTGGCTGAGCTAAGCTGAGCCACGCTGAGCCACAGCCCCAGAATCCCCTTCCCTGCATGGTCTGGACTACTGTTAGCCATGGATGCAGGAGGGGATATAGCAGCCCTGTTTTGTTCCTGGGTCAGTGCAGAGCTCCAGCCCTGTTGCAGATCATACATGTTGATGTGGGTCTGTTGCTTCTCCACTGATCTTCCTTTTCAGCTTGTCCAGCTCCTGGGCCAGGTGCATGCTTAGCTCCAGGACAAAGATAACCTGTGTCATCAAAGTTGATGGCTTGGAGGTGGCCACCTGTCCGTCCTCCAGAGTCCCAGCTCTTCCTGACTAGTTCAGTTCCTCTTTGCTCCCCCTACCTCCCTGCCGGCTTCTCCTCCCCACTGCCTGCCCTGCTTACTTTAGACTCAGAAGCATTAACTCTTTAAGAAGCTCCCACACTGTATAAGGTCAAATTCTGTATTCTGTATTGGATCCCTGCAGTTCTGGCTTGGGCATCCCTCCCTCACACTCTCTCCCTCCCACCTTCCCCCATCTGAGCTGCAGGGAACTGAGCTCTTCCATCTTCTGTATTGTGTCACTCCCGGTCCTTCTGCTTCTCTGTAGCACCTTGGACCAGTAACAGAACTTCACTTTCCTCTTCTGCCACATGGGGATAATTATACTGCCAACCTCCTGTGGTTGTTATGAAGATTAAATGGGATAATAATATATAGAAGAGGTTAGAGTAAGGCCTGGTACTGAGTAGGTACTCGGTGACTGTTGGCTACCAGCATTCTTACTTTTGAGAGAAGCCTTTGCTATAGCTCCGCTCTGCCTTGACCAATCAGTTCCCTTTGCCTAGAGCAGTGGTCCCCAACCTTTTTGGCACGAGGGACTGGTTTCTGGGGTTGCGGGGGGTGGGGAGATGATTTTGGGATGAAACTGTTCCACTCAGATCATCAGGAATTAGATTCTCATAAAGAGTGAGCAAACTAGATCCCTCACATGCACAGTTCACAATAGGATTCGCACTCTTATGAGAATCTAATGCCACTGCTGATGGGACATGAGGCAGAACTCAGGTGGTAATGCTCACCCGCCACTCACCTCCTGCAGTACGGCCCAGTTCCTAATAGGCTACGGGATCCCTGGCCTAGAGTGTCTTCAGTCTGTCTACAGCCGGTTCACTTCCTCCAGGAAGCCTTCCTTTATACCTACTGCTGGAAATTCATTTTCCTCCTCAGAGACCTGGTGTTCCTCTCTGTTTAATTTTGTCTTTTCCGCCCTATTCATTAAGTCACGCATTCAGTAGATAAGTGTTTCTTGAGCACCTACTATGTGTCAATACCATAGTAGAGGTTGTAGATAAAACACAGTCCCCAGCCCTTTAGCTCAAACTCTAATAAGGAAGATGGGCCTGTTAACCACTAAAATAGGATGTGATGAAAGCTTTGAACAAGGGAGTTATGAACATCCAAAGAAGGGTCATCAGAAGGCTTTGTGGCAGAGGTGACTTGAAGTATGAAAGATGAAGGATGGGCTGGGTGCGGTGGCTCAAACCTGTAATCCCAGCACTTTGGGAGGCTGAGGCGGGCGGATCACAAGGTTAGGAGTTTGAGACCAGCCTGGCCAATATGGTAAAACCCCGTCTCCATTAAATTAAAAAAAAAAAAAAGCAAGGTGTGGTGGCAGGTGCCTGTAGTCCCACATACTCAGGACGCTGAGGCAGGAGAATTGCTTGAACCTGTGAGGCGGAGGTTGCAGTGAGCCGAGATTGCACCACTGCACTCCAGCCTGGGTGACAGAGTCTCAAAAAAAAAAAAAAAGATGAAGGATGAAGGATGAGTTAACTCTGTGTGGACAAGACAGGAAGGGGCATTCAAAGCAGAAGGAACAGCATGTGCAAAGGGATATGGGCTTGAGAGACCATGGCTACCATGGCTAGACTGGGAAGAACACAGGGCCTCGCACACGTGGGTGTCCAGGGCCTGGGAAATGGTGGAACCCGCAGCTGAAGGGGTCCTGGAAGCCTGGCCTGCTAGGCTTTGTCTGCCAAACTGAGGTGCTTAGAAGGTTAGGGGAGTGAGTATAGCGTTTTCAGCAGAGTAACCCCTGATCCAGTCTACAGATCTCCCTCTGAGCAGGGGCAATGTCTCCATTTCAGGGCTCTTGGGGTCTTTGGCATGAATAAACCTCTTGTTTTTTTTCTCCTCTTCTCTGCTTTCAAGCCCAAGGGAAGATGGAAGAGCTCAGTTCCCTACAGCTCAGATGGGGGAAGGTGGGAGGGAGGGTGAGGGAGGGATGCCCAAGCAGAACTGCAGGGCCAGGTGGGGACTCGGCTGGCGAGGGATCTCTACCCTGGGGTGCATGCAGAGCGGCTTTGTGTGTAGACTGGAGGCGCCCAGAGGACCTCTTGGGGCAACTTTGGGAAAGCAGAAGGGGCATTTAGAGGCTGCCAGGGAGGAAGTGTCACAACTTAGGATCAGGATGCTATGAGTGTATATGTGTGTATTTGTGGGGTGTGTATGTGACATGTGTGTATCTGGTGTGTGTGTAGGTTGGCGTGTGTGCACGTGCATGTATGTATGTGTGCATTGTGTGTATGAACGGTGTGTGTGTAGCAAATCTGCAGGGGTTCACCAGGTGTAGCCTTTCCGGGGACAGTGAGGACTCCCCAAAGGAGCATTTATCTTCAGGGTGACAAGGACTGGAGGGGACAGGCTGGCATGTTCCCAGGCTCCCCCTTGCCAGCCATCCCACCTCCAGCCTCAGTCAAGCACACAGCACCTGCCAAGGGCTTAATGGCCCGTGACAGACAGGCCTGTGAGCTGGGATGATGCGGCTCTAGAGAGGATGCAGGCAGCCAGCTGAAACCTGTGCCAGAGGCTGCCGTGACCCTTGCCACCCCTCCCGGTCTCCGCCTCACCCCCTCCTCCTGCCCACCCCCACCCCCTGCTTTTGGAAGGCCCTAGTGAGGGCGCTGTCTGGGTAGTCACATGGTGGGCAGAGGCCACACTGCCGATGGGAGGGATGGGCGCCAAGGGCCTCCGATCCCTGGCTTGGAGGGAGGAAGCTGAACAAAGCTGGGCTCCCTTGGAGACTCGTCTCATCTGTCCCCTCCTCCAAGCAGCCAGAATTGTTCCACTCTGTCCCTCTGCCGGAAATTCCACCCTTTGCCGAGGCTTTCTTCTGGAAGGGTGCTGGCCCCTTCTGTGGAAGGCCCGCCGGCCTTCCCGCTTTCACCTTTTCCAGGAACCTCCCTATATTTTGCCTGCTATATGCCCCTGACCCTCTGTGGCCTGGGTGTTCCTAAATGTTACTGTCAACCTGAGGAGTGGAATTATTCCGAGTTGGTTCAGCCCTGTGAGGAATACCGGGAGGCAAAACCCACCTCTCTCAATACAGGCTCCTTGCGGCTCACTGCCCAGGAGGATCCGCTCTGAGAGCACAGCCCAGATAGCAAAGGGGTGTCAGGCCTGACGTGGGGGGCAGATGGGTGTCAGGCCTGACGTGGGTGGCCAGAGGACGTCAGTGAAGAACATAAACAGCTCTTTCTTCTTCAGCGTGTGAACTATCTAGTTTCAAAGTTGGCATTCACAAGGATTGGGCAAGGCTTGTGCCAGGATTGGGCAAGGCTTGTGCCAGGCCCTGGCACCCACCCCACTATTCAGGAAGAACTCAAGGTCACTAGAAGCAGAGATCAGGTGGGGCCCAAGGAGGGAAACCAAGAGTGAAATCGCAGGCGGGCTGAACCCACAGTGAATGTGCAGGCTGGCAGGAGATACGCCCCCGGGACACTGGGAGACGGCAGAGGCAAGGATTGTGTTTCTAGGGGAGGAGAGGGGGCCTGGCAGAGCCAGGGCCGGGATCTGGGCAGGGAGGCACCAGAAAGGAGCCAGTAAAGCAAGGCCAGAGCCCAGGAGTGGTGCCAGGCTGTGCCTGAGAAGGCACCCAGAGTGCAAGCACTCAGCCACCATGCAGGGGCCTCACACCCAGCGACAGGCTCCTTCTCTATCCAAATAGTTGTAGGCCTTTCTCGAGGCCCTGACTGCTTGGTTCTTCACAGCGCTCACACAGAAACATGAGTGGCTTGGAGAGAATTGACAGGTTTCCAAGTGGAGAAAGGGAACACATTGTTCCTGCACAGCCAGCCCGCTGCCCTCCACACTGACGACCTTTCTCCCACGACCCATTCCCCCACCTGTGCTACCTCTCCGCTATCTTCCCACACAATAGCACGACTTATTCTCTGCCTGTGATTTCTGCATGAATGCATCTTGTTACTAGGCTCCTCTTGTACCTTCTTCCAGGGAGCTGTTATGTAACAACCACACAGGAGCCCACTAACAGCCCATTGCTCCCATCAAGGAGCTGCCGAGTTCCCGCCCCTCCTCCCACCAGGTCCCTTCCTTCTTTGCTCTCAGCAAATAGCCCCTGTGCTGGGACCTTGGGAAACAAGGAGAAATGAAACCCAAATCCCATCCGAGGCCTCAGTCCTCACAAGATCCAGAAGGGGCAGGACCTTGGCTCATTTGTCTCTGGGTCCCCAGAAGTTAGTACAGTGCCTGCCAAACAGTAGGCCCTCCACACATCCTTTCTGAGTGGGGAGCAGCACATTCCAGCATGCGGGAGGGGGTTGTGGAAGGTTCTCTTTCCTCCGCCTCTTGCCTTCCCTGAGTTTGGCTTTTGGTCTTTCCTTGGAGCAGCTCCTATCAAGCCAAGCTCCGGCCCTGTTCCCCAACCCCAACCCAGGGCCTGGGCCCTCTGACCTGACAAATGCACCTCAGTTTCCCACCAGTTGTGGCCTCAGGGCTCCAACGTGAGTGAGCCACCCTCCCTTCTGTCATGCCCCATTCCCTCCGTCTGATTCCTAGGGAACAAAAGAAAAAACAAAACAAAAGAACCCCCAGACATTCCCAGTCCTCTGCAGGGCAATTCAGGAAGAAAGCTGGCTGGATGGCCCTACTTTAGCCTCAGTTTCCCCATTCTTTTCAAGGGTCCCTTCTTCTGGTCTACATTAGGGATATGTCTTTTTTTTTGAGACAGAGTCTCGCTCTGTCGCTCAGGCTTGAGTGCAGTGGCGCAATCTCGGCTCACTGCAACCTCCGCCTCCCGGGTTCAAACAATTCTCCTGCTGTAAAGCCTCCCAAGTAGCTGGGATTACAGGCACCTGCTACCACATCTGGCTAATTTTTGTATTTTTAGTAGAGACAGGGTTTCACCACGTTGGCCAGGCTGGTCTTGAACTCCTGACCTCAGGTGATCCACCTGCCTCGGCCTCCCAAAGTGCTGGGATTATAGGACATTAGGGATAGTCTGAATCAGGATGGTCTGATTGGTGTCTTACTGGGTGTGATTGCCATGTCCACAGCCAATGGCCTGCAAAGTCCAACTCCCTGACCTCATCTAGGCCACTCTCCCCTTTCTCTTGGCTCCAGGACCATGGCTTCCTCTCTGCCCTCCACCCCACCAAACTCCCACCTCAGGGCCTTTGCTCTTGTCCTTCCTCCTATCCAGAACTGTCTTTCTACAGTCACAGTGGCTCACACCTGTAATTCCAGCACCTTGAGAGGCCAAGGCAGGAACATCACTTGAGACCAAGAGTTCGAGACCAGCCTGGGCAACATAGTGAGACATCTTGGCACAAAATTTAAAAATTAGCTGGGTGTGGTGGTCAGCACCTGTAGTCCAAGCTACTTAGCGAGGTAGGAGATCGCTTGAGCCCAGGAGTTTGAGGTTGCAGTGAGCTATGATTGTGCCATTGCACTCCAGCCTCGGTAACAGAGTGAGATTATATCTCAAAACACCCCAAAACAAGGAACTCTCTTCCATGAGATATCTGCGTGGCTCACCCTCTGGTCACCTTCAAATCTTTGCTTAAATGTCACCATCTCACTGGCCTTTCCCTTCCCCCGGAGACTCCCTGAGCTGCAGCAGCACCGCACATTCCCAGTGTCCCTTCCCTGCTTAATTTTTCTCATGTATCACTTTCCGAGATATTGATTTATTTATTATATTTGTTGTCTGTCTCCCCACTGGAATATCAGCTCCATGGGGGCAGGCACTTTTGTCTATTTTGTTCTCTGCTCTTTCCCCAGCATCTATAACAGTGCTTGGCACGTGGTAGGTGCTCGGTGAATACTGGTCAAAGGAATTGCGGGAGAATTCTTGCTTTCTCTCTCTCCTAAGCTCTCACAGGACAGAGGCTCCAGGACACCCAGCTTCACTGTGAGCCGAGGCTCATGCTGCCTCTGGTCTCTGCTTGAACCGCAGGCTCAAGTCTCCTGGACAGGATGCAGCTTCTACCTGGTACCCAGTGGGGGTTGAGGTATGGCAAGCCACACTTCCCTTCCTGCCCTGCCCCTTTATTAGAGGTAGGGATTACAACCTAGCGAGGGAAACGAACTTAAAACTGGATGCTACATGTGACTCTTCCCTTAATCTGAAGGAAAAGGCACCTTAAATTGTACCTTCCTAAAAGGGGGAGGGCCTTCCTTGGTCTCTCTTTGAAAGTGTTATCTTCTGTGGGTCTATGACTCCCCCAACCTGGGAAACATCACTCTCAGGTTGCAAGATGCCAGCCAGATGCAAGCCAGCATCCTGGTCACTTTAGCCCTTGCCTCTGAGCACGCCATTGTTTTCTGTCTGGAACAGTGCGGCCCAACCCTCCAGCATATTGGAATCATCCGGAGAATCTTACTCAAACATTTTAGTTAAGACCTCGTCCCCAGAGATGCTTAGTCAACTCTCTGGGCTGAGGAGCGGGCTTATTTAAAATTAAAAACAATAACAACAACAACAAAGAAACCAACTCCTTTGGTGATTCTAATGCTCAGCCAGGATTGGGAATCGGGGGTCCAGGCAATGCCTTGGCTGGAGGGTGGCGATCTTTTGTGTCCCAAGTCCCATGGAGCACCCAGAGTGAGCATGAGTACCCCAAGATGCCAAGTCTGATTCCTCCAACTGGGGAAATTGTGGGTGTGCATGGGTATTCTTCAGCTCACCCAAAAGTTAACTGTTCACACAGACACACCCCAAACTAGCTCTCACAGTTGACACAGTTTAAGCCAGGATTTGCAAACTCAAATGATGACTAGAATCACACAGAAAATGTACCAGTTTGCAGCAGGTGCATTGTTAAGACGTGGATACTATGGGTGGAGAATCCATGCCCTTCTCATGGGGGCAGGTTTTACCCTGTTACAACCTGTTGTTACCAAGAAGGGATGCAGATCTTGTGGTGCCTGATTTTGCCCTTTGCTCTCCCCAGGAGAAATCAGGATTCAGGAATTTTAAATGAAATAACCCATATTTTTTTTCTTAAAAATCCTGATCCTGTGAATGGGTTGCTAACTTCAACCAAACTGCCACACCTGGCAAGGCTGACCCCACAGTGGGGTATTTCATATTACCACTTTATTTCTTTATTTTTTTGAGATGGAGTCCCGCTCTGTCATCCAGGCTGGAGTGCAGTGGTGTGATCTCAGCTCACTGAAACCTCCACCTCCCAGGCTCAAGTGATTCTCCTGCCTCAGCCTCCCAAGTAGCTAGGATTACAGGCATGCACCATCACACCCAGCTAAGTCTTGTATTTTTAGTAGAGGCAGGATTTCACCATGTTGGCCAGGCTGGTCTCGAACTCCTGACCTCGAGTGATCTGCCCACCTCAGCCTCCCAAAGTGTTGGGATTACAGGCGTGAGCCACCACACCCGGCCTCATATTATCACTTTAGGGCAGTGTCAGTTTCTTTACATCATCCTTAACATTCAGACTAATAGGAAATGGCTATTTGCTCCAGAGTAAGACACTGTTTAATGTATTCTCAGCTCTGCCAAGAATCCCTGAACCTTCAAAATAAAGGGTTGTTGCAGTGATGTGCCAGAGTTGGCTCACACTGGCTTGCAAAATTCAGTTGTGCCCAGCTCTTCCCAACTTCATGCTCAGTGACATCACATCAGCAGCTTGAAATCAGCCATGGCGAGAGTATTTATACCAGATGAATTGGTAAGTGCTGTAAACCAGAACATTTTCCCCCCTAGAGAGCCCGTTGTTACATGCTTACCAGCACAGCATTGCTTATAAGGATTCAGACTCTTTGCCAAGGAGTTGTGGAGAAGCAGTGAAGAGAGTAGTCCATTTTTCTGATTACATTAGGATTTACATGAATGTGTGCAGTCCCTTCCCTTTAAAACCCCCAGATGCCCACTAAAATGTGAAAATGTATTCTTAAAATTGTTAAATTTTAATAATACATTAAAATATATTCTTCCTTAATTAAAGAATAATGTTTGCACAATAAGATGGCCAGATTTGGCTGGGCGTGGCGGCTCAAGCCTGTAATCCCAGCACTTTGGGAGGCTGAGCCAGGCAGATCACCAGGTCAGGAGATAAAGACCATCATCCTGGCCAACGTGGTGAAACCCCGTCTCTACTAAAAAAACAAAAATTAGCTGGGCATGGTGGCGCATGCCTGTAATCCCAGCTACTCCGGAGGCTGAGGCAGGAGAATCATTTGAACCAGGTAGTAAGAGGTTCCAGTGAGCCGACATCGCGCCACTGTAGTCCAGCCTGGTGACAGAGCGAGACTCTGTCCAAAAAAAGAAACAAAACAAAACAGAAAAAGGCCCAGATTTTAAGAGTACTGTCTAATGGACTTCTACTATTACACACACCATGTAACCACCACGCTGATAAAGATGAAGAACATTTCCATCCTTCCAGAAAGTTGTTCATGCTCCTCTCCAGTCAGTCCTCCACCATGGGCAAGCACTCTTCTGATTTTATCCTGATAGATTCATTTTGCCTGTTTTAGAATTTTATATAAATGGAATCACACAGCAAGTGCTCTTTTGTGTCTGGATTTTTTTCTCTCAGAATAATGTTGCCCATATCAATAGTTCATTCCTCTTTATTGCTGAATAGTCTCCCTTTGAATTAATGGTCCTGATAAAATCTTAATCCTGAAACTCACCCAAATGCCATGCAAGAGCCCACTAAAATTTGATTTTTACTGATTGCCACAAAAGAGGAAAACATCTTTTCACCTCTTAGGATAAACAGACTGGGTCACAGAAGATTTAGGTGGACTTGCCTTTTTCCACGAAGAGAATGACAGAGCAGAACACAAACCAGGCATTTGATCCTTTCTGACATGGGGACAGTATTGGACTCACTGCAACGTACCACATCTCCTTGGAGTTTAAAGGCCCTCACTTCCCCTCTTTGCTCTTGTAAGTTTCATGCCAAAGCCTTTGGGCCTCTCAGTCCCAAGTTGTCTTCTGTGTTTCCCCATTAAAACTTGGGAATTAGCCAGGCGTGGCGGCCCATGCCTGTAATCCCAGCACTTTGGGAGGCTGAGGCGGGCAGATCACCTAAAGTCGGGAGTTCGAGACCAGCCTAGCCAACATGGTGAAACCTGTCTCTACTAAAAGTACAAAAATTAGCTGGGTGTGGTGGTGGGCACCTATAATCCCAGCTACTCAGGAGGCTGAGGCAGGAGAATCGCTTGAACCTGGCAGGTGGAACTTGCGTGGTGAGCCAAGATCATGCCACTGCACTCCAGCCTGGGTGACAGAGCGAATTTCCGTCTCAAAAATAAATAAATAAATAAATAAATAATAAATAAATAAAAACTTGGCAATTATTTGGCTTAGCAATTCCTCATGCCAATACACTTCTGGTGACCTGCATGATATGCCAGAATTCCTGAGATGACTGCAATTCTAATGTACCTTCTTTTAGCATAATAAGGATAAGAGGTGTTTTTTTTTTTTTAATTGAATGGCTCTATCTCATAATAATTCTCTGCTTCTTTAATTCAGTGTCCCCTTAGAACTCCTGGGGCTGGGCTGGGTGCAGTGGCTCACGCTTGTAATCCCAGCACTTTGGGAGGCCGAGGTAGGCAGATCACGAGGTCAGGAGTTCGAGACCAACCTACCCAACATGGTGAAACCCCGTCTCTACTAAAAAATTAGCCAGGCATGTTGGTGGGCACCTGTAATCCCAGCTACTTGGGAGGCTGAGGCAGGAGAATTGCTTGAATCCGGGAGGCAGAGGTTGCAGTGAGCCGAGATCGCGCCACTGCACTCCAGCCTGGGCGACAGAGCAAGACTTTGTCTTGGTGGGGGTGGGGGTGGGGAAGAACTGCCAGGGCTATCACCAGCTAGTAAGAAGTCCCTATTACTCTTTGGGTAGAAGTGGTCCCACACCGGCAAGTTAACCAACCTGCTTTGTGCAGAAAAGGGCTGGGTTGTACAAATAAAGAACCATCCACAAAGAAGGGAGTGATGGGAGGCTGGGGAAATATTTAAAGCAATTTACAGAGGAAATTCTCAAATCCAAAGATGAGGCATTCCCCCTGGATGTTTTTGCAGCATTTTAGACGCATGTATTGAGTGGTGACTTTGCCACTCTGTTGCCTCCCTTATCCCCTGTTCACACTGCACATCCAAGGAAAGAGAGGCTCAGAGAGGCTCTCAGGGCCACACAGCTGTGAGCAGCAATGCCAGGATTCAGAGCAAGCTGCTGTTGACTCCCATTCCCAAGTCTCCTTCACCAGGTAGAGTTTCTAGAGAAGTGAGCAACTGCAGAGCTCCCAAGGACAGACATGGCTGCAGAGTGTAATTTCAAAGGGAAAGTAATGACCCTTTAAGAAGGGGCTGTCTCAGGCCAGGTTCAGTGGCTCATGCCTGTGACCCCAGCACTTTGGGAGGCTGAGGCAGCCGGATCACCTGCGGTCAGGAGTTGGAGACCAGCCTGGCCAACATGGTGAAACCCCGTCTCTACTAAAAATACAAAACTTAGCCAGACGTGGCAGTGCAAGCCTGTAAGCCCAGCTACTCAGAAGGCTGAGGCAAGAGAATCACTTGAACCCAGGAGGTGGAGATTTCAGTGAGCCGAGACTGTACCATTGCACTCCAGCCTGGGTGACAAGAGCGAAATTCTATTCCCCCCCCCACCCAAAAAAAACAAAAAAAGAAGGGGCTGTCTCCACAGGTGGTATGATGACATGAATAAGGAAGACCAGAGTGAGGCTGGCATCAGGGTGTCCTCTGGCTCGCATATACATGGTACCCACTTTGGGTGTCATTAGTACATGTGAGCCACCAGGATGTGTGTCTCAACTGCTGAAATCTTGCTCTCTTCACAGCCTGTACATCCAGAAGACCTTTGTGTCAGCAATACCCTTGAAGTCACTGGCCTGCCTGCCAGCAGAAGCTGGAGGTCCAGGGTCATCACTTTGCATGCTTGTCCATTTTCTGTCTTTGCCCTCCATTCAAGAGTGTAGGGCATCACATTCAGGCAGAGCTGGACTCAAACCCCGGCTCCACCTCTTATTAGCTGTGTGATCCTGAGGAAGTTACTTAGCCTCTCTGGATCTCAGTTTCCTCATCTGTAGAATGAGGATAATCATCGTAGCCCTGGCCCCATACTGTAATAGTAAGAGGAGTTAATACTTGTAAAGCAAACAACAGTGTCAGGCAGAGTTGAACACCTGTGCAGGCTGCCTCACTTCACTTAGCAGAAGAGTCCCTGACTATAAGACAATTAATTGAATTTACGTATTAAAATTTTTCAGGCTGGGCACGGTGGCTCATGCCTATAATCACAGCACTTTGGGAGGCTAAGGCAGGTGGATCACTTGAGCTCAGGAGTTTGAGATCAACTTGGCCAACAGGGTGAAACCTCTTCTCTACTAAAAATACAAAAATCAGCCAGGTGTGGTGGTAACCACTTGTAATCCCAGCTCTCAGGAGGCTGAGGCACAAGAATTGCTTGAACTGGGAGGTGGAGGTTGCAGTGAGCTGAGATCTTGCCACTGCACTCCAGGCTGGGCAACAGAGTAAGACTTTCATAAATAAATACATACATACATACATACATAATTGTTCAGTATAATCCTATGTTGTCATTGTTTTCTTTTTATTTATTTATTTATTGCTTTTTAGATGGAGTTTTGCTCTTGTTGCCCAGGCTGGAGAGCAATGGCATGATCTTGGCTCACCGCAACCTCTGCCTCCCGGGTTCAAGCGATCCTCCTGCCTCAGCCTTCCGAGTAGCTGGGATTACAGGCATGCGCCACCATGCCCGGCTAATTTTGTATTTTTAGTAGAGACGGGGTTTCTCCATGTTGGTCCAGCGCTGGTCTCAAACTCCTGACCTCAGGTGATCCAGCCACCTCGGCCTCCCAAAGTGCTGGGATTACAGGCGTGAGCCACCACGCCCAGCCTTGTTGTTTTCTTTTTAAGAGGGTGGGGAGAGGCAGAGGCAAGTGGAATTGGAACCAGGACCTAAAGTCGGCTCCTTTTGCAGCTTGGCTTCTGGGTGGGGTTGATGTCTGAGGGTGGGACCCCAGGGATCCAAGACAGAAGAAAAGCCAGTGTTTCCACTCCCACCTCGCCCTCACCCCAGACAAGCAGGTGATCAGAGGCAGCAACCGGAACTAGTTCTCACCCAAAACTAGTAAACAGGAATCCTACATCGAAATGAGCCCATCTTCTTTACACCAAGGTTGATTCTCCTTACACCTTGTGCACCTTCCCTGGAGCTATGGTTTAAATGTTCCTGCCAAAACTCAAGTTGAAATTTAACTGTCAATGTAATGGTATTAACGATGGGAACTTTAAGAGGAGATTAATGCTCCTATCTCAGGAGTGGATTAGTGATCTCAAGAATGGGCTTCAGAAAAAAGGACAAGTTCAGCCCCCGTTTGATCTCTCTGTCTAGTGTGCTCACTCCGCCTTCCACCTTCTGCCATGGGATGACCCTCCCCAGACGCTGATGCCACGTTTTTGGACTTCTCTGCCTCCAGAACTGTGAGAAATAAGTTTCTTTTTTTATAACTTACCCAGTCTGTAGTATTCTGTTAACAGCAGAAAACATCAGGTGAGGCCAGAACTCTGATGCCGCCCTTGACATCACCTTAGTTCCCTCCTGACTGGATCAGTATGATGTCAAATTAATTGCAATGGTGGGTACTTACTAATTTGCATTTACTTTTCATTACAACATATCCCACAGGATTCCAGGGACCTGGGATGGTCTGTATTCTTGGCAGTTCTCAAGATCTACGAGTCTTATTTCCTGTTAACTTTTTTCCTTTTGCTTGATCCTATCGGGCACATGGATCTTCCTAAAGTTTTGATTCTGTAATTAGTGCTACCATAAAAAACTGTACAATTTTGGAGAGTGTTTTTGCTCAGTCATTCATTTTCTAGTAATATTTGTTGTGTTCCTATCATGTGCCAGGCATTGAGCCAGGCTTGGGGTTCAACTATGAATAGAACAGTCCTGGCTGTCAAAGAGCTTACAGTCTAACAAGGGAGACTGACAAGAAAACAGGCAGTCACAGTGCAGTGTGGTCAGCACTGCATATGTGAGGTGGCATATGCAGAGGGTGGTGGCACCGAAGTGGGGGGCACTACCCAAGCCCAGAGCTTACAGCCTTTTTTTTTTTTTTTTGAGATGGAGTTTCACTCTTATCGTCCAGGCTGGAGTGCAGTGGCGTGATCTCGTCTCACTGCAACCTGTGCCTCCTGGGTTCAACTGATTCTCCTGCCTCAGCCTCCCGAGTAGCTGGGACTGCAGGCATGCGCCACCATGCCCAGCTAATTTTTGTATTTTTAGTAGAGACGGGGTTTCACCATGTTGGCCAGGCTGGTCTCGACCTCAGGTGATCCACCCGCCTCGGCCTCCCAAAGTGCTGAGATTACAGGTGTGAGCCACCGCGCCTGGCCAGAGCTAACTCCTTTATAGCTCTAAAGGTTTATTGCCAGGTTGCTCAGTAGCTTGACTGCTGAGGAAGATTTTCTTTCATTCAATCATTTCAGTGAGTATACTTTTCATTTCTAGATGTTCTGTTTGGCACCTTTTCAAATACACCTGTTTTTTTTTTTCCTTTACAATTCCTGTTCTTTTTACTAGTACTTCCTATTATTTATCTTTGCCTTCATTTGAAACCTACTTCTTTCCTTTTAATTTTCTTTGAGATGGTTCTATTATCTCAAGTTCTTCCTGTTTTGCCCATTCTCTCTCATGATGGCACGTTTCTTTGAGCGGCTCATACATTTTTTATTGTGAGGATTCTTTTTTTCTTCCTCTTGGAGTCTCTGTGAGCCCTGAGTTGTAGAAATACAGCTATTGTGCAGTTTAACATTTGCTTCTGCTTGGTACCCTACGGGTCTAACTGGTTTAGCTGATCTATTTTTCCTTCAATTTCTTCACTTGGAGAAATTGTTCGATCATTTAGAAATACTTTACTGAACATGTACTATGTGCATAGTCCTATATCTGATGTTGTGGAAGATACAAAACAATGCAAGACAACACAAAGTTGCTGCTTCACATGAAACTACAGTTTGAAAGGGCCAAATACAGTATAGGCCCAAAGTTAGGTGACCATGTAAGGCAGAGTAAAAGGCTCAACGGTGAACAGCCAAGTTCAGAAAGAAAAACAGACAGTTGGAGAAAAATGGGGACGAAAAGCCCAAAGAAGGAAAAGGTTCCTGTGAGGAAGTTTCAGAAGGATGGGGAAGTAAATCATCCTCCCCTACCCCCACCCCCCACCCCCAAACTAAAACCTATCGCCTCTTCTGGGTAGAGAGTTAGTGTGGCACTAGGAACTTGACTTTGAGGTCCTTATTGAGAAAGCTAAATCAGAACCTAGGCAAAAGGAAGTCATTTAAGGTGCTCCTGGGGGATGTTTGATGAAAATTGTGTTTGATGGAGAAAACACAGCAAGTTGAAAGGGTTAGCAGGCTTTGCAAGTGATTTCACTAGGACAAGCCTGGGTTAGGGAGGCCAAGGTGAGGGAGAGAGGGAGTGTGGCATGCTTTGAACGTGGAAAGTACATAGTGTTCATTATCAGGAGTGGGAAGAGGGGAGGTAGCTTTTTAGGGGGTAAGGCAGGAAGGGAGTTAGAAAGGACAGACTGGGAAACCCGGACTAACAGTGGCAGGTGTCGATCTAAAGAAATTTCTCACAATGAACTGGCTATAGACTAAGTACAGACAAAGGGACCAGGTCTTCCATTGCTGTGTCCCTGCACACTCTAGGATCCGTTCAAACAGAAACTTTTATTGCGAACCCCCAAAACTAGCACGGTTCTGTTGTAGGTGTTGTTGCAGAGTGTCGGGCACGTTTACAAACAGGAACAGGGCACTTGCTGTCCTATCTTCCTCGCAGGGTTCTTGTGACGATTACACTTAAATCAACACGTATAAAGCATTTTAAAAAGTGCCTGTCACATAGTCCCTGCAATTTAAGGTCTAGTTGTGATTATTCACTTGTATTAACTAAGAATCAACTACAGGCGCCTAGCAGTGCCTGCATGTGCTCACACTGAGGCACTCACTAAAACCCTCAGGATCTAGTGAGGGAGACAGTCAAATACTTTAGAGCAAAACAAATTTTACAACCACGGACTCTGAGGAAGGCGTGCGAAGGCTCCACAGCTGGGGAGGGTGCCCACAGTCGCCGAGGGGACATCTGGATTTGCTCTGGTTGGGAGAGCATTCCTGGCAGAGGAGATGGAAAATGCGATCGGACAAAGAGGCTGGGACCGCGGAGGGGATCGGGCTCGGGGTCGGGGCTCGTCCTGCAGCAGGAGATTCAGCTCGCGCAGAGTTCCACGCAGGCCGCGGCGACTGGGATCTGGGCCGCAAAGGGGCGGGCAGAGAACTGCAGAGAAAACTCCCGAAGCCAGGGAGGTGGCTTGGAAGCGCCTCAGACCATATTGGGGACGTCTGGCAGCCAGAGGCGCCGAACCCCGCCCCCGCGTGCTCTGGGCATCCCGGGGGAGCGCCCCGGCCTGCGGCTGCCGCCACAGCTCCCGAGCCCGGGGCCCCGGCTGCCCGCCACCATTGACCCCCGGCCCGCAGCCCAGTGTCCTGCTAGGCCTCCAACCGGCCGGGGAGCCACATCCGGCGTGTCCCACCCGCCGCACCACGCTCCCGAGCTCCCCCGCGGCCTGGAGTGGTGCGCCCCGGCCCCGCCCCCTGACGCCGGTGAGGGGGCGTGGCCCCGTCACGTGACGGGGAGTGACCTCGCCGCCGGGCGCCATGGGAGCTTCGGACCCGGAAGTGGCGCCCTGGGCTCGCGGCGGTGCCGCGGGGATGGCGGGAGCCGGAGCTGGAGCCGGAGCTCGCGGCGGAGCGGCGGCGGGGGTCGAGGCTCGAGCTCGCGATCCACCGCCCGCGCACCGCGCACATCCTCGCCACCCTCGGCCTGCGGCTCAGCCCTCGGCCCGCAGGATGGATGGCGGGTCAGGGGGCCTGGGGTCTGGGGACAACGCCCCGACCACTGAGGCTCTTTTCGTGGCACTGGGCGCGGGCGTGACGGCGCTCAGCCATCCCCTGCTCTACGTGAAGCTGCTCATCCAGGTGGGGGACCAGAGGCGCCGTAGGGAGATGGGAGGCTGATGTGAAGGTGACAGGCCAGGATTTGGAGGATTGGGGCGGGCAGTCAATGGCGACGGATTTGGGGAGAGGGGTGGGGACGGCGGGTTTGGGGGGCCGAGTGGGTGGGATGGGAGGGAAGCCGTGAGGGAGTTGGGAACGCAGGGGTCACGGGTTTTAGGATACAGAAAGGAGACCAAGGGGTTAGAGTAATAACAGATACGGGAGAGGGTGGAAGGAACAAGCGATTTGGGGGAGTGCCAAGGAGGGAGCGATGGGCTGGAAAAACATATTTGGGAGATAAAGGAGTGGGGACGATGGACTTGGGATAGGGAAGGGAGCGAATTTGGGGCGAGGGAAGAAGCAATAGAATTGGGGGAGGGGCAAGAAGTTTGGGTGAAGAGATGGGGAGGAAGGTTGGGGGCCCAGGCAAAGTGTTTAGAGAATGAGGAGCACATAATTGGGGTAGAGGGGAACGGAGGCTCTGGATTTGATAGAGATGGATTTAAAACGTCTTGGGGTGGGGACAAAGTGGGCGCCAGGGCCAGAAATTTAGGAGGGAAAGAAGGACACCAGACTGGGGGTGGACAGAGGAGACGGAGGTCTTGGGTTGCATTGTGATTTAATTTGGTGGGAGAGTGCGAAGGCAAAGACTTTTGCAGGGGAATGCTATCGGTTTACCGGAGATGGGGGCTCTGGATTTGATGGCGACGACGGATTTGGTAGGAGGAGGGGACAGGGTGACGCGTATGGGGGGAGGGGAACAGATAGGGCCAGCATTGGGGGAGGGGAGTGGCAGCGATTTGTCTAGAGAGGGGAGCTAGGAGGAGGCTTTAAGCGGGGAAGGGGGATGACGCATTTGGAGGAGGAAATGGAAGTCATAGTTGGGGTCAGAGAGAGGAATCACAGTGCTTGTATCTGGGCAGATGAGGAGAAGGGGCACGGGAGTATTGAAATTGGGCAGAAGGGACAGTGGAGACATAGGTGGCAGGATAGGTAGGGACTACCAGAAATTGAGACCGAGGTAGGGATGTCTCTGGAACAGAGGGATGCATAGGCACTTGGCAGATTTGGTGGTGGCCAGCAATGCGGTACAGATGAAGTGTGCTGCTTGAGGAGTGAGCTGGAATGAAGGGCGTGTGGAGGTGTGAGAATTAGGTGGGTGTGGCTGGGATGGGTACAGTTTTGATGGGGGTCATTAGGCCAGAATTTTCCAGTTAAGAAGCTTGGGGGGAGGAAGGTAAAAATTGAATTGGAGACCCATCCAAGATTTGAGTTGAGGCAGGTGGGTGTCAGATTTTACCATCTTTATAATTGAACCGAGAGAATGCAAAATACAACTGGAATGAGAAGGCCTTGAGAATGAGAGTAATTGAAATCTGGGATCCGAGGAATGGTAATAGATTTGTGGGTGTGACCAGGAATATGACAAGGAATGAGGAGATTCAGTCAGGGGCATCAAGGTGCCTGACTAGACCCTAATTGTGACAGATTTGAAAATTGTTGATGGCGGAAGGTGTAGACCAGACTGGCATTTGGTTGTGATTTGGGAATGAGGGCTGTCTTACAGGGTTAAGATTGTATTTACAGCAGTTGAACTTGAAGTTTGGGAGATAAATTGGTGCTTTGGACCTGAGAAGTGAGGGTTCTGGAAACTGATGGAATGAGACTGAGTGAGGGCTAGGATTTTAGGGCACAGGTGGGAGAGTCTGTGGAGTGAAGGATACTGGAGCACAAGGGCTCAGTGTGAGGGAAATGAAGAAGTGGCTTCATCATTTGGATGATGGCAGATCTGGTTTGAAAGAACATTGAAATGAGGGTGGTTTGGGAAGGGAATGGGGGAATGAAGGACACCAAAGCGTGAGAAGAACTAGATGGTGGGCAGGTAAGGATGGATGAGCCCTGTTGAAGGACCAGAGGTGCCTGTCTGATTTGAACCCAGCTGGTGTTGAGTGTAACATATATTAGGGTAAGATCTTCAATGGGTATAGTTTGGGAATCAGAGTAATAACTTGCAGAAAGGCAAATTACTGGGAGTGGGGGTGTCAGGAGTGGAGTGACAGATTTGGGGATTGTCTAGATTAGGTGCGTAAGAATGCAGTGCCTTAGATTAGTGCATGTGGCTGTCAGGTTTGGGAGTCGGAGATTTTAAGATGACAGACTGTCCCTGCTGGTATCTGATATAGGGCCACAGCATTTGCCGTAGTTAGGACTGGGTTAACAGATTTGAGGTTGAAATTGGGTTTAATGACTTGGGAACAAATAATTAAAACTTGAAGGCAGGAGGAATGGGGGTGAGATACAGCCAGTGTGCCTATGATAACCCAATAGAAGTTAAGAAAATAGATTCAACAGATTTGGGAGCCATGGGGATATGGGATAACGTTACAAATTTAAGTATGAAATTGGGGTCAGTGGGACTCCCAAATAGTGTTGACTAAACTGGATAAGGACAGCAAAAGAGCAGTTGTGGCGATTTGGAGTGGAGGAATAAAGGAATACCACCTGTATTTAAGAGAACACAGATCAAGACAAAACTTAATTCAGAACAACCTTGGAGCTTTTAACCCAGAAGGGAAAAGGTCTAGAAGGGAAGTACTCACTGCCTGGGTCAGCTGACTCACCCCTTTCCTCCTTTGCTCCACTGGGTCAAAATTTTTTTCTTTTAAAGACAGTCCCCATCATAGAGGAGTTTTTAAATTTACAATCATTAATCTGTTAGGCATCTCAGAATCAGATCCATAGGAGATAGCCTGAACTTTGAAAAGCACTTGCTTGATAAAGGCAAAAGGGGACAGGGTTGATCCCAAAAAGCACTGGAAGCATACCTAATCCAGTTTACAAGGTAGCGCTTTCTAACTTGCCACTTCTACTGCCTCCCACAGCTGCAGGCCAAATCCTCTCCCACATGTCAGAGGAATCGCTCTGGTCCATGGGCCCAGCTGGCCTGCTTAGAGGGCACAGGGCTGGTATCCTGGCCCCTTGCCAAGGGAGGAAGGAGCCTTCTCACTCCCCACCTAGGTGCTGGTCTCCTTGACACCTTGCCTCCTCCCTGGCAGCAGGGGCTCTCACCCCTCGACAGAGACTTCCTGCTCCTCACATGGATATGGATGGTCCTTCACCCACCCGCGGGTTTAATAAATATTTCAGGCTGGGCGCAGTGGCTCATGCCTGTAATCCCAGCACTTTGGGAGGCCGAGGCGGGTGGATCACCTGAGGTCGGGAGTTCGAGACCAGCCTGACCAACATGGAGAAACCCCGTCTCTACTAAAAATACAAAAAATTTGCCGGGTATGGTGGCGGGTGCTTGTATTCCCAGCTACTTGGGAGGCTGGGGTAGGAGAATCACTTGAACCCGGGAGGTGGAGGAGGTGGAGGTTGCGGTGAGCTGAGAGCACGCCATTGCACTCCATCCTGGGCAACAAGAGTGAAACTCCATCTCAAAAAAAAAAATAAATAAATAAATATTTCAGATATAAGAAGCATCTGTACAGCAAGAACTATCATAGCCCTACAGAAATGAGGGGGTCGTTTTGTCACAGGGATGTAGGGTGATTGAGGTGAGAACGCAGCTAAGGATATGTTTGAGGAGTAGCTGGAATTTGAGGTAACAGTTTGCTAAGCCTGGGAATGGGAGGAATAGACATGGAGGTGTCTGCAGTAGATTTGGTAAGAAATTTGAGTTTGGGGTGCACTTTGGAATAGATGACTTAATGGCTGACCTGTCTGAGGTTTGGGTATGATGTATTTTCTTATTGCCACATTTGGAATTGAGGTTGGAATGAAGTTTTTCATCTGGAGATGAGAATAACTGAGATTTGTTCTGAGATGGGAGTAGGGTTTGCAGTACATACAAATGGAGGTTTCTCTACTGGGAATATTTGGGATTTGAATGTAAGAATGTTGGGGTGTGGGTGTGACTTGGATTGTGGTTGGACAGTGTCTGGGACCAGGCATTTCTGTTGATTGGGAGTTTACGTGCTGCCAATGGTTAGAGACACTGACGAGCTTTCTGGTATGCTTTGATGGGGAAAACATGAACAAGAGCCACATTAGAATTTGTGGGAGAAGAGTTAAGCAAAGGGGGCAAGAGGTGTGAGGAGAGGTGGTGAGGCTGAATCACCACGAGACTCTGAGCGTCCCTTTGTCTTTGTTAATTCTGAAGGTGGGTCATGAGCCGATGCCCCCCACCCTTGGGACCAATGTGCTGGGGAGGAAGGTCCTCTATCTGCCGAGCTTCTTCACCTACGGTGAGTGTGCCTCCCAAGCAGGAAAGCCCACACCAACAGAAAAGAGGCCTCAGGTGGGGAGCAGGACCAGCTGGCCCCGGGGAACTCACTGCGCAGCATGGCACGCAGTCGAGCTGGCATGGAGGAGGGGATCTAAGCGTGTACAGAGAGGACATGGTGTCGGGGTGCGAGCAGGTGAACCATACAGCTTTGGTCCAGCTCCTCTGCCTGTAGCTGCCAGCTGCCAGCCCAGACAGCAGGAGGGGACAGACACAGGTGCCTGAGAGAGGAGCCAATCTAGGACACTGGTCCCTATTATTTCTGCTGCCCCGGGTTGTGCCTGGAACATGCGTGGGGGTGATTTCCTTTTGTCCTGTGAGCAGCCTGGCCCTGCTACTCCAGCAGGAGGCCCGGGGGGTCCTCTTGAGTTTTTTTCTTTTATCCCACCTGGGTGTCTTGTTTCCCCTGCATTCCTCAGGCAGTGAGTGGTGCTCACTCACTCTGGTGTCTCCATCTGTTGGTTACAGAATGGTGTGCAGTGAATTGCAGCTTCACTTCTGTGTGCTGCGTGAGTTTGGGTGGGCCACTTACCTGCTGTGGCCTGGCTGCACCCCTTGTCTGCAAAGTAAGGTCAGCTTCTCCTGCCCAGGCCTTCCTGCAAGCTCCCCAACTGTCATCAAGAAGCCCACCTTGCTGCCTCTGCTGCCCATCACCTGGCCCACAGGTGCCGTCTGGCCAGGGCCTTTTCATGTTCACCCTCACTGTCCCTCTCCCAGTCCCTACCCTCACCAGATGACCATGATGAAGGCCTTCTTTAAATGTGCCCTTTTTCTCCGTGTTCACAGCTGGAGTTCCATTGCAGGCAAATCCCCTCCAGTTTCCTGCACCTCTGCTCTTACCTGTTTGGTTGTCTAGAATATTCTCCAGAATCTATCTTTCTGTTGAGTAACTTGGGGCTTGGCCTCTGTCTTACCTTTTCCATTTCACATGCTGTTGGCAGAATTGGGTGTCATATTTCTCTTCCAGTTTTGTCCCTGTGTTGTTGAGTGCAGAGTCTAGGGCCAGGTGGAATGTGTCATCTTGTGAGGAAATGTGTTTGTGTTGTTTTTTACTTAAAAATTGTCAGCGTAGTGGAGAGGGGAATGACAGAAGTAGGAAGGCACCCCACCATTGTGTAGTGAGGCAGTATACAGAGAGGTAAGGCAGCCGGGGCAGATGGCTGCGGCCCTGCACGGGGCTTTTTCTGGATCTGGTTGCACGTGCTGTGTTCTGAGAGGCGAGGTTAGAGCCCAGATCATCTCTATTCATGTGACACAGCCATTCCCAAAAGGACTTAGAGCAGAGGGAACTTGACCCCCATCTTAACTGTCTCTTTTGAGGATGAGCAGAGTTCTCAGGTGTGCCCCCAGCCTGGTTTATATAAATGTAGCTTTAATCTAGGTGTGAGCAGATGTCTGTTGGGGATCTCTGGACACCAGGCCTACTCTGGAGTCAGAGAGGGGACCCGCCATTTGGCTCTCTGGTACAGTGTGGACAGTGTCTGCTCCTCTACTTGTCATGGCTGAAAGTACTGCAGCTGTCATGACATTCTCTGGTGTAGAAGAAAGAACTTCCCAGAGGGTTTCCTGGCACTGCAGAAAGACCCAGAATGAGGGAGGCCCTGGGACCCACAGAGGCCCCTGCAGGCATTTCAGCACGCCTCCCTCCGCTCTCACTTGTTCCTCAGTTCTCTCAGAAATGGAGAGAAATGACGGTCCTTATTCCTTCTTTTTTTACAGGTGGGCAGATGGAAGAGGGTCGATGTTTTGCTCAGGATCACAAACAGAGGTCCTGAGGCTCCCTCTCCTCACTAGGATCCACCCTCCCCCAAAGCAAATTTTCCTTTTGCCTGTTCACTCTGTGAAGAGGGCTCCTTGCCAAGTCACCCAGCATCCCCTCCCCTCCTCCTCCTCTCCTTCCAGCCCACCCTCATCTCAGGCAATCACATATACAGGTAACAGGTGTTCTCAGCCTCATGAAAAACCCATGCTAGCTGTGACATTGAATTGCTGGGCTGGCAGACATCTGCGGAGGAGCAAAAGGCATATTTGCTTCTTCCTGCCTCTGCGCGGTGCCAGAGAGCTAAAGTCATGGTCTAACAGGGGGAGCATGCTGTCTGAGAGAATGTTCTGCTAGCTTCCAGATGCACAGGTTTATAAAAATACCACCCTGCCATTTAAAACATGTTTAAAATGTTGATAGAAAACAATGAATCGTATCCTTAGAAAGACAGACCCTAGTGAAAGAAACACTAACTCACACAGGTAGGGTCTAGCTTCCATAACATTTAAGTTTATTCTATGGAATTGTTCATTGGTGCTCCTGTTTTAGTTACTTCTCCATAGACTTGTTTTTCCCTTGACTAATCAATGCCATCTGGTGCCAGGTGGTATCCTGGGTGTAGCACAGTGACAGGGTGGAGACTGCCCTGGCCGTGGCATGTGCAGGGGGCGTTCTTGAGCCTGTCTTCTGGGAGCCCTTTCTTTTCCTTTTTCCCTCCTTTAGGTTGAAGACTTCATCATTCCCTGCGGGCAGTTTCTCTGTTTTTCCTATTTTCTTTTCCTCAAGAAAAATGTAATTTTTAAGTAACAGAATTGTTTTCTGTGTTGCAGCATTTAAGTTGCTGAGTTGAGAAATCATGGCTGAGTTTGCCAAGTAAAGTTTTTAAAGCAAAAAAAAAAAAAAAAAAAAAAAGGAGGGAGGGAGGGAAGGAAGGAAGAAAATATATGAACTTGTTTGTCAGAAATACATTTTGAGGCTTTTACTAAAAGAAATGGGCTAGAAGACATTTGGGGGTTAGGGCCTGACTGCTTCCAGGTCCTGGACAGATGTTACCTTCTGTGCCTGTAGTCAGCAGTTACCTGAAGGACAAGCCGAGCCTGGTCTGGGTGTGTGTGACCCAGGAGTGGGTGCCCCTGAACTGGGTGTGACTCCTCTGCCACCTCTGTTTTCTTACAGCCAAGTACATCGTGCAAGTGGATGGTAAGATAGGGCTGTTCCGAGGCCTGAGTCCCCGGCTGATGTCCAACGCCCTCTCTACTGTGACTCGGGGTAGCATGAAGAAGGTGAGCCCACACAAAGCCAGGAACAGTCGCCCGAGGTTTCCTCATACTCCCAGCCACCCCTGCAGCAGCCAGTTACCCTGGTCTTGCCTCCTCCTTCCCAGACCATTGGGGGCTTCACTCCAGCCCCATGGGGGAGCTCCCACCCCACAGTTCTGCTTTCCCACAGCTGTGACACCAGATAGTGGCTTTCTTTTCCCCCCAAGCTCCAGACCTGGAGGTTACCTGAGGTGGGCCCAGCCAATAGACACTGCAGAGGAAATATTTGGAGCTGGTTCCTGCCGCCCAAGTCCCCGAAGAGTTCCATGGAAGAGGCGTAGCTGAACTTGGTTCTTTCCCTTCTCTGTTTCAGGTTTTCCCTCCAGATGAGATTGAGCAGGTTTCCAACAAGGATGATATGAAGACTTCCCTGAAGAAAGTTGTGAAGGAGGTGGGTGTTGAGAGTTGGAGAGGGAGAGGTGCGTGGAGGGGAGCCTGATGATTTCTCACCCCCAAGTTGGGCGGGTCATTGACAAGTCGAAGAGTTGGGTCCTTGTGTATGCATGGGTGGGATGGTAAGGGAAGAAGCCCTGGCCTGGATGTGCCGGGAACCCCGGAAAGCCTTCTCAGCCATTGTTGGGCCTAGCCTGGGACCCGACAGCACTCCTGGGTGGGGGACTGGGGAGTGGGCAACAGGTGGAGCCATCCTTGGCAGACCGACCCCATGTGCAGTCCCTGGGACAGGTTTCTCCCTCCTGAGCACTTGTAGCTCCCCTCGAGGGCCAGTTCCAGAGACAGGCCGAGGGTGGCGAGTCCCCACCCCATGCTCTCTTCCAGACCTCCTACGAGATGATGATGCAGTGTGTGTCCCGCATGTTGGCCCACCCCCTGCATGGTAAGCCACCCCCCTTCCCCCGAGACTGTATCTAAGCTGGCGTCGGGGGCGTGGGGTGAGGGGCGCCCCCTCGTGGACTGTACATAGACAGCCGTAGACCTGTTGGGAAGTGGTAGTGGGGTTGGGGGTATTCTACTGGAACCCACCTCACTGAGGAGAGATTGGAATTCTTTCCAAAGGGAGGTGGGGCTCTTCCCAGGCAGTAGAAATGGCATGCTGTGGTCATGGGGTGTAACAGGGAATCCGAAAGGCCCTCTTCCTCTCCTGCTCTCTGAATAGGCCACGTTGTTCAGTGGCCACTCTGCACCTGGCACCCGGTGGCTGGAGCATTATGAAGTGTGGCCCACCACATCACCTGTGTGTGTTTTCTTTTTTTTCCTCAGTCATCTCAATGCGCTGCATGGTCCAGTTTGTGGGACGGGAGGCCAAGTACAGGTGGGTAACTCTTGGGACTGGCAGAGTGGCCCTGTTACCCTTTCAGAGTCGGCCAGGGCAGGCCGTGCTGGGATTGGTTGCTGCACCTTTTCTGCCCTAGTGCTGTGTGAGTTCAGCCTGCTGCCTGGCTTCTGAGGAATGTGGCAGTGGCTTCAATAGTCTGTCCAGGGTCATTTTCTCTTCGTCATCTCTTATCAAGGGCAGCCCTAGATGAGCCTAGATGCCTTTGCAGAGGGGTGAGTGGGATTGTAGTCAGCTTGGATTAGGATTTCTGGCCCCAGAGCTGATTCTGCCACTTAGGACTGAGCTGGGGTCTCCTTTTGGACTCCCGAAGTAATGCTCTAACGATTTTTCCGGCCCTCATAGGCTGATAGCTCTTTTTATCCCCTATGAAGAAGCCATCCACCCCATGGGCTTGGGGCTCATCCCTTCCATTGTGTACCAGACCCTCACCTAGATCTGCTGCGTGCAGCCCTGGGTAGGTGCCAGGGGCATATGTGTTGACACGGAGGTGGGTCTTGGAGGCATGTGTGAAGGACACACCTGGGTTGCCCTTCCTCTCTTAAGATTCTCATTTCCTGGGGTCGGTGTTTTTTGCAGCTGTCCTGCGGGGCCACCATCCCAGGAAGCTCAGCTGCCATGGTGCCTCATTTTGGGGTCATTAATGGGAAATTGGCCCATTCCCCTAGACTGATTATGAGGTTGGTAGTTGGGACCAGAAGGGTATAATCTGGCCACCACTGTTCTGAGTGGTGGGGCCGGGCCTGGCAGGGCTGGGATGATCTGGGACCGGGGCTACCCAGGGCTTTGCCTTCCACTGGCTCCCTCTGTTAGTAGGTTGTTATTGAGCTTCCTTGGCATTTCACACCCAAGAACCCACAGCCTGTCCTCTCATCCAGCTTGTCCTCTCATCTCTAACAGGGTGCAGTGGCCAGGGCATGAGTCCCCGGCTCCCTGCTGAGGAGTGCCAGATGTCTTCTCCTAGGCTGGTTCCAGTGCCTCCTCCTGCAGGGCCCTGTATTCTTTCTCTGCCCTCTGGGAAAGTACTTCTCTTTGCTTACTACCCCCTCCTACTCTTACTCTTGGGCGGGCCTGTGGGCTCCTCTGCTAGAGGGTTGTTTAACCAGAGATAAGTGTGAGGGCCGGGTAAGAGAAGGGCCTGCCGCCTCTGCAGCAGTGGCCCAAGTTAGGAGATGCATTCCTAAACTCCTATCTCCCAGAAAACACCAGTAGAGGACTGCTAGTGGGCTGCTCCCATGGGTGGTTGGGCTTCCCCAGTCTCCATGAACTGTGTAAACTCCTCCTCACCCTGAACAAGCGCTCTTTGCCTTTCTACTTGGTTCTTCATGGTAATAGTCCTCCCCATCCCTGCCAGGACTGGCTGGATTTGAGCAGAACTGGTGGGCTCAGCCCCACACCAACGGGTGGGCTTCTGGTAGGTGACTGCATGACCCTGTATCTCTGTCTTGCCTTCTTCACAGTGGTGTGCTGAGCTCCATTGGGAAGATTTTCAAAGAGGAAGGGCTGCTGGGATTCTTCGTGTACGTGAGTTTATACACCCCATAACTGGCCACGGGCATGGCTCTGCTAACAGGTGTGTCCTCAACCTCTCAGACCGCAGCTGCTGGCCTGGGACTTCACTACATGGCCCTGCCCTAGCCTGAGTGCTGCAGCCAGCTCTCCAGAGCTCCATAGCGTGTCCAAGCTGCTTAGCCCTTTTCAGGCCATGGCTCATGTAAAAGTGGAACTGTGTGTCTAGTACATGGGGGAGATGAACTGACCAGCCCCACTGGGCCTCATCCAGTTGTGGTGGGTGTGGGGCTGGTCTTCATGAGCTAAGTCACTGCATAGTCCTTGGCCTCACTGCTAAAACATGACTGAAAATCTGACTTGGACTGAGGGTGGAGCTCTGGAAGCTCACAGGCTGACCACAGCCAGTGGATTCTGTTTGACATTGCTTTTCTGACAAATTAGTTGTTGCCGTTAACATTTAAGATATGTTGCACAAAAATCCACATGTCTGGCATCTCTTGAAAAGCCAGAAAATCTTGTCCTGCTGAGCGGTTCTTTCTGTAGAGCATCCATCGGCCAGGACCCAGGACCTGCTTCTTTGGCAGGGCACATGGTCTCCGAGGGCCGCAGACACCCTGTACTTCGTCACGTCACATCCAGTGTACTTCACCTCTAAAGAAAGCACATACTGAAAAGACTAAGTTCAGAAAGAATAAGGTGCAGACAGAAGCCAGGCTTGATGAGTTGTATTTTGATTTGCCGTTTTAAGGTCTAGGCAGTGACATACATGCTGATAAGTATGTCACAAACGTGGTAGACACATGGTATACAACAGTATCCGCTGTACTAGATACAGGGCTCCATATTATTCATAAGAAGTCTTTATATCATGGTTTTCCGGTTTGTGAGATGTTTTTTATTTATGGCCCCTTGTTTAACCAATTAGTGACTACTTGTAGGTGCATGTGTGTGTATATGATATAGAAATATATATACGGTTCTCAGCAGGAGGTGATTTTGCTCCCCGGGGAACATCGGCAGTGTCCGGAGACATCTTGTGGTTGTCACAACTGGCATCTAGTGGGTAGAGGCCAGAGACGCTGCTAAACATCCTACAGTACACAGGACAGCCCCGCAACAAAGACTTATTCAGTCAGGTGTCGTTGCTTGCATCTGTGATCCCAGTTAGTTGGGATTAGTCTCAGTGGTTTCTGCAGCTGTCAGGAGACCAAGGCGGGAGGATTACTTGAGGCCAGGAGTTCAAGACCAGCCTGAGCAACATAGTGAGACTTCTGTCTCTACAAAAATGTTTTTAAAAATTAGTTGGCCGTGGCGGCATGCACCTGTAGTCCTAGCTACCCGGGAGGCTGAGGTGGGAGGATGGCTTGAGCCCAGGAGTTGGAGACTGCAGTGAGCTATGATTGCACCACTGCACTCCAGCCTGGGTGATAGAGTGAGACCCTGTCTCTTGGGGAAAAAAAAAATTATTCAGCCCAAAATGTCAATAGTGCCAAGGTTGAGAAACTCTGATTTATATTCACACACACACATATATGTATGTGTAAGTATTTATACATACATATATTTGCACATGTACCTGGTAACAAACCAACATTTGTGACATACCTATCAGCATGTATGTCACCGCCTAGACCTTAAAACAGCAAGTCAAAAAACAACTCATCAAGCCTGGCTTCTGGGTTCTGTCTGTGCTTTATTCTTTCTGAACATAGTCTTTTCAGTATGTGCTTTCTTTAGAGGTGAAGTAAGTTGGATGTGAGGTGACAAAGTGCAGGGCATCTGTGGCCCTCAGGGACCATGTGCCCTGCCAAAGGGGCAGCCCCGGGACCCCAGCCAATGGCTGCTCTACAGAAACAGCCACCCATCTTGAAACACTGCACATGACCACCTCTGGCATTTTTCACACTGCGTAGTTCTCTTCTGGTGTTTGAATAGGATTCCCGCACAACAGATGCCTACTCTTTGGGTTCTTTCTCCCCATGTGATTTTGGAACAGGTGATACTCATACATGTTACAGTGCATAGAAAGCACCAAAGGGTATAGCACAAAGTCAATCTGAGCACAGGCAGGGACGACAAGATTAGAAATTGCATTCACAGAGGTTCCTTTTATTAATACTCTTCATAGATGTATTACATATATTCTTTTGAGTTTTTCAAATATAAGATTTTTTTTTTTAATTCAAAAACAAAAATTCTGCTTCTCCTCCCAGGAGACAGCCATCCTTCTCCTGGCGAGCCTCCCAGGGCACTCTGTACCTAAACAAGCAAACACATTGTAAAAAACACAAGAGGCACATGGGACTCACTGACCTCAAACTGGCCTTTTGCCCTCAGCACTGCATCTTGGGGAACCTTCCTTAGCAGTTTATAGAGCTGTTTATCCTAAAGGCCATCACTTAAAAAGTTAGCCCTCCTTGTAAATGCTTGCATAGAATCTTTTTGATAGAATATTTTCAGGGGCAAAGAGAACAGATGCATTGAGCAGTGTGTCTTCTGAGAGTTGGTTAGGTAAAGAGGCCAGGAGAAAATTACCAACACGTCGGCACTCTTATTATCTGCATTTGGAAATTCCAAATTTGGCAGTATTCACATCTTGATCCCTGGCTTCTGTGGTTTGAAAACTGCTTGAGACTATTAGCTAATTTATGGCATCCAAAGCGGCATAGAACACCTCCCCATGGGAAAAGGAGCACTATCTTCCCAGTGTGCATAGCTGCTGGACCCTGCAGGCCTCCTTTCTAAGGCTGTGCCATTGGATATGCTAAGATTTTGAGCTCGGAACATCCCTGCCTGCTTCCTGGGTGTGGAGCCCCCAGGAACTGCTCCTCTCCCTCTCCTGCTCATCTCTGCTTACCTTGTTTTTTAGTGGATTAATCCCTCACCTCCTGGGCGATGTGGTTTTCTTGTGGGGCTGTAACCTGCTGGCCCACTTCATCAATGCCTACCTGGTGGATGACAGCGTGAGTGACACCCCAGGGGGGCTGGGAAACGACCAGAATCCAGGTTCCCAGGTTGGTTGGAACAAGGACTTGTCCTTCTTTCCGTGTGCTGCTGATGCCCAGGGTCTGGGACAAACTCAAGGATTCTGGGATTCTCAGCATCAGGCCGGGAGGGTGAGAGAGGACCTCTCATTATCCCTGGAGTCATCTTTGTCTAAGGGGAGAACGGCCTCAAGAGGCGAGATTCCAGATTAGTACCCAGACCTGGGAGGAATTAATGGAATGCTTGTCCCTGGGCGCCTTAGAAACAGACCCCAGCTTATCTAAGGCTGCTCCGAGGCAGTGACCCAACTAGGGCTCAGGAAGTCAGAAGATAGACCAGCTAATAGTGATCACCTCTTGACCTTTGTGTCACGTCTTTTGCTTTTTAAAACCCTTTTGTGAACGTTATGGCCTTTGATCTGACGGCATCCTAGTTGTGAAGGGAACAGGGCAGGTATAATGTTCGTTTACCAATACAGAAATCGAGACCCAGAGATCACAAATTCTGGAGAGGCTCTGGGCTCTCCAGAGTCACTCAGCTGGAACTGACAGGGCTGGAATTAGATCCCTGGCCAGGCCAAGGGTGCATTCCTCTGAGTTTTTTCAGATCTGCTAGGAAGTGTACAGTCCGATACACCCTCCTATTTTGTTAGCTGTGGTCTACACAGCCTAGTATACATAGACCTTTCAGCAGGTCGGGTCAGGCATAGGAAGGCCTGGTCCTTCTACACAGCACTTGTTGAGGAAGGCCATCCAGGTACCTGAGGGGTTGACTGGTTCTGCCTGAACCAAGATAAGAGGTAGGGAGCAGCGATGGCTGGGAATTGCAGTGTCCAGACATTCTCACAGTGGGGATCACCTTCAAGAAGGATGGCATTCCTTCTTGAAGTGGCTTTCCCTCCCAGGAGGCTAGGAGGGCCTGGGGACGTGTCTGCCAGAATCACCTGGGTGGGAAGGGGGTCATGTTCAGCATGTGTGTGTGTGTGGTACATGTCTGTTCTGTGTGGTGAGGAGTGCCCCATCCCAGATGGGAGCCTCTGCTTGCAGGGAGACTGGCCACTTGACCTGGGCAGGTGAGTCTTCACTGGCCTTTCGATGTAAGCAAATTAAAGTGGCTCCATAGAGACCCACCCCATCTGCAATCACAGTGGTACATTCCTGCAGTTCTGCCCCTTCTCGGGGGGCCTTGTGGGTGGGTAAGCTGCTGCTGTCACATACAGAGCAAGGGTGGCCAGGAGTGCACCGCTAAGTGGTTTCTCATCTAGGTGGGCAGCTGTCTGACCAGAGGCTGCCGTGCTTACATCAGCAACAACAGCAGTCAACAGATTTGTCTAAAGTGTTTTTCGAGTGCTTTTCTGTATGTGGCTTAAAGGCCGAGGTGAGGCTGCCGGGCTGTCAAAGCCACTCAAGCAGACATCTGAGCAAATCTCTGACCAAGAACCCAGGCCATCGATCTGGTGGGATGGCCGCTCCACAGGAAGCTGAGGGTGGGGGAGTCACCTTTCCTCACTAGGAGCTGTTTGCTTCAGCAAAGCAGGATTTGAGGAGTTGGGGTCTGAAGGGGGAAAAGCTTGCTGAGGTGGAGGTGGCGATAAGCCTGGACTTGCCCTCACCTCACCCCACAGGCCAGGATTCGTCTTTGGGTTTCAGGGTGCATGTCTGTCTTAGCACTGACTGCGTGCCAAGCCCTGGATGTTGATCAGGCAGACACGGGCTCAGCCCTTGAGGCTCACAGTCCGGTGGGTTGCACAGGCAGCGGCAGCTGATCCCTCTTACCGGGTCTCCTTCTCGGGACTCCCTTCAGTCCACTTACCCCGTTTCTGCCCCCCAGGCCTTCTCTGGGCAGTGACTGTGAGGGCTGACAGGAAAGGCATGTGCAGCGTGCTTGTGAGGAGCTCAGCACAGAGGGTGGGGTGAGGGCATGTGTTGCTGAAGTCTGCATCCTGAGGTGCCTGTGGCAAACCACTCTTCCCTTCTGTCTCCTCAGTTCAGCCAGGCCCTGGCCATCCGGAGCTATACCAAGTTCGTGATGGGGGTAAGTTGTGCCAGCTGTCCTTCCTTCCCACTGCCTTGCGGACCCAAGCGGGGCCTAGGAGGCCAACCCTGGTAATGGCTGGAGGCAGGTCTTGGTACAGGGTGTTGGCGTGGTGTGTCCCTGCTCCCTGGGCCGGGGTGGGTCACTGGCACTCAGGCCTCTCTGGGTTTCAGATTGCAGTGAGCATGCTGACCTACCCCTTCCTGCTAGTTGGCGACCTCATGGCTGTGAACAACTGCGGGTAGGTGTGCGCCCCTCTACTTGCCACTCTACCTACCAAGGCTGTGGGGTGGGGGAGACCCACCGAGCCCTTCCAGCACTCTGCCCCCTCCCACCTGCTCTGTGTGTAGGCTTGGCCTGCCAGGCACCCTGGCTTCCGCTGGGATTTCCCAGCACCCCCTGGGGTAAACTGTGGTGTCAGGGGTCAGGGTGTGGATGGGTGGTAGCCTGAAGGCATTCCTTCTTGAAGTGGCTTTCCCGTGGCTGGCTGTCTTCCACTGTTCTCTGCATCTACACTCTCCTTCTCCGGCAGGCTGCAAGCTGGGCTCCCCCCTTACTCCCCAGTGTTCAAATCCTGGATTCACTGCTGGAAGTACCTGAGTGTGCAGGTGAGCAAGCACTGGACGGCGGAGGCCTTTCCTGTTCTTTGCTACATCCTTCAGCTGAAATGGTTTTGTGGATGCTTCATTGCATGCAAAGATAAGTGGTTTCATGGAATTCAATATTGTGAGGAGATACTTGGTATCTATAAGGCATTTAAGTTTTCATCTTACATAATTTCAGAAAGGATTTGAGGTGGCTAAGTGTGGGTTTATTTTAAGATTATACATCAGACAAGACCTTTTCTTCTTTGAGTCTTAAAGACTCTTAGGATAAGGATAAGAGAACTCTGGCCCAGGTGGCAGGTGGTAAAGCCCAAGAACTGCTTCTCCTTCAAGTAACATGGGCTGAAAATTCGAGGTCTGTAACCAGTTGAGCTGAGTTCCTGGGTTGTTAGGGCGGCTGGCATTGGAAACCGACTCCTCCCTCCTGCAGGACATTCCTGGGCCCAGGAGAGCCTGTGGGTGGGGCTGGGCCACGTGGGGAACTGGCAGCAGTACCAACCTTGGGTTCTCGTGTTCTGTACCGAAGCTACCTCTCCGTAGCTGGAGCTCTTGGGCCCAGCAGTCAGGGGTCCAGGCTTTGGCCGAGGGCAGAACCTTGCCTTTTCCTGGCCTTGATTTGCCTCGCAGTGAAATGGGGCAGTGGCCCGGAGGGAGCCAGAACTCTGAGTGGCCTCGAGGCTGAGAAGAGGACAGATGGGAGGGAAGCAGGGAGGAGAGCCGCAGTTCTTCCCAGTGGCCCTGGTCAGCGTGAGTGTGTCTCGTCCTCCCTATGAGCACTGAAAGAGTCCTAGACCACTTGGGCTCTGAAGCAAGAGGGGCAATGAGCCTCCTCTCTAGGGCTCTCCTACAGAGTAGCCCCAAAGACACCCCTGGGCAGGAAATGAACCGCTCCCTTCTGCTTCAACACAGGCAGATTCTGCCCTCCAGGGATGTAGGCCGAGGCCGTCCACCCCGGAGCTGGGTCTTTGAGCTCCTGGACCCTTCTTTGCCTGACACTGGCCTTCCTCTCGGAGGGACAAGGAAGCGTGGCCTCCCTTTCACTCACCTTACTTTTCCTTCTGGTCCAGGGCCAGCTCTTCCGAGGCTCCAGCCTGCTTTTCCGCCGGGTGTCATCAGGATCATGCTTTGCCCTGGAGTAACCTGAATCATCTAAAAAACACGGTCTCAACCTGGCCACCGTGGGTGAGGCCTGACCACCTTGGGACACCTGCAAGACGACTCCAACCCAACAACAACCAGATGTGCTCCAGCCCAGCCGGGCTTCAGTTCCATATTTGCCATGTGTCTGTCCAGATGTGGGGTTGAGCGGGGGTGGGGCTGCACCCAGTGGATTGGGTCACCCGGCAGACCTAGGGAAGGTGAGGCGAGGTGGGGAGTTGGCAGAATCCCCATACCTCGCAGATTTGCTGAGTCTGTCTTGTGCAGAGGGCCAGAGAATGGCTTATGGGGGCCCAGGTTGGATGGGGAAAGGCTAATGGGGTCAGACCCCACCCCGTCTACCCCTCCAGTCAGCCCAGCGCCCATCCTGCAGCTCAGCTGGGAGCATCATTCTCCTGCTTTGTACATAGGGTGTGGTCCCCTGGCACGTGGCCACCATCATGTCTAGGCCTATGCTAGGAGGCAAATGGCCAGGCTCTGCCTGTGTTTTTCTCAACACTACTTTTCTGATATGAGGGCAGCACCTGCCTCTGAATGGGAAATCATGCAACTACTCAGAATGTGTCCTCCTCATCTAATGCTCATCTGTTTAATGGTGATGCCTCGCGTACAGGATCTGGTTACCTGTGCAGTTGTGAATACCCAGAGGTTGGGCAGATCAGTGTCTCTAGTCCTACCCAGTTTTAAAGTTCATGGTAAGATTTGACCTCATCTCCCGCAAATAAATGTATTGGTGATTTGGAGTTTTTTGTGGGGCGTCTCTTATTTTTGTAAGTTTAAAAATCTATCTATAGAGTCTATCTTTCCAAGTCCTTCCTGTTGGTGTGAGAAGGGGCTGTAAAGAGGCAGGGCAGGGGGCTGCCAGATTGGAGATGTAGGTACCAGAGCTTGGTGTAGCTCAGTCTCCAGGGAGACACTGGGTGATGAGGCTGGGGTGTCAGTTTCCACAGCAGCAATCAGTGTGCAGGTCTGTTGCCAGGGAGACAGGCCTTTCAGAAAGTGTTCCACTCACACCCCTTACTGTCATATCTCAGCACCATTTGAGGATAACGTAGCTTCAAGTTTTACGAAGAGTCACTTGGTGTAGTGGCCATGGTTACATCAGAACGGGCAGACCTCCCTTCCATCAAATGGTTTTTGCCCAGCACTGGAGTCTGTAAGCAGACAAAACTTACAAATATTTTGAGACTCAGCTGGGTTCCCCCAGGTATTTCTCTGCCCTTGCTCGAGGTGACCTGGCTTGTGAGAGTTGGGGTCTGGTGGGTTTGGTCATATTTCCCTCCACAGGTAGGGGCTGAGTCACCCCCGCCAAAGGGAAGGCCCCTGTGTTGCTTGTGCACAAGTGGGTGTTCCCAGTGGCCTAGTAACAGTGGACTCACAGGCAGTTTCACCTCACATGTCCTTGTTTCCCAGGAACGCAGAAGTGTGCCTGTGTGGGTATTATGTAACTACACTGGTTGAGGCCACTAAGGTCTCATAACTTTGTCACCCATATTAACTTTCCTAGGGAAACACCCAAGAGGGCTAAGGTAGTGGGAAGAACACATGCAGGGGTGGGCAGGGCAGGCCTGTAGAGAAGGAGGGCCTCGGGTTCCCAGGCCCTTCAGAGGGGAGTCTGCCCTGTGGCCTTTCTCCAGCCCAGCGTGCTTTCCCACAGCACTGACCACTGTTCTGGGGTATCTTTTCTTCCTGTTGCTCCAGCCTCAGATCCTGTTTTTGCATTGATTAGTTCCTAAGGCCCCCCGAGATTGAGGGGCACCTGTATCTCTGGAGCCTGAGCTAAGCTAGATCTGAAGAGCTCCTCCCAGAAGTTCAGAGAGGCTGCCCAGAGTAGAGAGCAAGGTTTTAGTGGCCTTGGCCAGTCACCTCTGGGAGGGCTGCTGCTGCCCCCAAGTAACTTCCTGAATTTGGGGGTTTCAACTTCATTTCCCAGGCCATCTTCCACACCCAGAAATGGCATGAAAATCTCTTGATACTGTGTCCCAGTTATTGGCTGAGCAAAGTACAGGTTTTTAATCTAATGAAACAGGAAGTTTTCAGTTCATTCAAATTCTTGTGTGTGTGAAATGCTCCTAGACCATTTGATCTTTGGGGGTGAGACCCTGTCCATCTGCCCTCCTAGCAGTTCGCGTGTTTCCTGTCGACTAGTCCTGGAAACTAGGATGCTGGGTCCTCATCTGAGAAAGGAGATTGGGTGGGATTGGGCAGGAGGAGACCTCAGCTGCTGGCAAAGGGAGGGGTGACAGGAGGAGTGTCCTCCTCCTCCCGTCCTGGGAAACCTCATCCAATGGGCAAAGCTGAAAGGGCCTCTGACAGGCCTTTGGGGACCTCCTTATATATATCCTTACGTATATACCCAAGATAATTGGAAACTTAACGTTCACACAAAAACTGGTATATGAATGCTTAGTAGTAGTATTCGTAGTAGCTCAGGAGTGGAAACAGCCTGAGTGTCCGATGACAAATGGAAATGTTCTATAGAATGTAATGAATATTCCATAGAATGGAATATTACTTGGCAATAAAAATGAATGAAGTTCCGATTCATGCTACGACATGGATGAACCTTGAAAGTATGTTGGCTGAGAGCAGCAACTCACAACTATAATCTCAGTCCTTTGGGAGGATAGCTTGAAGCCAGGAGTTCAAGACCAGCCTGGGCAACATAGTAAGAACTGGTCTCTACAAAAAATTTAAAAATCAGCTGGACATGGTGGCATGCACCTGTAGTCCCAGCTGCTCAAGAGGCTGAGATGGGAGAATCACTTGAGCCCAGGAGTTGGAGGCTGCAGTGAGCTATAATCCTGGATGTCAGAGCAAGATCCTGTCTAAAACAAATTATATATATTTATATGCTAAGTGAAAGAAGCAGTCACAAAAGACCATAACATATATGATATGTCAAGAATTTATATGGATGTTAAGAATAGACAAATCCATATAGATAGAAAATAGATTAGTGGTTGATTGGGGCTGGGGAGGTTGGAGGGAAATAGGGAGTGACTGCTAATGGGTATGGGGTTTCTTTTTGGGGTGATGAAAATGTTCTAAAATTGTGACGGTTTTACACAACCTTGTGAATATAGTAAAAACCGTTGAGTTGCATATTTTAAATGGGTGAATTTTATGTTGTGAGTTATATCTGAATAGAGCTGGAAAAAACATAGAGTAGACCGGGCGTGGTGGCTCACACCCGTAATCCTAGCACTTTGGGAGGCTGAGGCCGGTGGATCACCTGAGGTCAGGAGTTCAAGACCACCTGTTGACCAAACCCCGTCTCTACTAAAAATACAAAAATTAGCTGGGCGTGTTGGCAGGTGCCTATAATCCCAGCTACTCGGGAGGCTGAGGCAGGAGAATCGCTTGAACCCGGTGGGCGGAGGTTGCAGTGAGCCGAGATCACTTCACTCCAGCCTGGGCGACAAAGCAAAACTCTATCTCAAAAAAAAAAAAGAAAGTAAAAGAGGGGAGTGTCCTCCTTGGTTACAGGTCGGTTCCCAGCCCTGGCCTGACTTGGGTGGTGTCCTGTTTGACTGCTCACCTTCCAGCGGTGGTCTGGAGACTTGCTCTGCCCCTCCCTACCACCCAAGCCACCCTCAGTCATCCACCACTGCTACCCCAGCATATGTGTGCTTTCCTGATCCTCAGCACCTCTGGACAGTCCTGCTTTGCTCCCCTGGGGAGGGTCTGGGACTCCAGATCCCTTTCTTAGGACTCTTCCAAGCACCTGGGGCTGGCAGAGCCTTGCCTGATGTACATTTCTGACCTTGTGTCCCAGACAGGCCTGGATAGCAGCGCCCCCGTGAAGAGGCCGCATGCCATGCTTTGATCCTGGGCTCCAAACCTACCTAGGCCCCACTGGTGACTCCTGAAGCTGGGGGAGTCAGCCCAGCACCCTTGGCCTTCCTTTGGCTCTTCCCCTTCCTGCCTGCCACCTGTGATTAGGGGGAGGCGAGAGTTATAGGAAGGAAATGAAGGGTGGGTCCCAAAGAGGAGACACTAAATGGAGTGTTTTAGAGGAGGGGGATGAGAAAGAGAAGGAATAGTTGCCACAGGTTGGACAGGTTTTTATTGGAGAGTCAGGAGTTACTTTCCTTCCCTCGTCCCTGCCTCCCCCACTCAAAGAACCCCACTCCAGTGGGGCTTGTCCTTCATCTGCCCCTAGGAATCCCCATCCCCAGCTACACAGGCACTCAGGGAGAGCGCACATGCTGTGTGGGCAGACAGCCCCAGGCCAGGTAGGCAGTGAGCTCCCTCAAATCCTCCCACCCCCAGGACTCAGGAGGGAGGGGCAGGAGAGGTGTGGGCCCGGTGTGCAGTCCTCAGGCGGCCTCCTGAGCTCGCAGCCAGCCAGGCCTTGTGCCTCCAGGATGGATGGTGTGATGAGGCACATGCCCCGTAGCCTTTCCCTTCCGGAGGGCCTTAACCAAGAAGTATCTTGTTTAGGGGCTGGGGACAGGGTGGGGAAGATGACAGGAGGACAGCTGACCTCTTCACCCTGAGAAGGCAAGAGGCACTTCTGGGGAACAGTCCTGGACTCAGATGGCTCAAGGAAGAGGCCAGGGGACTGGGAGGGGCCCGGGGGTTCCTGGGAAGCCTGAGATCCTCTGTCTGGGAGAGAAGCTGATGGCCACAGGACAACCTGAGAGTGGGCACATGTAAATACCGCTCAGAACAGTCTGCAGCCAGCTGAAGGATGGGCCTACCCAGAGCCAAGGCACTCCTGGGGCAGTGCCAGGGGCTGGCCCTGTAGACGCCTCCCAGGAGGACAAGAGTGCTGGCCTGGAATCTGGCCAGAAGTTGGGGTGAAGGGGGGCTGCTGGGCCACAGAGCAGGACCTGCCCAGGAAGCTGTGGTCTCTCACTTGGAGGAAGACAATCCAGGTGGGTATGAGGCCAGGGCCCCCCTCACCAGGCCTTGCCTTTGAGTGGTATCCCCTTCAGAAGATTCCAGCCAACACCAGAGGAGGCAGGAGCAGTAGTCCCAGGAGAGGGCCCCACACATGACCAGGGCCCGAGTTCAGCCCTGACACGACGCTAGGCTTGTCAGGGCCCTCTGCACCTGTGGGAAGAAAGAGGCTTTGCCTCAGCCTAGAGACAGCTGTGCCTGATGTCCCGCCCACCCCACCATGCAAGGAGGTGGGGCAGCAGCCAGGGAGGAAGCTCCTACTCAGAGGGTGCATGCCCCACCATGCTCATACCACCTATGCTGGGGCAGGATACTGACATTCCAGAGCCAGGAGGAAAGTGGGACAGATGCTATGGGCCTTACCTGGCAAGGACGACTGCAGAGCCAGGGCACGCCCACCCGTGGCATTAGCGGTGGCAGAGGTATTGGGGAAATTGGGCAGGGACTTGGAGGAGGTGTGCCCCGTGTGGTCCAGTGTGGCCTGCAGCTCACCTGGCTTGTCCTGGGCTGGAAAAACTGAGGCCAAGACCTCACTGGAAGGAGGCAACTCAGCCTCAGCCTCAGCCTCCTCCTGGGCATGGGGTAGGAGTTCCCTTGCCCCTGTCAGGGACATCTTGGGGTCCAGAGAGTTCTCTGGGCTCCTAGAGGGCACTTTTGTTTTGTCTGTCACTTTGTCTGCTGATTTTGGGATAGGAACATGGGTCGATTTGGGGAAGGTAACTGGCTCCTCATCCAAGGAGGGCAGGCTGTGAGCTGCCAAAATGGAAGGGACCTCAGTTGTTACGCAAGGTGGAGCCTCTGTTGCCATGGAGGGCGGGTCTTTCGTTGCTAAGGAAGTTGGGGCCTGGGTTTCCACAGCAGGCAGAGCCTTGGTTGCCAGGGAGCCTGAGACCTCTGTTACCAAGAAAGCCGGAATCCCCGTTGCTAGGGAAGAAGGAGTACCCATTTTCCTAGAGTCTGATGCTTCAGTCGCCCGGAAGGATGGGGCCTCAGTTACCAGGTAAGGCAAATCCTGAGCATCTTCCGGGCTTCCGATGGGTTCTGATAAGACAGACGAGAACGGGCATGAGTGCTGCAAGCAGGACCCCACATCTCTCATGGCACTGCAAACCAAGTGACGCGACCAAATGTCCTACCAGGACACACAAACACACACATACACTTCTCCAGCTGATATGCCCCTCATTGAAAATAAAAGTTACAAGCCGGGCGCGGTGGCTCACGTCTGTAATCCCAGCACTTTGGGAGACTGAGGCAGGTGGATCACCTGAGGTCAGGAGTTCGAGACCAACCTGACCAACATGGAGAAACCCCATCTCTACTAAAAATACAAAATTAGCCAGGCGTGGTGGCGCGTGCCTGTAGTCCCAGCTACTCGGAAGGCTGAGGCAGGAGAATTGCTTCAAACCGGGAGGCGGAGGTTGCAGGTGAGCCGAGATCGAGCCATTGCACTCTAGCCTGGGCAACAAGAGCAAAACTCCGTCAAAAAAAAGAAAAAGAAAAAAGAAAAGAAAAGAAACGTTACTTCTGGTGATTGACACAGTTGCTCCTCTAGCCACCTCCTGGTCCAAGTCTCTCTACATTCGTACTTGCCCTTTTTCAGGGGACTTCTCCAGCGGGATCGCGGTCCCTCACACGCCCCCAGCAAGACTGGCCTCGCCCGTTTGAAGCCTTCTGACCACGCCCACCGGTCTGGCCCCAGCCCGCTCCTCGAGACCCTAAAGTGTGGCGACACCCACCTCGCGCGGGCCCCCCCGAAGCCGCCAGACTTTCTAACATCCTCCCTTTGAAGGGTTGAAATCCGGCCACTTGGAACGACAGGGCGCCAAAGTGGCTGCGCGTGGGGGGCTAAGGGAGCCGCCAGGGGCCCCCGGTGGTCGCATCCCACCAGGCTCCTTCCCTGCCCACGTCCCGCTCAGTCCAGGGAGGCTCTTAGACCATCCAGTCTGCATCGCATCATTTCCACACCCCCTGCCCCTACCCATCCACCCGTGGACTCACCACAGAGGGAGTTCTTGCAGTGGTAGCCAGAGGGACATTGGGAGCACGGAGTCCCCTCCTGGTAGGGCCGTTTCCCCTTCACGTTCCCCCTACAGGAGGTCAGGAGGATGCTGCGGGGAGGGGGTCGACCCCTCCCAACCCTCTCCCCAACTCCTATACACACACCTACTCTGGAAATGCCCTTGGGTCTCCTGACTGCCAGCCACTGACTTGCTGGGCGAACTTGGGCTCCTCCTGGCCCTCTCTGGCAGATGACAGCAGACCCCCATTGGTGCCTTCACAGCTCCCTGGACAGTATTGCTCCAGACTGACCCCTCTCCTCCCACTCCCTCAGGCTGTGGCCGACTCTGCCCTCCCCTTGGCTCTGCCTGTGCCTTCCCCCTCTCCATCTCCAGGGTTCCCCCCGGCACTCACGGAGGCTCATAGTTGCACACCAGTAATTCGATGTTGGTCTCCTCAACACCCTGGAGCTTCTCACAGAAGTGGGAACCACAGCCGATCCTCTCTGTCTTGGCCCATACCACCTGATGAAGGGCAAACCTAGCAGCTCAGCCCCATGCGAGGTGGCATGGTGCCTTCCTGGCATCCCACTACACCTGCCTTACAGGAGTGGAGAGAAGAGGCACCCTATAGCCTGTGACATCCACGTCCCCAAGGCCATGCAGGTTCAGGACAAAACTCTAACCAGGGGGAGGGATGGGGGAGTTTGTCCCTAACAGTCTACTCTCCTCTGCCAACCACACATACCACTTTGCCAGGTCTCTTTTCCTCTCAAAACCTTCCCTCAGCTCCAGGACTGTGATATACCCTCATTAATTTTTTTCTGTGGGCTAGAAAAAAAGGCCTAGAGGCCCTTGCATTTTAAGTGAAGGATATATCCAAACGAAAGAATCTCAAATGGTAGAATTTTAGACCTCAGCAACAAGAAAAGTCCAAGGAGGGGAGCAGGAGGAGCCATTTTGGAAGTGGAACTTCCCCCAAATCACAGGTGAGCAGGACCTGTTCTGGTTGTTTCTCAGTGTGGGTCTCTTAACTGCTAGAAAGACTTCTATCTTTATCAAACAGAAAGTCCAACAACATTTGTGTGCTGCCATGGGGTGAGACCAGCAGCCTTGCCTTGCTGGTTCTAGGTTCAATCTGCCCAGGAATCTCTGCTGAAATCAGCTGAAGGTCTCCCCGTGTTGAGCACCTTCTGGGCAGAAACGACTCCAGAGTGCATGCACCCTCAGCCCCAGAGAAAGCTGGGGTGGAGCTGGGCTGACTCACTCCCTGCTGGGTCCTGATAACAATCCCTGCAGGAGCAAGTGGGTGGGGGTAGAGGGAGGGGGGGGGTGGAGGGAGAGGGAGGGGTGGCAGGATCCAGAGGGAAAGGGCCAGGAAGGGTGCTGGGCCCTCACAACTTTCTGACCTGGGTGGGTGCTGCTGGGATTTCCTCCCTAAAGATGAAGACTAAAAATACCATGAAAAAGAGACACTGAGAAATGGAATTGGTGGATGTGGGTGGGAAGATGGTTGGTTTCTTTTCTTTTGTTTGTCATGTTATTATTTGTACAACACATAAGCACTGGGAGGAGAAAAAATAATTCAGTAACACTAATGTTAATTCCCCTACACACACACACACACACACACACACACACACACACACATCTTATCTGCAAGCCCAAACTTTCAAAATGCAGTGAGAACCCAGACAGGAGCAAAGTGTGACTGGGGAGCAGGAAATTCTATCAGAAATCTCCCTGAAGCCTTTCATTCAGCCACAATTTGTTCTTCATCGTTATGCATAATTGTTAAATGCAAAAGAAAAACTAAGCAAAATTGTCAATTTGCTTTATTAGTCCCTGGCAGATGAGAAGTAGCAAATTAGACACCATAATAAATGCAAAAGAGCCACAGAGAGAAGTTAAGGGACTATCTGCTGCTGGGGCAAACAGCTCTGCACTATCTGGGGGAAGTGAGGCAGGATCACTTGGAGCCCAGTACAGTATGGCCTAGGACAATAACCATGGTCCATAAAATTGGCTCTGTGACACCTAACATGTCCCACCGTCCCCACCCCTTTTTATTTATTTATTTATTTATTTAATTTTTTTTTTTTTTTTTTGAGACAGGGCCTCCCTCTGTCGCCCAGGCTGGAGTGTAGTGGTGTGATCACGACTCACTGCAGCCTCAACCTCCTGGGCTGAAGTGATCCTTCCACCTCCGCCTCCAGAGCAGCTGGCGCGCGCCACCGCGCCCAGCAAAGTTTTTTGTATTTTTTTGTAGGGACAGGGATCTCGCCATGTTGCCCAGGCTGGTCTCCAACTCCTGGCCTTAAGCGATCCTCCCAGCTCGGCCTCCCAAATTGCTGGGATTACAGGGGTGAGCTACGGCGCCTGGCCTAGCAGACTAGGAGCAGCCGACTCCGTCAGAGTCTTAGACAGCGTATTAGCTGCAGTGAGAGGACAAGATTTGCAAAGTGTCTGAGGGGGCTTGGAGTGAAGCCCGCCTACTTGCAGCGAGGACGCTTAGGAGGGGTGAAGGCAGAGGTGGCCCCGCCCAGGGAGCACGTGGCCCCACCCCCACGCCGCGAGGCTCCGCCCCGCCTCGCCCGCCGGGCCCACACCTGCGTGTAGTGGCCGCACATCTGGCCTGGGCTGCAGGTGGCGGCGCTGAGGTTGTAGTGCTCACGCTCGTGGTGCCACTCCTCCATGGCCAGCGGCACGTCCATGCCCTCGTCTGTGATGGCGAACAGATTCTCGCCGCGGCGCCCGCGCTCCTTGTTGTGGCCCCACACGCACTGCCGTGCGTAGGCCTTGGCGAAGGCGGCCAGCTCCTCGTCCCATCTCTGCAGGGCAGGTGAGAGAAGGGAGGTGAGGATGCCCACAGATGCTGTGGGGACCAAGCAAAAGGTCGAGGAGGTCGTGGGGAAATCCTTCCGGCACCTCCTTAGCAGGGTGACTCTTGGGCATGGCCTAGAACAGGTCTCTGCTCTGGGTGGGCGTCTGTGGGGCGGTGAAGGATGCCACCCCAGGCCGTGGAGCTGGACCATTCACCAGCTGTGTGACTGCACGGATTGTCTAAACTTTCCGCACCCTCAGAGGGCTGGGAAGAGTGGATGAGGTGGTGTTGGTGACAGTGTTATTATTAAAAGCCTCATGTGAAAAAGGTGGCCATACATGCCCCTGCCTACCTCCCAGTCCTCCTTGAACTTCTCTGAAGAGCACAAGATCACGGTGTGATCGATGTTGAGGGGCTGGGTTGTTTATTCAGCCCATTTCCCTACCCCTCAACCATGAACCTGACTTGAGGGCCGGCACCTTCCTCTCCCTCTAAGCCCCCACCCTCCCCTTGGGTCACCCAGCCCCCATGCCTTTACCCTCTGCAGGCTCCCGCCCCAGTGCTGTTCCTAACTGCTCCCAACCCTTGTCAACGGCAACCCCCTTTCTCCAAGAAAATTAAGCGTCTCTATGTGACACTGAATGTCACAGGCCTCTCACCAAGGGGCCTACTTTCAGAGCCTTGGTAACCCACTGTCAGACCCCAGTGACAGTGTTCTCCAGTGGGGACCTCAGGTGAGATGGTGAGAGGGGGAATTTTAGGTTCGGGGCCTTTGCGATTGTGTCCCTGGCTGAGAGGACAGGCCGAGTGTGGGTGGGAAGAGGGATTAACAAGGCATCCGACCCAAAGGATTGAGGAGGGGAAACCTGGATCCCATTAAACGCTGTCCTTGGCTTCTCCTGGAAATCCATGGCCTGGCGGCAGCTCTTGCTCCACCCTATGAGGGCCCAGCCAGCTCTGGGAGCCAGACAGCCCATAAAGCGCCAAGAGCTTGGGTGACCCTGAGGGGAGGTGGCTGTGTGGCCACACCTACTCCCCACCCACTCAAGGCTTTCAGGAGCCGCTGCCTGGCATGGGGATGGGTGCACCTGGCTGGGATAGCTCCACAGCTGTGACCTTGGGTGAGTATCTTTCCCTCTCTGGACATTTTTGTCCCAAATCACTGGCCCCTGAGATTCTCTCAACTCTGGCAACAGTGGGAGACTGGGAGTGGGAAAGGGGCAGGGCGCTGGGGGCCAGGGTCAGGGTGTCTGAGATCACCTGCGAGGTGCCGGGCTGGACTGTAAGTGCCATCACGGTAGGGCATGGATGGATCCCCAGTGTCTGGCGCAGTGCTGGCACATAGTAGGTGCTCAACAGATACTTGTCAACTATTGATGACTGAGACAGGGCCCTTCTTAAAGCAGTCTACCCCTACAGAGCCTGGCTGTAATTTCCATTCTGACTAGATATCTGGAGCCCCACCATTAGCATCATTGCTTTGGTCTTAAGGATTCTCAGTCAGTCATCCAGAGCCCCCTGTGGAGTTTGTAAGACTCTCAGCACCCACCCACATTGGCCACATGGTCACCATCTAGAAGCAAGTCCATTCATTCATTCATTCAACAGTCCTGGGCATTGTGTCAGCCCTGGGACAACAGCAGGAACCAAGAAGCCCAAATTTCCATTGACATAAAAGTCATTTGGGCCACCACATGGTAAATGACAGATGTGCCACAAGTACTATAGAGGCACCAAAGAGGGCCATCTAGCCCAGCCAAAGGTGGAGAGGGAGACACCAAGCTAAGTGTTAAAAGATGAGGCATTAGTCAGCTGGAGGGGAGAGGCATCCTAATCAGAAGGTACACATCAGCAAAGGCATGAAGCTGGGAAACATTTTGGCTGGGAAAAGACAAGCTGTTCAGGTGACAGAAGAATAAAGGGCAAGCGGGAGAGGAGGATGGAGAGATAGGCAGGGGCCAGAACACACAGAACCTTCTCAGTCAGGAGCTGGAGCTTTAACCTGAAGCAGTAGGGAGCCATGGGAGCCACTGAAGGATTTTGAGCAGGGTCAGGCCCATGTGTTGGATTATTCATTCTGACAGCAGAGGCCAGAAGCTGGGGAACAGGTAGAGGCTATCCTAGGAGTCCTTGTGTGGAAGAATGAAAGAAACCTGAACCAGGATTGTGCTGAAAAGAGAAGGGGGTAGGGGTAAGGGTTAGATTTCAAGGACAATTGAACCTTCGGGGTGGCAAAACTGGTGCTGATTAGCTCTGGAGGCTGAGAGAGAAGGAAGAGTTCATGATAACCCCCACCTGCCTCACCCTGGATCCATTCCCTCTTTTGTGTTAATCAGACACTTACTGAGCACTTACTGTGTGCCAGGCATTCTTCTGAGTGCTTTACACATATTCACTCACTTAACCCTACAACCACTGTAGCTACAAGGGAATTATCCCACTGTTATCATCCCCATTTTACAGATGAGGAGACTGAGGCACAGAGAGTTTAATTTGGCCAAGGTCACAAAGCTAATAAGTAACAAAGCTAAGATTTGAACCCAGGCCATTTGGCTGCAGAGTCCCTGCCCTCACCACTGCTGAGGTTGAACCTGAGTCTTGTCCTGAATGTTTCCTGGCATCCCAGCCCCAGCCTCATCTCCTCCTCCTCATGTCACTCCCCATTAGGCAGCAGCATATCCCCTCAGTATCCCAACTGCCTCCCAGAATGTTGCCCCACTCCAAGGCGCACCTCTGTCTGAGAAGCAGCTCCCAGCCTGTGTGGCCCCCAGTCTCAGCCAGCAAGACTGTAGGGCATCAGGGATCTACAGGTGGGGAAACTGAAGTCCAACAATGAGTCACAGGCCTCAATCAGGGAGCTGTTGGCAGAGCTGCATCTGTGACGCCTGGTTTGTTGTCCACCTTTCCTCGATGTGCAGGCTGGCACAGCTGTGAACGGCAGTGCTGGGTGTGTGCAGAGCTCTTCCTAGATCTTTCTTACGTGTCATCCTGTCTGACGCCCAGGGCAGGGATCGCCAGCCCCATGTTTCCATCTGGAAACAGAGGCCTTTGAAGGGAAAGGGGTCCACCCAGAGTTACTTCAGCCAGATCACATTAGGCTGAGGTTAGAACTTAGGTTTGGGGCCCCAGGCTCACTGTTATGTTCCCCAAGGTGCATCTGTTCTCTCAGGCACCAGCTCCAGGGGTCCCTGAACACTGCCCAGCAACCTCCCCAGTCACCTGAGGGTGGCTGGAGGGGACAAGCTAGTTCAGCCCTCAGGGAGGGCAGGAAGTGGGTGAATTTCTCACTTTATCTCCTTTAATTCTGCATATAGACAGCCCGCCTCTCACCCTACCATAAATAGCTCTTCCTGACAGAAGTAACCAACCCTAAATCTGGCTTCTGTCTCCTGTGTGCATGTACATGTAATGTTTACTACATCTGCGTGTTTCACCAGGACATAAATAGTATTTTTACATGTTTTCAGACTTCATGTAAAGAGATCCTACTGTGTATTTTTTAGAGATTTTATTTCCTCCCCCATTCAGTATGATATCTGTGAGATTCAATCCACACTGGTATATACGTAGCTCTAATTCTGACCGCCTTTTACAGATGAGACACGGGATCGGCAAGGTTACAGGACTTGCCTCGAATCATAGGTCTTGTAGGTGACCGAGACAGAATTTGGACTGTGTGATCCAGAGCCCTCTCTGCTTCTGGATCCTGCTGTCACCCACCTCCTTAGCACCTGCCTCCTACTCCACGTGCCCACGCCCATCCTGCTGCCCTGCTTCCTCTTGTCCTCTCCTTGGCAGGCATGTGAAAGACCGTTTTCACAAAGGTGTTAAGAACTTCCCGGGTTCCCCCACTGAGGGCACATGCATTTGAGGAAGTGCTGGGGAAAGCTCATTGGAGTGGGAAGCCAGGGCTTTGGGTCTGGCTCTACCAGCTGTGTGACCCCAACAAATCCCTCTGAGCCTCACTTTCCTTATCTGTATTATGAGGCTGCTTATAGGGGCCTGTGAATTTTATTAGGCGGGTGCAAAAGTAATTGTGGTTTTTGCCATTTAAAGTAATGTAATACCATGTCAGGGACTCGGGGACTCTGTCACTGACCAGAAAAAGGAGAGGAATTCTGAAATAGCTTCAGCATGAGGAGCAGGGTAAGAGAGCCTGGTGACAGACCCTGGCCAGCACCCCTTCCATCCCAGCCAGCAAGGGCCGTGGCCACACTTACCATGTGCAGCATGTCTGAGGCCGTCGGGGATACCTGGGCCCGGTAGAGGTTGTGCAGCTCCACCATCAAACGTTTCTCCTCATCTGTGAGGGCTCCAACGGGGCCTGTGGTGGCCACCAGCAGTAGCAGTAGCGGCAGCAGAAGCATCAGGAAACTGCAGGAGCCGTGCATGGTGGCCAGCCGTCTCTCCTTCTCCCGTCCAGGGGTCTGGCAGCTGGATTTAAAGTCCTTCCCACACAAGCACCACCCTGGCTGGGGTGGGGCAGTGGGGGCCGTGTTTGAGGCCCAGCCCGACTCACACAATGTCTCAGGGAGGGCTGGGCGCTTTGGGTCCCGACCAGCATCAAGTGCACTCCCCTTGGAGTCCTTGGCAAAAACCTCCTTTCTCTTGGTAACGGGGGCTCAGGCCAAAAGCTGTGTGAGTTCCTAAGTTGTGGACAGATCCTTCAGGGGCAAAATCACAGTAACCTCTGCAGAGCTGTGACTGGTTGCACCCAGGTCACACCCACTGTGTGTTGAAGATAGATAAGAGAAAGGAAACCACAGACCCTACCCACAGAGGAGTGGGCAAGATGAGGAAGCTATAGGCTTTTGAAAGGACAGAGGAAGACCAGATGTATTTGATAAAAGGCTGAGCCAACCTAAATCAGAATCCTGGTTCTGCCCCTTGCTATCTGTGTTTTGGCAGCTTTCTCAAGTGAATCAGTGACAATAATAGTACCTATCTCACAGGACTAGAGGGAAGATTCAATGACATATAATGTATGTAAAGCACCTAGTATGGTGTCTGGCACATAGTAGGCCCTCAGTAACAGTAGACAACCCACTCATGTGGCCTGGGCCTTAGCAGGCTACCAGCCCCCTGTGGAGGCAACATTCTTGCCTGCGGGGGGAGAGGCCAAGGTCTTCCCCACTCTAGCTGTATTCAGGAATAAGGCCTTTCACTATGGCAAAATTTTGGCTTCCAGGTATCCTCTCTGAATGCATGTGCTTGACATGCTCATTTGGAAGTGGGATGCTGGGACCCCTGTGCTCTAACTATGTAGAAATATAATGTGTCTGTTTCTTAAATCAAGAGAGAGCAGAAAAGCAGAAGGTTGAATGAGCTGATGCACCAGGAGCTCTGAGGGGAAGGTATTGGAAGGGAAATAGCCTTAGCAGTCAGGTGCTGGCATTATAATGACCTTGACCTTGCAGGGGCCATGACCGGTTCATGAAGCAGGAAGCTGGAACCAGTACTCTTGAGGACAGCTGGGATCCTTGAAGCCTGCTTCTTCAATGAATAGGGACCTAGAAAAAGTCTACCCACAGGCTTTGGAAGATGACAAGAAAACCTGTCCCTGCCTGAGTCTCCAAGTAAAAATAAAAACAAAACCAAGATGGATTACACACACATACACACACACACACACTTATTAGAATTAATAAAGTCAGCAAAGTTGCAGGATACAAAATTAACACATAGAAATTAGTTGTTTCTATACACTAATAATGAAAAATCCAAAAAGGAAATTAAGAAAACAATTTCATTTATAAAAGCAATGAAAAAGAATAAAAAGAATAAAATTCTTACCAATAAACTTTTTTTTTTTTTTTGAGATGGAGTCTCGCTCTGTCACCCAGGCTGGAGTGCAGTGGCATGATCTTGGCTCACTGCAACCTCTGCCTCCTGGGTTCAAGTGATTCTCCTGCCTCAGCCTCCCAAGTAGCTGGGACTACTTGCCCACCATGCTGCCCACCATAGCTGCTACCATGCCCGGCAAATTTTTGTATTTTTAGTAGAGATGGGGTTTCACCATGTTGGCCAAATGGTCTTGATCTCTTGACCTCGTGATCCGCCCGCCTCGGTCTCCCAAAGTGCTGGGATTACAGGTGTGAGCCACTGCGCCTGGCCCTTAGCAATAAACTTAACCAAGGAAGCAAAAGACTTGTACGCTGAAAATCACAAGTGTTGACAAACAAAGTGAAAGAAGACACAAATAAATGGAAAGTCATCCTATATTCATGGATTAGAAGACTTGATATTGCTAAGGTGTCAATGTTGCCTGAAGCAATCTACAGATTCAATGCAATCCCTATTGAAATGCAAATCATAATATTTTTATAGAAACAGAAAAATCCATCCTAAAATTTATATGGAATCTCAAAGGACCCCAAATAGTCAAAACAATCTTGAAAAAGAACAAAATTGGAAGTCTTACAGTTTCTGATTTTAATATGTAACCACAAATCTACAATAATTAAAATAGTGTGGTATTAGTATAAAGACAGACATTTAGACTAATGGAATAGAATAGCCCAGAAATAAACTCTTACACATATGGTCAAATGATTTTAGACAAGGGTACCAAGACCGTTCAACGAGGGAAAGGCAAGTCTTTTAAAGAAGACTTAGAAAACTGGAATGTCCACATGCGAAATAATGAAGTTGAATCTTTACCGTAAGTATATTAAAAAATTAACTCCAAAATGGATTAAATACCTAAACATAAAAGCTAAAACTACAAAACTCTTAGAAGAAAATATAAGGGGGACTTCTTGGCATTGGATGTGGCAAGGATTTCTTGGATATGACACCAAAAGCATAGGCAACAAAACAAAAATAAATTGGACTTCATTAAAATTAAGAACTTTCGGGGGCAGAGTGTAGTGGCTCATGCCTGTAATCCCAGCACTTTGAGAGGCCAAGGTGGGTGGATCACTTGAGGTCAAGAGTTCGAGACCAGCCTGGCCAACATGGTGAAACCCCGTCTCTACTAAAAATACAAAAATTAGCTGGGTGTGGTGGCAGGCGCCTGTAGTCCCAGCTACTCAGGAGGCTGAGGCAGGAGAATTGCTTGAACCTGGGAGGCAGAGGTTGCAGTGAGTCAAGATCCAGTCACCGCATTCCAGCCTGGGTGACGGAGTCTCAAAAGAAAAAAAAAAAAAAGACACAATTTCCCATGAACTGGGAAAAAATATTTGCAAATCATGTATCTGATAAGGGATTAATATCTAGGATATATATTTTGTGGGTTTTTTGTTGTTGTTTTTGAGACAGGGTCTCGCTCTGTCACCCAGGCTGGAGTGCACTCGCGCAATCTTGGCTACTGCAACCTCCGCCTCCCGGGTTCAAGTGGTTCTCCCACCTCAGCCTCCCAAGTAGGCTGGGACGTCAGACATGCGCCACCATGCCTGGCTAAGTTTTGTATTTTTAGTAGAGACAAGATTTCGCCATGTTGGCCAGGCTGGTCTCAAACTCCTGACCTCAAGTAATCTGCCCGCCTTGGCCTCCTAAAGTGCTGAGATTACAGGCATGAACCACCACACCTGGCCAATATCTAGGATATATTTTTAAAACTCCTACAACTCAACAACAACAACAACAACAAAACAATTTGAAGTCGATTCAGTGGCTCAGCACTTTGTAATCCCAGCAGTTTGGGAGGCTAAGGCGGGCCGATCGCTTGAGACCACAAGTTCAAGATCAGCCTGGGCAACAAGGTGAAACCTCATCTCTACAAAAAATACAAAAATCAGCTGGGCATGGTGGCATGCACCTGTAGTCCCAGCTACTAGGAAGGCTGAGGTGGGAAAATTGCTTGGGCCTGGGAGGTCAAGGCTGCAGAGAGCCGAGATCACACCACTGCACTCCAGACTCCAGCCTGGGCAACAGAGGGAGAGCCTGTCTCAAGAAAAAAAAATTTGATTAAATAGGCAAAGGACTTGAAAATTCATTGTTCATTTATGCAATTATTCATGCAATTATTCATTGTCGAAAAGACATTTCTCCAGAGAAGATATACAAGTGGCCAATTAGCACATGAAAAGATGATCGACATCACTTACCATTAGGGAAATACAGTGAAATACCACTTCACACTCATTAGGATGGCTATTATTAAGAAACAAAACAAAACAGAAAATAGCAAGTGTTGACAAGGATATGGAGAAATTGAAACCCTTGTACATTGCTTCTGGGAATGTAAAAGGTGCAGCCACTGTGGAAGACAGTGTGACGGTGCCTCAAAAAATTAAACACAGAATTACCATATGAGCCAGAAATTTCACTTCTGGGTATATACGCGAAAGAGTTAAAAGCAGGGACTTGGCCGGGCACGGTGGCTCAAGCCTGTAATCACAGCATTTTGGGAGGCCGAGGCGGGCGGATCACCTGAGGTCAGGAGTTCGAGACCAGCCTGACCAACATGGAGAAACCCTGTCTTTGCCAAAAGCGCAAAATTAGCCGGGTGTGGTGGCACATGCCTGTAATCCCAGCTACTCAGGAGGCTGAGGCAGGAGAATCGCTTGAACCCAGGAAGTGGAGGTTGCGGTGAGCCGAGATCGTGCCATTGCTCTCCAGCCTGGGCGACAAGAGCGAAACTCCATCTTAAAAAAAAAAAAAGCAGGGACTCAAACAAATATATTTGTACACCGGTGTTGATAGTAGCATTAGTCACAATAGCTAAAAGGTGGAAACAACCCAAATGTTCATCAATGAATGAACTAATAGTGTAGTATACACAAAATGTACGATCACATATACAATGGACTATTATTTTGCCTTAAAAAGGAAGGAAATTCTGACACATATTACAACATGGATGAACTTTGAAGACATTAGGCTAAGTGAACTAAGCCAGACACAAAAGAACAAATCTTACATGATCCCACTTATATGCAGTACCTAGCTAGAGTAGGCAAATTTATAGAGACAGAAAATAGAATGGTGATTGCCGGGGGCTGGAGGAAGGAGAGAATGGGGAGTTAGTGTTTAGTGGTGTAGAGGTTTGGTTTGGGAAGAGGAACAAGTTCTGTTGATGGACGGTGGTGATGGTGACAATGCTGTGAAAGTCCATACTTAATGCCACTGAACTGGACACATAAACATGGGTAAGATGGTAAATTTTATGTTCTATATTTTACCACAGTAACAACCACCACCACAAAAACAGGAATTCTTACATTGGCCAGGAGTACGGTGACAAAGGAAAAATCGTGTCTGGAGGGAGCCTTTACAACCCAGGCCACTTGAGCCACCATGAGAAAAAAAAAAAATATCCAACTTTAGCTCACAATCAGAAAGTATCAAATGCATCAGGAACTGAGTCACCATGAGCAACAGACAGACAGCATACATCACAATAGGAGAATTTCTGACCCTGAAACTTGAGATAATAGAACAATCTGAAAAAGACTTCAAATAACTGTATTTACAATGAATATGCAAATAAATGGGTAGCTGAAAAGGGGAGAAGGAAGACTTAGGGGGTAGAGGGGAACAAGATGTGGAAAAGAATCGGAAGAATTCAGGAAAATGGGTTAGTCTGGGGAGAAAGGGACGCTATTTGAGAAAAATCCAAGTGGAGGAAAGAAGACTGACCAGATTAGACTACAGCCCAGACCCCTGGGCAGCTGTCCCAGGGTGTTCAGGTGGCAAAGCTGTGAGATGGATCTCTTTCCTCCATAGACGGGAGAACTCAGTGAGTTCCTGACAACTTAGGCTTGAGATAGAAATAAGGGGACTTAGTGACCGGGCGCGGTGGCTCAAGCCTGTAATCCTAGCACTTTAGGAGGCCAAGGTGGGCGGATCACCTGAGGTCAGGAATTGGAAACCAGCCTGGCCAACATGACGAAACCCCATCTTCACAAAAAATACAAAAATTAGCCAGGTGTGGTGGTGTGTGCCTGTAGGCCCAGTTACTTGGCAGGCTGAGGCAGGAGAATCACTTGAACCCGGGAGGCGGAGGTTGCAGAGATCACGCCACTGCATTCCAGCCTGGGCGACAGAGCAAGACTCCAGTGAGAAGAAAGAAAGAGAGGAAGAGAGAGAGAGAGAAGAGAGGAGAGAGAGAAAAAGAAAATAAGGCTGGGTGCGGTGGCTCACACCTGTAATCCCAGTACTTTGGGGGTGGATCACGAGGTCAAGAGATTGAGACCATCCTGGCCAACCAACATGGTGAAACCCTGTCTCTACTAAAAATCCAAAAATTAGCTGGGCGTAGTGGCACACGCCTGTAGTCCCAGCTACTTGGGAGGCTGAGGCAGAATAATCGCTTGAACCCAGGAGGCGGAGGTTGCAGTGAGCCGAGATCGCGCCACTGCACTCCAGCCCGGGTGACAGAGTGAGACTCTGTTTCAAAAACAAAAACAAAAACAAAAAAGGAAAGAAAGAAAGGGAAGGGAGGGTGGGAAGGGAGAGAAGGAAGGGAAGGAAGGGGAGAGAGAGAGAGCGAGAGAGAAAGGGAGACAGTAAGGAAAGGAGGGAGGAAGGAGGGAGGGAGGAAGGAGGGAAGGAGGGAGGGAGGAAGGAGGGAAGGAGGAAGGAAGGAAAAAAAAAAAGAAAGAAACACAGAGCTGGGCGTGGTGGCTCAGGCTTGTAATCCCAGCACTTTGGAAGGTGGAGGTGGGCGATTGCTTGAGCCCAGAACTTTGAGACCAGCCTAGGCAACAAAGTGAGACCCTTTCTCTATTTCTAAAAACTTTTAAAACATTAAAATGAATAAAATAAAATAAAAACAGACTTCCCAAGGAATTAAAGTGCTGACCTGGCCTGGGAAGTGCTGGACTCAGGAATGGAAGGACACAGTTCTCAGATGCCCCCCGGGTGGAACCAGGCACTGGCACTACAGGTTGCCCTGGTGTGGTCATCTCTGTGGCCTCTGCCTCCAGTCATGCCCCTTCAATAGCAAGGAAAACAGCTCCGTAGATGCAGGACAATGGGCAGCATTCATTCACTCAACAAAGGCTTACAGAGCCTCTCATTGTGCCAGGCGCTGAGCTGGGTGAACAACAGCAGGAAACCAACCAGCAACCACAGGCAGTGTTGTGGATGAGAGTGTGGGGCTTACCGGCTGGGTGGCCTGGGGCAGGTGATTTCTCTGCTCACTGGCCTGTTTCCACATCTGTACACTGGGGCTTAGAACAGAACCTACCTCCTAGGATGGTTGTGAGCATTAAATGAGTTAGTACATGGGTAGGGCCTGTGATCATCCCTGGAACATAGTAAGTGCTCATTGAGTTAGCCAGTATTCACATACAGCAGGTCCTTGAATAACGTCATTTCATTCCATGTCTTTTTGTCATGACATTGGTAAGAGAAAAATTCGATTCCTGCAGGGGCCACTGTCTGCGTGGTGTTTGCATTCTCCCCACGTCTGCGTGGGTTTTCTCCCATGTCCCAAAGCTGTGCACGCTAGGCTCATTGGTGAGTCTGCATGGTCCCAGCACGAGTGAGTGTGGGTGTGTGAGCACCATGTCCTGTCCAGGGTAGGTTCCCACCTGGCATCCTGAGCTGCCAGGATGGGCTCCAGCCACCCACGACCCTGAACTGGAATAATTGGGTAAATAATTATCTTGTTTTTCTTTCTTTCTTCTTTCTTTCTCTTTCTTTCTTTTTTCTTTCTCTCTCTCTCTCTCTCTCTTTCTTTCTTTCTTTCGAGAGAGTGTCTCGCTCTGTCACCCAGGCTGGAGTGCAGTGGCACAATCTCAGCTCACTGCAACCGCCACCTCCTGGGTTCAAGTGATTCTTGTGCCTCAGCCTCCTGAGTAGCTGGATTACAGGTGCCCACCACCACAGTCAGCTAACTTTTGTATTTTTAGTAGAGATGAGGTTTCACCAAGATGGCCAGGCCGGTCTCGAACTCCTGACCTCAGGTGATCCACCCACCTGGGCCTTGCAAAGTGCTGGGATTACAGGCGTAAGCCAGTGCACCTGGCCTAATTATCTTGTTTTTCTTAATTTTTCTTAAATGTATGTATAGCTTACATTCATTTCAGTGTTTAATATTAGAAGTGTTTTGATCTTTAGAAGTTTGGTGATGTTTTTGTCACCAGAAATATGTCACAGGAATTCTATTCATTTATATCAATTAGCCTATGGTAAAATTGGTTTTGTTTCCCTTAAAGTTGCAGTTTCCAAGAGTCTATCAGCAACTTAAGTGAGAACTTACTGTATTTGTTATTATATATCTTCCACCTGTTATATATAACAGGTGGAAAAGTTTGCATAGCCTGAGGCTATAGCAAAGAAAAAAAATACAGCAACCTGACTTGGCTTTTACCCTGGGGAGGACTGCCTTGGCCTGGGAGAGCTCCTAGGTAGAAAGGGAGGACACACCCCTCTCTGAGGGACAGGGGCACTGGTTGAGTGTTGCCAGGATGTGGGCTGGGGAGGCCTCCTGGGAAGGGCATTTGGTTGGAAGCAGAGACACCTGGCTTGCCTGAGAGGGTTGGGTGAGATGGGAATGAAGACTGGGAGGCTGACCAGAGCCAGCCAGCGCATGTGGGGACCCAGGTGTGCAGACAGAGTCCACTCTGCGTGTGCACACTTATACGTGGTTCACAGAGCTTCTCCCATTTGAGTGACCTCACCCACTCCTCACAGGATAGCTCTCCAAGGTGAGTCTCACTGTCACCCCGCATAAGGAGACTGATGCTCAGAAAGGTAAGTGATTTCCCCAGTATAGGTCGGGGAGGGTCTGGAATAGTGACAAAGTGGTGGGACCAGAGCCAGGGACCTGCCACTAGGAAAAGAGGGCAGTTAAGGCAAGCACATGGAGGAGAGAGAGGAATGGAAGAGGTGAAGTTAGGGGAGGGTGAGAGGGAGAAAGAGAAGGCAGCATCAGAGTAGACGGTGTGTTTTATCCATAAACCCAGACTTGGGGAAAATAGATTTTCTTCTGTATTATTATTTCTGTATATTTTAAATCAAGTTTTATTTTGAACAGCAGTATAACTCCATAACAAAAAAATAAGCCAAAAAGGAAAAAAAAATAATTCCATCTCTGGCATTTGCTTCTCGTCTGAGCAGGTGGTCCACAGCCACTCAAAGTGTGGTCCACGGCCCGGTGCTGGTCTGCCAGAGATTCGCCACTGTTTTTCAGCACAACAGGCCCAGAAAATGAGAGTAAATGTTTAGAAACTCTTACAGCAATTGGACATGGTTGTTTTCTGCCTGTTGAATCTATGATTTAAAAGTTGGGCTTGTATTTCATGTATCTGCTTTTCATTTCATTTTTATTATTTATTTATTTTATTATTTTTTTTTGAGACCAAGTCTCGCTCTGTCACCCAGGCTAGAGTGCAGTGTCACAATCTCTGCTCACTGCAACCTCTGCCTCCCCGGTTCAAGCAATTCTCCTGCCTCAGCCTCCCGAGTAGCTAGGATTACAGGGGTGTAACACCACGCCCAGCTAATTTTTGTATTTTTAGTAGAGACGGGGTTTCACCATGTTGGCTAGTCTGTTCTCGAACTCCTGACCTCAGGTGATCTGCACCTGCACCGTCTTAGCCTCCCAAAGAGCTGGGATTACAGGCATGAGCCACCAAGCCTGGCCTGATAACTTTTTATTTTGAAATAATAATAGACTCACAGGAAATCACGAAAAAAGTACGTAAAATCCCATGAGCTGTTTACCCAGATTCTTCCAATGATGACATCTTATATAACAATAATACAATACCCAAACCAGGAAATGGACATTCATTTTCCTAATAGGTAATGATTTTGAACATCTTTTCCTGTGTTTTCTGCAACCCACATATCCTCTTTGGTGGACTGTCTGTTCGTGTCTTCTAGTTCTATTTGGATTTTTTTTCTGTTGAGTTTTGAGAGTTCTTTATGTATTTTAGATACAAGTCCTTTGATGGATATACATTTAATCATTTATTTTTACGATATTTTACAAAACTTTACATTTGGGATGGATTGGAAATTTTATAAAATCAAACTGGTCAATCACCACTGACAGTTTGAGAAGCAATCTTAGCATCTTCTTGCCTTAATGAAACAACCGCACCTGCACCATATTGAGTCCTGACTTTTTTCCCCAGATAATTTATTATAAATAATTTCTCCAACTTGCTCCATATCTTTATAACCACCACTTACAAGGTTTGCACACCTTCCATAGAGCAGCTGTACTGAGATTTACTCAGCCAATTCCCAAGGTTAGACATGACGTTATCACCCATTTCAGGGTCTTAGAGAAACTCTGAGTCACTCACCTTTGGTCACAAGGCTTTCTCAAACATTTTGGATAGAATGTTCTTAGTTTCCATTCTCACCATTATAGTTCAACTTGCTCTTTCATTAGAATTTAGGCATCAAGGTCAGACCAGATTGCTGGTTGGCCACATTCTGTGTTCTCATGGAAACAAAAGATCAGCGGCACTGAATCCAAACCACCCGAGCAACCCGGCTTTTCCAGTCCCAGATGCTTGATGGCACGGCAACAGTGGAGTCACTAAGAAATTTTACTTTAGTTCTATCACAGCAAACTCCAAACCAGGGGTAGCAGTCATCTGAAAAATGCAGAGACTATTTTAAAGGACAGACAAGTGCCTCAGATAGCATCAGAGAACAATGCCTAAGGTGCATGGATGGAAGCCAGTCTGCACAAAATGCTGAAAATAGGTCGTTCTGAGCAAGGGGGTCATGGAGAAGAAAGTACCAGCCCTCCATTCCTTACGCCCACTAGGCAGGTGCCTCTTCCCCTGCACCCAGGCTGACCCCTCACCTGGAAACTGACCCCTTCTCGGGTTTTCACACCTGTCTTGGACTTCCCCTTCTCCCTCCCTCCTTCCCTTTTTCTTTCTTTATTTTCTTTCTCTTTCTTTCTTTCCTTTTTTTTTTTTTTTTTTTTTTGAGATGGAGTCTCACTCTGTCACCAGGCTGCAGTGCAGTGGTGTGATCTTGGCCCACTGCAACCTCCACCTCCCGGGTTCAAGCGATTCTCCTGCCTCAGCCTCCCGAGTAGCTAGGACTACAGGCGCACATGACCATGTCCAGCTAATTTTTGTATTTTTAGTGACAGACAGGATTTCACCATGTTGGCCAGGATGGCCTCTATCTCTTGACCTCGTGATCCGCACGCCTCGGCCTCCCAAAGTGCTGGGATTACAGGCGTGAGCCACTGCGCCTGGCTCTTCTCTTTCTTTTCTTTTCCTTCCTTCCTTCCTTCCTCTTTTCTTTCTTTCTTTCTTTTTCTTTTTTTTTTTTGAGACAGAGTCTCGCTCTGTCGCCCAGGCCGGAGTGCAGGGGCGCGATCTTGGCTCCTGCAACCTCCACCTCCTGGGTTCACGCCATTCTCCTGCCTCAGCCTCTCCGAGTAGCTGGGACTACAGGCGCCAGCCACCACACCCGGCTAATTTTTTGTATTTTTAGTAGAGACGGGGTTTCACTGTGGTCTCAATCTCCTGACCTTGTGATCTGCCTGCCTCAGCCTCCCAAAGTGCTGGGATTACAGGCGTGAGCCACCGCTCCCGGCCCTTCCTTCCTTCTTTCTCTCTTTCTCTTTCTTCTTTTCCTTCCTTCCTTTCATTCTTTCCTTCTTTTTCTCCTCTTTCTCTCTCTCACTGTTTCCTTCTTTCTGTTTTCTTTTTCTCTCTTTTTTCTTTCTCTCTCTTTCTTTGGTTTGTTCTTTTTTTTTTTTTTTATTCCTGAGATGCATCCAAATTGGTATCTTTATTCTTTTCCCTTGCTATACAGTATTGCATTGTGTGACTATACTACATTCTTTAAAATTTCTTGTTGATTATACCTTTCTTCTTTAGTGCTGAAGCCAGTTCTGAATGATTACACTTTTATAAAAATTCTTGTGCAGCTCTTACTACACAAGGGCAAGAGTCTCTAGGGTATTTATCTAAATGCACAAAAGCAGAATTGTGCGGGGATAAGAGGTTATGGGCACCTTCAACTTACTAGGTGATGCGTGTTTTTCCAAATCGCACCCCTAGCCAGGAGTGTGTGAAGTGAGTTCTCATTGCTCCATATCCTTAGCAACACTTGTTATTGCCATTTTTTCTAACTTCTGATGACCTGGTGGTTACAAAATGATTGAATTGTAAATTTCAGTGATTTGTTTCTAGGCATACCTTTAGTAACTTTAAATATTTTTTTCAAAGTCTTTCTCTCTAGTTTTAAACAGTTCTCTTTATTTTTAAATTGTCCTAGGCTTACTTTTATATTGTTTTTTTAGATTTTGTTTTATCTGAAATTCTTGGTTTTAGCCATCCTATTGTGTCTATTAATTCTCATACTAGAGGATATCCTTTTGTGTTTTATAATTTTTTATTGCCTGCTTATTTCGGTGGTATTGTATCTGATAGAATCCTCTGTAGCCAAAGGTGCTATGTGGTTTGTGTTTCATTTTGTTTTTGAGACGAGATTTCACTCTGTTACCCAGGCTAGAGTACAGGGGTGTGATCATGGCTCACTGCAGCCTTCAACTCCTGGGCTCAGCCTCCCAGTTAGGCAGGATTAGAGACATTCATCATTATGCCCAGCTAATTTTTTAAAAAAAAATTATAGAGATGGGGTTTTGCTATGTTGCCCAGGCTGGTCTTGAACTTCTGGGCTCAAGTTACCCTCCTGCCTCAGCCTCCCAAAGTGTGGGATTACAGGCATGAGTCACCATGCTGGGACTAGTGCTATGTTCTTTCTCTAGGGTGTTTTTTCTTTTTCTTTTTTTTCTTTTTTTAATTGATCATTCTTGGGTGTTTCTCGCAGAGGGGGATTTGGCAGGGTCATAGGACAATAGTGGAGGGAAGGTCAGCAGATAAACAAGTGAACAAAGGTCTCTGGTTTTCCTAGGCAGAGGACCCTGGGGTCTTCCGCAGTGTTTGTGTCCCTGGGTACTTGAGATTAGGGAGTGGTGATGACTCTTAACGAGCATGCTGCCTTCAAGCATCTGTTTAACAAAGCACATCTTGCACCGCCCTTAATCCATTTAACCCTGAGTGGACACAGCACATGTTTCAGAGAGCACCGGGTTGGGGGTAAGGTCATAGATCAACAGCATCCCAAGGCAGAAGAATTTTTCTTAGTACAGAACAAAATGGAGTCTCCCATGTCTACTTCTTTCTACACAGACACAGTAACAACCTGATCTCTCTTTCTTTTCCCCACATTTCCCCCTTTTCTATTCGACAAAACCACCATTGTCATCATGGCCCGTTCTCAATGAGCTGTTGGGTACACCTCCCAGAAGGGGTGGCGGCGGGGCAGAGGGGCTCCTCACTTCCCAGAAGGGGCGGCCGGGCAGAGGCGCCCCCCACCTCCCGGATGGGGCGGCGGCCGGGCGGAGGCGCCCCCCACCTCCCGGACGGGGCGGCTGGCCGGGCGGTGGCTGCCCCCCACCTCCCTCCCGGACGGGGCGGCTGGCCGGGCGGAGACGCTCCTCACTTCCCAGACGGGGCGGCTGCCGGGCGGAGGGGCTCCTCACTTCTCAGACGGGGCGGCTGCCGGGCAGAGACGCTCCTCACCTCCCAGACGGGGTCGTGGCTGGGCAGAGGCGCTCCTCACATCCCAGACTGGGCGGCGGGGCAGAGGCGCTCCCCACATCTCAGACAATGGGCGGCCGGGCAGAGACGCTCCTCACTTCCTAGACGGGATGGCGGCTGGGAAGAGGCGCTCCTCACTTCCCAGACTGGGCAGCCAGGCAGAGGGGCTCCTCACATCCCAGACGATGGGTGGCCAGGCAGAGATGCTCCTCACTTCCCAGACGGGGTGGCAGCCGGGCAGAGGCTGCAATCTCGGCACTTTGGGGGGCCAAGGCAGGCAGCTGGGAAGTGGAGGTTGTAGCGAGCTGAGATCACGCCACTGCACTCCAGCCTGGGCAACATTGAGCACTGAGTGAATGAGACTCCATCTGCAATCCCGGCACCTCGGGAGGCCGAGGCTGGCAGATCACTCGCGGTTAGGAGCTGGAGACTAGCCCGGCCAACACAGTGAAACCCCGTCTCCACCAAAGAAATACTAAAACCAGTCAGGCGTGGCGGCGCGCGCCTGCAATTGCAGGCACTCGGCAGGCTGAGGCAGGAGAATCAGGCAGGGAGGTTGCAGTGAGCAGAGATGGCGGCAGTACAGTCCAGCTTCGGCTCGGCATCAGAGGGAGACCGTGGAAAGAGAGGGAGAGGGAGACCGTGGGGAGAGGGAGAGGCAGAGTGAGAGTGAGAGTGAGAGTGGTTTGTTCTTTCTTTCTTTGCTCTTTTGGCAGGGTTTTGCTCTGTCACCTGGGCTGGAGTGCTTCCGTGCAGTCTCAGCTCACTGCAGCCTTGTCCTCCCCAGCTCAAGCAATTCTCCTGCCTGAGCTTCCCAAATGGCTGGGACTACAGGTGTGTACCACACCCAACTAATTTTTGTATTTTTTGAAGAGATGGGGTTTTGCAGGCTGATCTGGAACTCCTGGGCTCAAGTGATTCTCCTGCCTTGGGCTCCCAAGGGTGCTGGGATTACAGATGTGAGCCACCATGCCCGGCCTCACACCTGTATTTCTGAGACAGCTGCGCCCACCCCGCCTCCTTTTCTTCTCCCTCTCTCCTGAATTGCTTCTGTGGTCTCGACCTGAATTGTGGTATTGCTCCTCCTCTGGTTTCTCTGCTTCTGCTTCTCTGCCCTTCTCCTTAGCCCTCACTTTGTTTGAGGCAAGTCCTAGATGTGAGGTCTGCAGCTTGTCATGGACCAACCACCTGGGCAGGTCTGACCCTTTCCAAGACTCCTTTTGCCCAGCCTTGTTGGGAAGTCATCATGAGGTGGACAATTTGGGAATGGCCCCACCTAAAGGCTAGTCTTTGCTGTCATTACAGGGCTTATGTCTGGGATCCTCACAGAGACTAGAAGTGTCTCCCATCCCCATCGCAGTCCCTGGCACTTCCTGGATTGTCGAGCGGCTCCCTGCCTCTGCCCTTTTGTATTCGGAGCTACAGCCTTGCCTCCCCTGTTCCCACCACCCTGACCACCCCTCAACACCATCCCGCTGTCAGCTCCGCCGCCAACTGAGGCGACACCTGTTCATGGAAACCCTGTGAGCCTCTTCTGTATCCATACACAATAGGTAATGTTGTTTTACGTGTTTCAAAACATCAGTGTTGTCCAACAGAACTCTCTGTGATGCTGGAAATGTTCTCTGTCTGCCGTCCAATACAGCAGCCACAGACGGCACATGGCTTTTGAGCACTTGAAATGCAGCTAGTGTGACTGAAGAATTGCATTTTGAATTTTAGTTGAAGTTTAAATAGCCGTGTGTAGCTAGTGGCTACCACATTGAACAGCGCAGCCTAGACCCTGCTAAACCTTGTTTTTTTCCTTTCTTCGTTTTTGAGATTTGTTGATGTCGAGGCATGCAGATGTACGCCACTCATTCTCCCTGCTGTGTTCCGTCGTATCAATATGCGGCTGCCTGTTTATCCATTTTCCTACTGTTGGACATAGGGGCTCTTCCTTTTCCTTGTTTCTGTTTTTTTGCTGATACAAATGATGCTGCAGCAATCTTTTTGTATATATCTCCACACGCCTCTCCTAATGTCTTCATTTCCCACCATGGTGGACGGTCCCATGACCCCATGCCCAGGTGACTCGGTAGCCTCCTAGGTGCCTACCCAGCCCAAGTTTCTTGTGCCACCACCCCTGACCCCACACCCACTCCTCCCCTGGCACCTGTCAGCCCAGCCAGCTGGGCTGATGACTCTGGAATATCACTTTCATCCTGTGTCTTTCCCACTCAGGAACCCAGCATGGCTCCCATTGCCCGGAGCATCAGAGCTCAGCCCCTTGCTGGGCCTCAGGCCCCCACCATCGGGCCCTACCTTATGACTGCCTGTGTTTCCCAGCATCCTCTCTCAGCCTCCACTGAGCCAACCTCCTTCTGGTCCTCTGCACACATCCCACTCTTCCTACCTCTGTGCCTTCATTTTTGATGGGAAGCCCCCATGCCCTCATTCTGGAATGTTTTTGCTTCCTGACCCTCCTCCACATACTTCAATCCACTCAGATCCTTCCGGGCCCAGTTCAGGCCTGGCCTCCTCTGGGTGGATTTTCATTCTGCAGCATTCATTCAGGAAGCACTCATGAAGAGCCTACCAGGTGCCGGCCCTGGCCTGGGGCTGGGCTTAGAGCCGGGGCAGGATGGCCCGGCATCTGCTCTATGGAGCTCACAGCCCAGCCTAGGCTGGCAACTCCAGTCTGCCCCAGTTTCCAGTTCTGTCCATTCCCCTTGCAGCTCAGCATGGATGAAGCTTTGAAATCCAGAGAGGAAGATCAGGGTTGGGATTATGGCTGGGGTTCAACAGGAGTGGGGGGCTGGGGGTGGCTGGTTCCCAGGAGGCCTGAAAAGGGGGCCTGGAAGTGGGAAGATCAACCCCAGTGCAGGGCCAGCCCTTGCGTCACAGGATCACTGCTGAGAGCCTGGAGGTGAGCGATCCTGTCAGCACCACCATGCAAGAGACTGATGACTCCATCCGCAGGAATGTCGGGGTGCAGATTACACTTCTCTCCCAGAGGCACACTGTGTGGGAAGCCAACTGTTTAGTCTAAATGTTTGCATCCCTCCATAATTCATATGTTGAAACCCCATCTCCAAGGTGATGGTACTAACAGGAGGGGCCCTTGGGAGGTGATTAGGTCATGAGGGCAGAGCCCCCATAGATGGGATTTGTGCCCTTATAAAAGAGACCCCAGAGAGCTGCCACTCCCCTTCTGCAATGTGAGGACACGGTGAGGAGATTGCCATCTATCAACCAGAACGCAGGCCCTCACCAGACATCGCATCTGCTGGTGCCTGGATCTCTGGCCTCCAGAACTGTGAGAAATAAATTTATGTTGTTTATAAGTAATTAGTTTATGGAATTTTGTTATAGCAGCCCAAACAGACAAGATACCAACTTATTAGAAGGTTGCCTGGTGAGCAGGAAGGCAGAGGAAAGTTCTGCTTGCTATAGAATCTGAGGCTTGTTGAATCTGAGGCTTGCTATAGAATCTGAGGCATCGCTGCCTGTGGCACCATCCGTCCAACAAGAGTAGGCCTGGCCAGGGCCAGGACACTGAAGCCAACCACCCCGGGGTACTGTCTCCCAATCAGATGGCCACTGCCAGCCTCTGCCCATGAGGTTTCCCCTTTCTGGGCTTCCATTGGTGGCCACCGTCCCCGTCTTCTGATGGGCACTGTCTTTAACATTCCTCTGTGCTGTAGCTCCATTCTGACCACTGAATCTTGGAATCATTTCTTAAGGTGACTTTCTATATCTCTGTTCGGAATCATTTTGTATCATTTTTTGGTTTAATTCTTAGCATCTTACTTCCCAATATGTAGCTCTTACAATGCACCTTACACTTGCCCCTGTGTCTCAACAAGATTATAAAACCTTAGGGGGCCGGGACCATCTTCCTTTCTGGCCCAAAGTTGGACATCTGGACAAAAGCCCATCACGCACAGCCCTTGATGCTTTGCTCTGCTCTGGACTTGGGATGCCTGGAGACTGGCAGGCACAGAGGGTGTGGGGTGGCTGGGAGCTGAGCAGTATCTTCTGGGCCAGGACAGTTCTCTCCGAGGCCTCCTGAGCATGCAGTTAGGGCTGTACAGCCTCAGTTTTGTCCTCAGCCAAAAAGGGATCTGTGTTAGTGGAAGGAGAATGTGGCTGCCTCCACTCCTGTGAGCTGCCTGAGGGAACCAGATGGCAGGAGGGAAACAGAGCACCTCCAGAGAGCACCTCAGGGCCCAGCCTCTAGAAGGAACTAGGCATGGGTGCAACCAAATGAATGAGCTGTGTCCTCATCCCTCAAACCTAGGCCAAACAGGTGAAGAAAAGCATTGAATGCTGGGAGTTGTCAGCAAAGAGGATAAGGGTTAAGCTTGGGGCTGTGTGGATATCCTCTGGGTGATTTTTACAGAGGGTTCAGGATGGAATGGGGTAAGGAGAGGACTATGAGGGGGTCAGGCAGCAGACGCGGATGGTGTTTCCACACACTGAAGAGAAAACTGGGTGAGTTCTCCTCATTCAGCCACCAGCTATGGGCCTCAGCTTCTTCCCTATTCATAAGGAAGAAGGGGGTGGTCAGAGAATCTTCTGGGTCTAGTCCAGCTCTGCCATTGGTGGCTTGGAGGAGGGCTGTCCACAGAGGAGGGCAGAAGCAAACACTGGGGGATGGAGGCTGATGATAAGAGGGAAAGGGGACAGCAGCCCAGCGTCAAGTATCTGCTCTGTGCTGGGACAGAGCTGGGCACTTCGTCCACACCGTCTCACGTATCTTTACGCTGACCCCTTGAAGATGGCATTTATTTGCTGCATTGATTTAGGGGTGAGGAAACCAAGGAGCAGAGGGATTGGCAGAACCCTCCAAAGTCACTCTCCTGGTATGCCAGAGCTGGGATTTGTAATGAGGCTTCGGGTTCCCAAGTCCCCAGGCCTCCACGTTGGTGGGTGGGCTCCTGAAGAGCAAGTGGCTCTGTGTCTGGGTATGTGCCTGAGTGGCTGAAAAGGAAGGGGTTATCAAGTTGGTTTTTAGATTAGTGCTGTGTTTCTTATATTTGCTAGGTTTTTTTTTTTGTTTTTTTTTGTTTTTTTTTGAGATGGAGTTTCGCTCGTTACCCACGCTGGAGTGCAATGGAGCGATCTCGGCTCTTCACAACCTCCACCTCCCGGGTTCACACAATTCTCCTGCCTCAGCCTCCCGAGTAGCTGGGATTACAGGCATGCTCCACCACACCCGGCTACTTTTGTATTTTTAGTAGAGATGGGGTTTCTCCATGTTAGTCAGGCTGGTCTTGAACTCCCAACCTCAGGTGATCCACCCACCTCAGCCTCCCAAAGTGCTGGGATTACAGGCATGAGCCACCAAGCCCAGCCCATTTGCTAGGTTTTTGCTAACTTGGTTCTCAGTAATTTTCCTTAGTGGGGGTGAAAAATAAGGATTAAAAAAAAAAAAGTGAAGATAGAAAATGGTAGGTGGTTAAGAAAATCTTAGCTCCTGATTAGCACAGAGTGAAGAAAGGGAAAGTCAACTGGAGGTCAGGAAGGGAAGTACAGTTTCAGTTGTTTACCTGTTGAGGAGATACCTCAGTTACAACAGAGTAAAGATGGGGGCGTTTCATGGCAAGTACTAAATGGGTTGCATGAAGCAATGCTTTTAAAATACAGTAAAATGTTAACATTTGTTAAATCTAAGTAGTGGCTACAGATACTTTTGGAATTAATAATGTACTCATATTTTACAGAAGCAAACAAAACGTCTGGCCAGAGGCAGAAGTACAAAACATATAAAAGAAATGACATGGCAGATACACAAACATATGAAAGGAAAACAGTGAAAGGAAGGAACATGCATGTGATTGATGAGAGCCAAGTCCAGAAGAAAATGTAATCCAAGGAACAGGAAAAAAAATTCCCAGTAGTAGTCTCAGCTATAGAAAAATGTAAAAAAAACATGAATTCAAGAAAGTAGGCACTCAAAGCTGAAACAGATGAAATAACAAGGAAAGAAACTGACGGCACTTCTTCAAAACTCATACATGAGAAATAGCAAGAAAATGAACAGATATGGCTAAAAATCAATCTGATATCAAGGAAAGGCCTGAGATAATCATGGTGAATGAAGAGAAAAGAGACATGCATTAAAAAGAGAGATAGCTATGAAAGGTATAAAAAATATCAAGACAATGAAAAAAAGAATAAAAATAGAATTTAAAACAGAAAACCTAACACATGAAAAAGAAAAAGTATTCATCAAGAAAATACAAGACATCTTCCCTAGAATGAAGAATAGAATTGCACCTCTAAAAAGCACACTTTGTTCCAGGAAAAACTGATAAAGAACAAGAAAGAACTATTCAGACATATAGATTTAAAAAGAGAAAGAGAAAGGAAGAAAAGAAAGAAAAAAAAGAAAGAAAAAGCCAAGGGAATATCTCGTTAGAGGGTATCCTCTTAGATGGGACTCTTCGGCTGGCCTCAGTGTTGTCCCTACCAACAGTCAACACCAGATGACAATGGAGAAATATATCCAAATTCTGAGCAAAAGAAGGTGTGATGCAAGAATATTTTATTCAGCCAAGGTGTGCACAACTATAAAGACCACAGAAACATTCCCTAACGCAGAAAATACAGAACTCATGAGCCATTCCTGAGTCATTCCTAACGGTGCAATTCAGCCAATCAAGAGTTTGTTTGTTTGTTTGTTTGTTTATTGAGACGGAATCTCGCTCTGTTGCCCAGGCTGGAGTGCAGTGGTGTGATCTCTGCTCTTTGCAACCTCCGCCTCCTGGGTTCAAGCTATTCTCCTGCCTCAGTCTCCCAAATAGCTGGGATTACAGGCGCCTGCCTCCACGCCCAGCTAATTTTTGTATTTTTTATAGAGATGGGGTTTTGCCATGTTGGCCAGGTTGGTCTCGAACTCCTGAACTTAAATGATCTGCCCGCCCAGACCTCCCAAAGTGCTGGGATTACAGGCATGAGCCACTGTGGCTGGACTTCAATCAAGAGTTTAAAAATAACAACTCAGAAATGAAGAAGCAATGGCAAAAATACTGGTGGTGAGCCACAAAATCAGTTTAAATATAAAATGAAGGCCGGGCGGGGTGGCTCACATCTGTAATCCCAGCACTTTGGGAGGCTGAGGTGGGCAGATCACCTGAGCTCAGGAGTTCAAGACCAGCCTGGCCAACAGGGTGAAACCCCGTCTCTACTAAAAATACAAAAATTAGCCAGGTGCGATGGTGTTTGCCTGTAATCCCAGCTACTCAGGAGACTGAGGCAGGAGAATCGCTCAAACCCGGGAGGCAGAGCTGCAGTGAGCTGAGATTGTGCCATTGCACTCCAGCCTAGGTGACAAAGTGAGATTCTACCTCAAAAAAATAAATAAAAATAAAATAAAATGAAGTCCCAGCTACTTGAGAAACTAAGGCTGGAGGATTCTTTGAGGCTGGTGAGAACAACATAGTGAGACTTTGTTTCAAAAAGAAAGAAAAAAAGACTGTGGTGAGAATTAAGGTTTCAGAGCAGAAGGAAATGCATAGACTTTAAAAACAAAATCAATATAGGAATAAACAAATTGAGGAGAAAGAGCAAGCTATTTCCTTATCTTTAGAGCCTTGGATTATGCCATCTAAAAAGGAAACCTTATTAAGAACAATTCTAGTTTCTTAATGTTTCTCATAATATTAACTTCAGGGAGATCTTTTGGGAACTACTAATTTTTGTGGGGAAGAAACATCTACTTCAGTTTCTTTTTCTCCTGTTAGATTCACATAAAATTAGATTCAGAACTTTTCTTTTTAAAATAGCATTTTAATATAAGCATTTCTATTTAGCATTCTACCTAGAAATACCTTAGACATACCTAGAATGCTGTTCACCTAATGTTAGTAGTTATCTCTGGGTGGTTTTTGGTTTTTTGTTTTTAAGAGACAAGGTCTCGCTCTGTTGCCTGGGCTGGAGTGCAGTGTTGCAATCATGGCTCACTGCAGTCTCAACCTCCTGGGTTCAAGCGATGAGGCTGAGGCTGGGACTACAGGTGTGCGTCACCACACCCAGCTAATTAAATTTTTCTTTTTTTTTTTTTTTTTTTTTGTACAGACAGGGTCTTACTATGTTGCCCAGGTAGGTCTCAAACTCTCGGTCTCTCCCCTTGGCCTCCCAAAGCACTGGGATTACAGCTGTAAGCTACCGCACCTGGCACTGAGTGGAGGTTTCCATAAGATCACCCAAACTGTCTTCAGTTCTTTATAATAAGAATGTATTATTTTAAAAAAAATAATAGAGTCATTATTCTGAAAAAATAAGATTGGTGAAATGTCTGTCTTCAGCATGGTGTCTAGAGGCTTGTCAGTTTGATTTAGTAAGAAAGCCTAAAGGACATGTGTCATGTCACAGGAATGTGCAGTAATAAGATGGAATTCAAACTAAGCAAAAATTCATACTGAATTTCAAAAACATCATGGGCTAGGAATTATAACTTCTAATTAAAACCGCCTGGATGCAATTTGATCTATGGATTCAATGCAATCCCAATCAAAATCAAACACAAGCTATTTTGTGGATATCAATAAACGGATTCTAATGTTTAAATGAAGAAGCAAAAGACTCAGAATATCCAACTTAATACTGAAGAAGAACAAGGTAGAAGACTGACACCACTCTGACTTCAATATTTACTATAAAGCTATAGTGATCGAGACAGCGTCCTATCAGCAAAAGAACAGACAAATATATCAAAAGACCACGAGAGAGAGAGCCTAGAAACAGATCCACATAAAGATACTGATTTTTTTTTTTTGTTTTTTGAGATGGAGTCTCGCCATGTTGCCCAGGCTGGAGTGCAATGGCTCGATCTCAGCTCACTGCAACCTCCACCTCCCAAGTTCAAATGCCTCTCCTGCTGCAGCCTCCCGGGTAGCTGGGATTCCAGGTGCCCGCCACCATGCCCAGCTAATTTTTGTATTTTTAGTAGAGATGGGGTTTCACCATGTTGGCCAGGCTGGTCTCAAACTCCTGACTTCGTGATCTGCCCGCCTTGGCCTCCCAAAGTGCTGGGGTTACAGGTGTGAGCCACCGCACCCAGCCAAAGTGTTGATTTTTGACAGAGGAGCAAAGGCAATATGCTAGAACAACTGGACATTAACATGCAAAAAATGAATCTAGACATAGACCTTATACCTTCCATAAAAATTCGCTCAGAATGAATCTAAATGTGAGTATAAAATGTAAAAGTATAAAACTCTTAGAAGTTAACACAGGAGAAGGCCCTAGATGACCTTGGTTATAGAGGTGACCTTTTAGATACAACACCAAAGGCATCATCCATGAAGAAACCAATGATAAGCTGGACTTTGCTGAAATTAAAAACTTCTGCTCTGGAAAAGACAATGTCAAGAAATGAGAAGACAAGCCACAGAACTCTTAAAACTCAATAGTAAGAAAACAACCAACCAGACTATAATAAAAAAAAAATGAGCAAAAGATCTGGAATCCTCACCAAAAATGATATATAGATGGTAAATAAGAAAACATGTTCAACATCGTATGTCATTAGGGAATTGCAAATTAAAGCAGTAAGGTGTTACAAACCTATTAGAATGGCCCAAATCCAAAACACTGACACATGCTGGTGAGGCTGTGGAGCAACAGGAACTCTCATTGCTGGTAGGACTGTAAAATGGTACAGCCACTATGGAAGACAATTCAATGGTTTCATAAAAAGCTAAACATACTTAGGCCGGGTGCGGTGGCTCACACCTGTAATCCCAGCACTTTGGGAGGCCGAGGCGGGCAGATCATGAGGTCAGGAGAGCGAGACCATCCTGGCTAACACGGTGAAACCCCGTCTCTACTGAAAATACAAAAAATGAGCCGGGCGTGGTGGCGGGTGCCTGTAGTCCCAGCTACTCAGAAGGCTGAGGCAGGAGAATGGTGTGAACCCAGGAGGTGGAGCTTGCAGTGAACTGAGATTGCACCACTGCACTCCAGCCTGGGTGGCAGAGCAAGATTCCATCTCAAAAAAAAAAAAAAAAAAAAAAAAAAAAAAGCTAAACATACTCTTACCATATGATCCAATTATTGTACTCCTTTGTATTTAGTTATATGAACTGAAAACTTCTGTCCACACAAAAACCTGCGCATGAATGGTTTTAGTAGCTTTATTTACAATTGCCAAAACTTGGGAAGCAAACAATATGTCCTTCAGTAGATGGATACATAAATTCTGGTATATCCAGACCATGGACTATTATTTGGCACTAAAAAGAAATGAACTATTGAGCCATGAAAAGATGTTGAGGAAACTTATGTGCCTATTACTAAGTGGAAGAAGCCAGTCTAAAAAGGCTACAGGCTGTATGATTCCAACTATTTGAACATTCTGGAAAAGGCAAAACTATGGAGACAGTAAAAGATCTGTGGTTGCCAGGGGTTAGTGGGGAGAGAGGGATGATCAGATAGAGCATAGAGGATTTTTAGGGCAGTGAAACTACTCTGTATGATACTATAATGGCAGACATATAACACAGGACAACATACATTTGTCCAAACCCATATAGGATGTAAAACACCAACAGTGAAGTGAACCTAATATAAACTATAGACTTCAGGCGATAATGACCTGTCAACGTAGGTTCATTGACTGTAACAAATGCACCACTCTGGTAGGGATGCTGATAGTGGGGGAGGCTGTGCACATGCGGGAACAGGGGATATATGGGAACTCGCCGTACTTTCCATTCAATTTTGCTGTGAACCTAGAACTGCTCCAAAAATTAACAAACAACAAAAACCCCAGCCTGGACGTTTCCAGGAATTAGGATGGTCCAGTAGAGGAGGGGCACAGGAGATGAGAAGGGGAAGCAAAGGAGATGAGGCTGGAGTGGTGGCCAGGACTTCTCCTGTGGGCAATGGAGAGTCACTGAGGAGCAAGGAAGGGAGGTGACCAGACATCAGGGCAGCTACATGGATGGTGAATTGGGATGGGGAATGTGCGGCGAGAAACCAGTGAGGTAATTACTGGCAGAGTCTAAGAGTGAAGCAAGCTCTTAGACAGAGACAGCAGCAGTGGAGCTCGATATGTGATAAGGAGGCAGGATTGTCCTGAGCTTGGTCCTGGTCAGAAGTAGAGGCTAAGAAAAAGGAGAGGAACCCCTTGCGGCTGCCATAGACTTTTTGGACATGGTGATGTAGAGGTGCTTTGGAGTTGGCAGAGATGACCTCCCATCACGTGGATGCACAGGGCTACTGCTCAAGTGAGAGGTGTGGGCTGAGCATAGACTGGAGGTGATCTGCCCATGGCTGGAGGGTGAAGCATGGAGTTGAGATATCCCAGGGAGAAACTGCAGGCAGAACCATAGGAGAGACCAAAATTTCAGAGACAGGCAGAAGAGGACGATCCTACAAAGGAGACAGAGTAGGAAGAAGAGGTCCAGGAAGGGGTAGTGAGTACCACAGAGGCCAAGGGAGGGAGGGACGGGTTCTCCACAAGTCAGTATCAAATGCTATAGTGGGGTGGAGAAAGAAGGGGACTGAAAACAGGCTATCTCATCATGTTTTAACAGGGAATCAAGCCCTTACCCCCCGCCCCGTTTTTGGGGAGGGCTGAATTCCAGTTTTCAAGCAGGTAAATGAACAGAATTGTGGAAAGGAATAATATATCTTATTCCTGAATAAAATATATTAGGGTTGGAACAAACAAGAATGGACATTTTGTAAAAACAAGTATTTTAAAGTGGACTCCAGACTTCTTGACTTATAGCCCGACTAATCATTTAACAGGATGTGACTTACCATCAATAAGACAACAGCAGAATAAATGACAGCACACCCACGCCACGGAGTATTAACCATCAAGAAGAAGGGACTGGAGCCCTACCAGCTGACCTGAAGAGAACTCTGTGAGGAGTTGAGTAAGAAAAGCAGGACAAAGAAAGGGCCTGTAATATGATCCCATTTTCGGTAAAGCAGTAACAAAACCTTGTTTATGATTAGAGAGCATGGAGGAAATTATGGAAAAATACACGGCAGAGTATGGCTGTGTATATATCACAGTTACCTGACTAGGAAAAGGGGTGGGGTAACATGGGGAAGAGGAAGGGGCAGCAAGTAACAGAGAAAAATTAAACAGGAGGACACTTAACAGCATATAAAAAATGGTCATATTTATGCATTTATATGAAAGTATATATATATATAATGGCTAAAAAATGAACACACACAAAAATGTCTGACTGAAATCCACCGAGTTAACTAAGTGCTGAGAGCAGCCTGTCATCTGGGGGCAGCTGGGGTGAGCCAGCAAGGGGCCTGGAGTCCCGCACACATGCCTGGCCGTCCTGCGAGAACCAAGGACGCCGTGGGTGAGGCATCACTGGGAGGGCATCTGGGCTGTGTGCAGCAAGCTGGTGAGAAAAAAAAAGGCGTCCAGGGGCTCACCTGCATTCTGGGTGAAGTGCACAGACAGGGGAGGGTATTAACAGGGGGACTGAGATTTGAGAATTCATGGGAATAGCAGATGAGAAGCCGCTGTGGGTAACGTCTGGGGTGCGGAGAAAGTGGAGGCTGTGAATGCAAGGACAGTGCTGGGTGCAAATGGTAGAGACCAAAGCCAGGCGGGCACAGAGGAGCCCCACAGGCCGGCCTCATGAGCGAGATATGGCTAGAAGTCTCTCATGTCATGGGAGAAGGGGAAACAAGAGAAAACTGGAAATTAAAGAATGACACCAACAAGAGGAAAGTTCTTATCAACCAACACTTTTAATTGCAAAAAGTAAAAACCTTCATTACAATAAACTTTAATTTACATACATTCTTCACATGGTGGAAGTCTTTACCAGTTTGTAGTATCCTGCACTTGAACACATACTAAAAGCTCAAGCCATTCAGAGCCGCTGTGGCTGTGACAGCTGCCTGCCTCCCTCTGCTCCCTGGGACCATCCAGGGCCACCACACCCTGCTCCCGGAAGGAGAGCTGCAGCTGACCCTGGCACCTGTCCCCGATGATGGCGGGAGCACTGCGCTGAGTCCCTGTCTTGCCTGTGACTCCTCCTTCCCCGACCCTCGGCATTGGTTACTGACCCTTCCCCAGGGTGGAGGTGAAGGAAGGGAAGACTGCAGCCAACATTTTTCTGAGGGTAAAACTGTGGAAAGAAGTATGGAGGGAAGCCTGTCTGGATAAGATGGGGCTTTCTGGGAATGTCATGTGTCTGCTGGCTCCTGTCACCTCCCTGGAAGGGTCCACAGTGCTGGGGGGTTGCAGTGTGAAGAATGGGATGCTACTGTGAGTAAGGGTGGCTGCACAGGTGAGCCCCCTGCCCCAAGGAGCTGCTGTGGGGAGCGATGGTGTCAATGAAGCCTGGCACAGAGAAGATGTCCCAACTCCCCAGTTTCTGTCTGAAACTCAGACCTCGGCTGGGTTCCTTTCTCCACACAGTGCTTGCCGCCATGGCTCATTCTTGGATTGATGGCTGCTGCCTGCCTGACAGACACACTAGGCAGAGGCGGAAGGGTCTCTGGTCCAGCCCTGTCAAATCCTGACAGTTCCAGGCCTCCACTTAGTTATGTAACATTCCTTCCCTCCACTAGTCTGAAAAAGTCTGGACATTTCGCAGTCTCCAGGGAGAGGAATATGACAGATGTATTTGGCACTAATGCTTAAATTATGCAGGGCAGGGAAACCAGAGACACTGAGGGACCTGGACAACAGACAAGCTGGCTGAGGGTTTCTCTTCAAGGCCAGCATTTAGTCACACTGCGTCCACGGTGGGTGGACTTGGATGTGGTGCACGAGAAGGAGAGCACCTGTCCGTCTCCCTGACATGCTTCTGGAAGAGGCTGCTGGGGATGTGGAGACTGGGGGTGGGGAGGACAGGGAAATGCCTGCTGCTGGTGACACAAACACATTCCCGGAGGCTTCCGTGTTTCATTTGCTACAGAGCTGTCTCCACAAGCGCCTTCACTCTCCTAGCTTCCTGACCCTGCCATGCATCGGTTCTGTACACAACATCTGCAGGTCCAAATACAGAGAGAATTTCAGCCTAAAGTACAACTTTAAAGCATATCTCTGACACTCCCTTCCTTCAACAAATTGTAGTGGGTGATGGGTCACCACTGAAAGGTAATGAGTGTGGAACTTGTATACTCAAGAGAGCTTTTCCTTCATTGTCAGGAGAGCTCAAAATCCTAAGAGGCCCTTCTGTTTATAACTGATTCTCGAAAGGTAGACAAAATTGCCTCTCTCTGTGCAAACAGACATGCGCCTTTCTCTCTCTTTCTCCTATAACCTGGCTTTCTCCTTTATGGACAAGGAGATGCAAACATTTGCTTTGGGGTTTGAACATTCACTACGAAAGTGACTGGGTAATAAGCAAACTCATTCCAGGCTGTATTAAAATGACTGAGGCCATCACCTGCAGCTAAGAAATGTGAGTTTTTGTTTTAAAGTAAGTGTACACTGAGTCCTATGCTGGGTTTTGGTAGAAGGGAACAGAAAACCAAGAATTGAAAAACAAGTGATGTAAACTCCAAGGGGACCCACAACTGGAATTGAGCAGAGTCCCTCCTCTGTCACACATCTGGAAGAATGTGGAGACAGGAAAATGGCTGGACACAGTTGTGTTTCAGCTACATTCACTCTTAAAAAGAGTTTTCAAATGGGGAGGGGAAAAGTGAAAGGATTTTTATAAAAGTCATATGGTTAGATTCTTTCCTCCTCCACTTCTGTCCAGCAGAGTTTTAAAAACAAACCCTGCGGAGTTCCTGGCTTGCTGACCCCCATCCCTGGGTTCTCCCACCCCAACGGAGGCACATCTGAGTCAACGACATCCACAGCTGTCTTCTTCGGCACCATGCCGTGATGCCGCAGGAAAATGATGTGCTATGGAACCAGCTACCTACCTGCCAGCGGTTAACTGCTCTAAGCCTCCACTTATTTACTTGCAAAATGGGGATCTAACACCTACTTTACAGGATTGGGTGAAGATTAAAGGAGATCATGTATATCAGGCACTTTGTAAACTGGAATGTACTAGACAAATGCTATTATTCCTTTCTCTCAGAACATGAGCCCCCCCAATCTGCTCTCCTCTCCTCCCCTCCCCTCCCTTCCCTTTCCCTCCCCTCCCCTCTTCTTTTCTCTCTCTCTTTTTTTTTTTCTTTTCTTTCCTTTCCTTTGACAGAGTTTCGCTCTGTCGCCCAGGCTGGAATGAAGTGGCACAATCTTGGCTCACTGCAATCTCCGCCTCCCCGGTTCAAGCAATTTTCCTGCCTCAGCTTCCTGTGTAGCTGGGATTACAGGCGCCCACCATCACGCCTGGGTAATTTTTGTATTTTTAGTAGAGATGGGGTTTCACCCTGTTGGCCAGGCTGGTCTTGAACTCCTGACCTCAAGTGATCTGCCTGCCTCAGCCTCCCAAAGTGCTGCAATTACAGGTGTGAGCCACCATGCCCAGCTTGAACCACTTTTATTTTATTCCTTCTCTTCCCTAAAAAAAATTGAGGATAAGCTCTGCCTTTTTTCATCAACCATAATAAGTATGGTATCCATTCACTACTTGACTGCTGGAGAGCTCAGGACATTTGGACAGAATGCTTCAAACTGGGGCCAAAGTAGCCTGTCTCCTCAGAGAGCTGACTTCTGGGCATACGCATCTCTGTAGTGGGAGGCCACATGAAAGTGAACCTAACTCATGTACAGAGGTCATCGCCATGTCACTTCCTAGTAAATGCTCAATAAACTTGTAAACCACCCCCTCTCTTTAGAGCCCTACAGTTTTGTTCTTATTGTGGTGGTGGAGGTGGGGAGTTGGTTAGGTGGTCTTATCGTCACCCTGCAGCCCCACTTTCTCATCCTGACAACCCTCTTTCCCACACCGGGTCATACAGAGGGACTTTTGATGCTTCCAGCTAGATGGCAGGGGCATCCTGTGGCATCCTGCTGTGCAGGGCCTTGATCATCAGAAAGGGACTGGCTGGCAACCCCTAGCCACTCCTGTCGCTCTGGCCAGTAGTAGATTCTGCTTATCAAAATTAACTTGAGAAGTTGAACTGCTTCTGTGTATGTAGAAAACCCTCTTTGGAGAATTTTCCCCTAATACAAGTTTACATTCAAGTCTGAACTGGGTAGATTTTAAGTAAAATGAGTAGTATATCCATAAAAGTCTCCACTTATCTTCTGCTACAGTCATTTTTTGTTGAAGTACAAAATGGGACTTAGGGGACTTTCCCACGGGATGCCTCAGAATACCAACACATGCAAGGGTTTCTTATGGACATTTAAGATGTGAAGGGCAAGAGTGAAATGGGGAAAGGAATACAGAGTAACTCACAGAAACAAAACAGAGATCTCAGTAATCAAAATAGTTGCTTTGTTCCTAAGAAACCCTCTCTTTTGTTAATGGGTCTGATTTTTAAAAACTCTCAGAGGCCTCTAAAGCACTTGTTTACACATAGCCCTTCCCCATGTACAGCCAGGGTAAGGACACTGCAGAAGGCTGTAAAAGCTTGCACAAAGCCGGCCTCCAGATGATCCCTCTGACTTAAAACCTCTTAAATCATAACTGCTTAACAACATGACTTTCATACGTACACAAGTTTTGTTGTTCCTGTATTCATCCACACAAGGGGTTGATTAAGAAAAAATTCCCTCAGGTACAGTTCATCGGAGTTTCACTGAAGCCCGTGGAGGAGGCTCTGATGTTTCTATCCTGAGCTCTGTGAACTCTGCTTGTCCTTTGCAAGCCCATAGACAAACAGGCCATTCAAGTGCTCAATGGTCCCCACTGCTGTTCATGAGACCCACAGAGAAAGAGGGCCTGAGAGATGAGATGCAGGCTCCTCCAGGAATGAAGAGGGCTTCACAACCATCTTCACTCGTCATTGTCTGCCTCTGATCCATAATTCTGACATAGACACCTACTGCATCCTTTGATTTCTGCAATTCAGAACCAGAGGCCAAAGTGTAGTTTGCTTTTTCTTCATCTTGGCAATGGCATGACCAGTGGCCAGCTATCTAGTGGTGTCAATAAAAGAATAATAAAGAGAGAAAAAAATAAAAGGAACAGGAAAAGAACATCCTTATTTACACCATTTGATTGCTACCTACTAAAAGCACTTAGGAGAAAACAATGCACATAGTGAATCATCCAATCAGAAACACACAGCTTTATATTATTACAAAAAAGAAAAACACCTCACCTTGTCTTTGTTTCGCAGCACAGACAGAAATCATTTTAAGACAGAGGATCACATAGGCAGTTGTACACCCAGCTGACAAACACTTTGGGTCTGGATTTCCTCCCCCAACCACATTACATCAGCTTTGACACATCTGTAAAACATCTTCTCTGCAGAAAGTCAGACCCTAAAGATCAAACCCAGGGAGGCACCCTCTCCCCAGGCCAGCTACTCTAACTCATAACCCTCTGAAGACACTTGGTAAAGGCAACACAGCTGACGAGAGCAGTGCTGCCTCAGCAGTAGTGGGCTCTGGCCCCGCCAAGGCAGGGAGGACTAGGGCCGAGCTTCTGAGAAGCCATCCAGATAGGCAAGGGAGAAGGGGAGGGGGTGCAGTGGGGATAAAAGAACCTGATGAAATGGAAGAAAGCATTACCTTGGGAGTTACCATTTTGAATTATTATATAATCAGACTCTAGCCTGGCATCACGGAGACTCCAAGAGCCACGGACAATGGGAAAGAAGTGTACTTCTTGAATGCAATTCAAAGTTATCTGAACTTTTTTCACTGTTTCTAGATTCCACTTTGCTTGGGAAACTACAAGAACTTCTTTAATCAGCCATGGCCTTCCAAAAAGTAGAGTGATGTGGCAGGCAAGACAGGGACAAGCAGGCCCACCTGGTAAAGGATGGCTCTGACATTAGAACCTGTTGGCTGCCCTCTCCACTGCCAGGGAAGGAAGCTGGCCATGCAGGTGAAGAAAGGCACCAGCCCTGTTTCCTGCCTGAAGGGCAGCATCAAGGTCATAGTGTCCAAAGGCCCGGAAGAGGTCAGTCTCAGATGGGTGCTGGCAGAGTCCTAGCCAAGTGGCCAGGCTGAATCCTTCCTGAGCCACCTGCAGGAAGAGTCAGGAGGGCGAGGCTCTGGCCACTGCCTTGCAGCTCACAGCTGGTTCACACATGCATGCAAAGGGCAGGTAACTAAGTAACCAACCCCCAGAAAGCAGTTTCATCGTTTTTGTTTTTATTTTTCCCCTTTCAACCTGGTTTTCGGCTCTGGAAGCTGTTCCTGTGCACAGTTCTATTTCCTACAGTTCTGAGAAAGCGGTTCCATCGCAGATGACCAAAGGCTGGACCCCTCTGGCTATAACGTAGACCTTCCAGTGGGTGGTGTCGACATAGCCTTGAGGGGAAATAGCAAGAGGAAGGCATGTAAATGTCAGAGGGTGGGCACACCTGTGGGCACGAGCAAGGCAGGTCTGCCAGAGCTGGCCCTCAGGGTGCACTGCAGAGTCAAAGACAAATCTTTTTCTATTTAATTTAGTTTCCTTTTTTTTCTTTTTCTTTCCTTTTTTATTTTTTAAGAGATAGGGGTCTCACTATATTGCCCAGGCTGGTCTTGAACTCCTGGGCTCAAGTGATTCTCCTGCCTCAGCCTCCCAGAGTGCTGAGATTACAGGTGTGGGCCACTACACCTGGCTTAAAGACAAATTGCTCTGAAAGTCTTCTGGCACTTCCTAGCATAAGTATTCCTAGTTATTATCAGTCCTCTTTAAATGCTTTATCACCACCCCTCACCCAGGGAACTGTGAATCACAATTCAGCAGGCTTACAAAGGCAGGATGCTCTAGATGAGGCTGCTGTTGGGCATCAAGTCTCAGCTTTTACAGCAAGAAGACAGAATGGATTCCGAGGGGACACAAGACCTACTAGCCAATTTTCCTGTGTCTATCTATAATGTGGTTTCATTACAGAACATCCAGATTAACCTAAACCTAAACCAGCATTGCCCAAATTGGGTTTGGCAAACAGTAGTGTCCTGTAAGATATTCCAAAGAAAATAGGTTCCATGGCCAAGTAAGCCTGAGAAACACTAGGTTTCCCCAAGGCTTTTCAACATCTTTGATACACTAATAATGTACTATGCATCAACAAGACAGGCATTTCCCAAAGTCGACTGACTCGAGACCCTACTTGCCAAGGGTCTTTTCAAAGGCCTTCTGGTCCCACCTGTGGGGTCATGAGTAATCTGAAGAATCGTTTAGGAAACACTGACCTATCATTTGAGTGGGCTATGAAGGTAAACCTAAAAACTTCAACCTTTCAATAATCCCCAGTGATGCTGAACATCATTGTGCCTATAGTTTACAATACTTTTAAAAATTCTTTTTTTCTTTCTTTTTTTTTTTGAGACGGAGTTTCACTCTTGTTGCCCAAGCTGGAGTGCAATGGCGCAATCTCGGCTCACTGCAACCTCCACCTCCCAGGTTCAAGCAATTCTCCTGCCTCAGCCTCCCGAGTAGCTGGGATTACAGGTGCACACCACCATGCCTGGCTAATTTTTTCTATTTTTAGTAGAGACGGGGTTTCATCATCTCTTGGCCAGGCTGGTCTCGAACTCCTGACCTCAGGTGATCTGCCCGCCTTGACCTCCCCAAGTGCTGGGATTACAGGCGTGAGCCATCGCGCATGGCTTTAAAAATTTTTAATTCAGTGATTTTAGAGACAGGGTCTCGCTTCATTGCCCAGGCTGGAGTGCAGCGGTGCAGTCATAGCTCACTGCAGCCTCAAATTCCTGGGCTCAAGAGATCCTCCCAACTCAGCTTCCTGAGTAGCTGGAACTACAGGCGTGTGCCACCACGCCTGGCTAATTTTGTAATTTTGGGTAGATACAAGGTCCTACCATCTTGCCCAGACTGGTCTTGAACTCCTGGGCTCAAGCAATCCTCCTGCCTTGGCCTCCCAAAGTGCTGGGATTATAGGTGTGAGCTACCCTGCTCAGCCCCTAACAATGCTGTCTTGTACACTTAAAAATTCGTTGAGAGGGTAGATCTCATGTTAAGTGTTTTTACCATAAGAAAATAAAATTTTAAACAAAAAAAATCTCTTGATGGGAAATTTATTCTAGCGTACTATGGGCCCTGCTCATCTTTAAATGAAGAGCACTGAGTAGAATTCAACTTTTACTTGGTGACTTGGTCATGATGGGCAATGACTATCCTGTACAGTGACTGCAGATGTTGTACCTGACCCCCAAAAGGTTTTCTGGTGATCTGGAACCCCTCTCCCCTCCATCTCCACAGGAAAATGTACATTTTGTCAAAAATCATAGAACTTGCATGTCATGGTGCCATTCTTAAGGGTCCCTAAGGTAGAGGAACCGCCATCTGTCCTGTAACACTGAATGATTCTTCTTGGTCAGGGTCTGCTTTCCTGTCCTCATTGTTAACCGTGGCAGTGACAGCCATCATGTCTATTTCTGTCACTGCTTCAGGTGCTCGCTGGCTTCCCCACCCCTCCCTGCCCCCATTCTTCTCCCAGACTTGCTCTCCTCTTCTTCTTCTCTTCAGTCCCCATCCATCTCTGTGTTCTGTCATGTGACTGGCCTTTTATAGACACTGCCAACTATAGGGGTCCTTTCTTTCTAGTCAACAAACCAGCCAGGCACAGCACAGCAGGTATCATGCACCGGATGTTAGGCTAATCTGGACTATCTGTACCAGCATTTGATGCTCAAGCTTTCTTGATCACTGCCAGACTTTTTTTTTTTTAATTTTTCCCTAATTCTGTAATTGGTATTCCGGTTGCTCGTGGGAGCCGGAAGTCTGGAATTCAGATAACTAAGGTGTTTCTGTAGTTGTCTGAATTGTTAGGCATTTGTAAAATATAAAACAGAAACTTGTTCAAGCACAACCACATGCTCCAAACCTAAATATGCCAGAGAGATTTTCGCAATAGTCATCTCTTGTGTTAAGAGTCACTCCATTACAGGAAAAAGATTCAGAACGATTTCCATACAAGAATCCTCGTTTTTGTAGGAAGTTTCCCAAGAGCCAGGCCAGCTGTGCTCCATTATTAGTTAATGCTTGATTTGTACCTTATTTTTATTTTTCATTTCTGAATTGAAATAAAAGTTATGTAACCTAAATTAAGACTTGGCATAGCTTGCAGTCCAATTCCTACCCTCATATGAGATGCAAGGTTTCTAGGGGCTTGGGGGTCTTCTGAATGGGTAAAATTAAAAGAAATCAATTGGAAAACCAGTCTGGGCTCTGCCAGAGACTCCAGGTCTTGCCTAGGTTTTGTGAGGCAGGAAAAGCAAGGAGGTCAATGGTGACACTCGCTGATTTATTTGCTTCTTCCAAGAAAACTCGGCTGTCAAACAGATTGCTACTGACAGCAGTGGATTCAAACCTGTTTCTTTGGAACAGATTTTTAATTAGGATATAAGGCACAGGACAAGTCACATTTGGGCAAACACTGAGCCAGGGTCAAGGGTGAGTCATCAATGTGAGGCTGTGACTTGGCTGTGGCAGCCACACAGAAGGTAACATTTCCTTGTGTGACCATTGCCCTTATATACTGCTTGGTATTGTTTTATTTGCAAAATGGGTATATATTCCTGTAGTCCTTGATTGTCCCTCTCCTGGCTTGACTGTGTTCAAGCAGGCACTTAAGACCTGACGCTCTGCTCGACTGACAGTGGGGCCTTGGGGTGGTCACCTCTCCTCTCTGGGTCTCAACCTTTTCATCTATAAAACGAGGGATTGGTCTAAATATTTTCCAGAATCCTTCCTAACTTGAAGTTTCTATGATCAATAGACACACGCATTCTATATGTTGTATGTACAAGCCATTTCTTTCTGCTATGTTTTCTCATTAAGTTGTTTCATTTCTAAGCATAAATATTGAGCCTGTTAACAGGAGAATGTTATTTTTGATTCTACTAAATAAAACTTTTGTGAAGGCAGTATGTGATTCTTAAAATAGCTTTTGAGTTAAAAACTAAAAAGATCCATTGACCCTGCCCTCCTGGGGCCCTACATACCGATATCCCCTGGCTCTATTGGCATGGCCACAGACTGACAATGTCTTCGGCACTGGAAGGGAGGGATGAGCTGCAACATGGCCTCACCGCTGCCAATGATAAATAGGTCAGGCATCTTATGCATCTGGAGGAAAGAATGAGGAGGGGAGGAAAAGGAAGGCAAAGAAAACGAAATAAAACCAGGGGGTTTAGTAAATAAAAATGCTTTCACATATGGCTCTGAGTTTCCTAGCATAAGCAAAGAGGAAATAGAACCAATAACAAAAATTTGCAATTATGTCCAAAAGACAAAAACAAACTACTTTCTCCTAAGAATGGCATCTCTTGGTACTAAGACCAGAGTAAAATCTCTTCTATGGGTTCTCCTAAAGAGGCACTGTGTGATTTAGTGGGCAATACCCTCAACGAGAGCCCCAGAGTAGATCCTGCATGAGCTTTGTAATTTGCAACTATTTTTAGCCACAGCTTCAAAGTAAGCCAAAGAAAAATACCTAATTGCAATTTAACAAAGGTAGTTCCAGCAGAAACCAGCACATGGTGGCTGAAGTATACAACATTCTGAGATTCTGGTTTGATGAAAACTTTTTAGATAAATAGATAATCAGCATATCCTTTGGGCACTCTTCCATGGAATGTTATTTCTTACTACCAGGGCCCTGATAAGAATTGTACAGCAGCAAGTTTAAGTTTACACTGCCTGGCAAGACCCAGGGGAGCAGATATGCCATGCTACCGATTAAAAACTAATGACACTAAGACTGGCCTCTGATTTTGAAAACTAAGGAGACAATCAGCATATGCACCTGCACAGGTAACTACTGCCCCTCTGAGGGCATGATACTGCCAGCAACAGGCATTAAATGCAACCTGCTATGTGCCAGGGAAGGAGCTGTGAACCCTGGGGTGGGGCTGGGACCAGGGCAAGGAATAGGGATAAAGAGAGAGATGGGTCTTGCTGGGACATTTCTCCTTACCTTGATGATGACAGAAAACCCCTAGGGCCTCTTCTCTCATCTCTTCCTCCTATCTCTTGCCCTTCAGAGAAACCCTTTATATGCCCATATAAAGTGGGAGCCAGAAGTCTGACTCCCTGGGCCATGTCTTGGTTTTCTCTTCACCACTCAGGGCCTCCAGAGTCTTGGGTTTTGGCCCCATCTTCCCCTGTCCCCAACCCTGTTCTCTCTGCTGCTGCCACAGGCCTTGCCCATAATGTTTTCATGGCAACACCAGAGCCATTTCACCGGCTAATGTGGTGACAGGGACAGCCTGGTGTCTTCAGCTAGCCTTCAGTTGACTGGTACTAATATTGGCAGAAGCCTTAACATCTGTAGTCCTCAAAACAATCTCAGAAGGACCAAAACAAGTGGCTGTATCCCTTCTTCACACAGGCCTGAAGTGGGCAGGGTCATGTTCATCCATTCCCAGGATGGGAAGAAACAGACAAGAGGGTGGCACAGGCCAGCCCTAGGCCACACCGTGGAGTGGGTGAAGTGGGCCTTGGAGGCCCTCACCTTCTCCCCGAGTGCCACTTAACAACCAGCTCCCCAATTCTGTCCCAAGGCTGCCTTTGGACACTGGGCCCACAGACACGTGACTTTAACAGGGCCCAGGGCCCAGGGCCCAGGGATGTGGACAACAGGGTGGGGTAACAAGGCTGCGGGGAAAGGGGAGCTTGGGCCAGGGTGGGGAAACAGATTCTCTAAGAAACTGGGTTCTCAAGAGTTTTGCCTGTCTGGCCACTGCCCTTCCCAAAACATCCTCGAGAACCACAGCATGACTCTCGTAAGCATTTGAGTAACTCTGTATTTACTCCTTTGGCTGGGCTCCTTGGTGTTGCACACGCTGGAGAAATTAACTTTGGTATTCAAGTGGTAAAACCAAGAGAAAGATAAAGCCGTGTCCCAGAATTATATTTATGAAGATGAAATCATACAAGGGCCTGGAATTCCAGCCGGCGACAGCAGGATAAACTTCTTTAAAATCTGAGGCAAGAGCCCAGCATCTCCACCCCAGTGCTGGCAGACAGAACTTCTTACTTCTAGACAAAATGATTGTTTTTATAGGCTTTTAAATTCCTTTAACACAATTCAGCAAATTTGGAGCCAAGCGATAGTATCAGGAGGTGGAAGCCATGGTCCAGAGGTGGCAGGGGGCCATAGTTTGGGAAATTTATTTTTTTATGAAGGAAAATGCATGCTTTTAATTCTCCCAAACCGATCCAGGCTCAAAAACCTTCCTTAGGAATGAGACTCAACAAAAGGAGCAATTCAGAGAAAAGTAAACAGACACAAATGCAGAACAGCTTCTCCCAGTCCACTGGCCCCAGAGAGGTAACTTTGGCTCTGAGCACTTGGCCCCAGACTGAAGTGGGAAATGATGGGGGCAGAGTGGGCTTTTCTACCCCAGCTGGGCTGCCTGCCTATCAAATCCTTCCCAGGCTCCCACACTTTTTGCCTTTCAAGTTCTCTACCTGAAATCTCTTAATTGTTTATTTCTGGCAAAAACCATCCTGGGGGTGAGAGGGTAAAGGGTGTGTCCTTGGGCAACTCACTTAATCTCTCTGGGACTCAGTTTCCTTATCCACAAAATGGAGCAGTTATTCTATTCATCCACATACTATTACCTTATAGCTTTCTTTTCTTTTTTTGAAAAAATAGAGATAGGGTCTCCCTATATTGCCCAGGCTGGTCTGAAACTCCTAGGCTCAAGCAATCCTCTTGCCTCAGCCTCCCCAAGTGCTGGATTACAGGCGTGAGCGACCACCGATCATGGCTGCTTGCCTACTTTCTAATTTAAGGTAGGAAAGCCAGACTAATTGCACCCTCAAGTCCTTCAAATTTTAAGATTTCACTTCTTTTAATATAGAAAAGTAGTTTGCCTCAGGTGTTAAGGGCAGGAGGCAGATTTGCAAGGTAACTAGATTTTCTGGAAACCTGCCTTCATGACAAGGTGGGCCCCTGCAAGTCTCCTGGCTAGCAGCAGGAGGGGAGAACTAGACTGTGTGGGTGTCCCCTCAATTCACCCTGTAACCCTCTAAGCCAATATGCAGGGAAGGCCTTGGTTATGACATCAGTCCAGGTCCCAAATAAAGAAAATTCTAGATCCAAGTCCTCTCAAAATTTCCTACCTTACTCCCCACAACAGGTTCTGGGTGAAGAAAGGAGCACTTGTTTAAAGAGGCATCTTTTGGAAATGGCAGGTGAGTGAAAACAGGAAAAAGCTCACGTAACATTTGTGATCTGTTCAGAGGTCTCCTCCTGTAGAAGTATGAAACAGAAAAAAAGTAATTAAACTGGTCAAGCCAGCCCATGACTAAGAGAGAGCCAAGTAAGGGTGGGAAAACTGTGGGCGGTGGGTAAAGAGGGAAAAATATGAGTACAGTATCTTAAGTACTAGGTCCCTGAAGAATAGTTGCACAGAGTCAATGAACTATAATGTGTACACACACAGGCATAAACTCTACAGCCATGATTTGAGTATGTGGGTGGAGTGTTTCTAAATTGCAGCTAAAACAATATATATTGGAAGGAAAGAAATAATCTATTCATTCTATCTTGGAAAAGACTGAAGTAACAGCAGGCCAGGCGGGGGAAGGGGAGAAGAGAGAAGGAGGAAGGGACAAAAAGCATGACCCTTCTTCTGAGGCACAGGGAGACGCAGGGGGAAGCCTGCTCAGCTTGTTCAACTGGGCACTCTAGCACGCAAACAAACAGCACATTTAAAGAAAGATAGAAGCATTAAGAAATTAACAAAAAGCCTGAAAAAGTCATTTTAATTCTTTCGAAACAGTTCTAAGATGGAAACTGGCTTTCTTTTCTTACTAGACAGCAACCTTAACCACAAGGAATGAACCATGTCTTCCGCAGGGCACAGGAAGGAACAGCAGGACAAACTGGGGTTTCGATCCTGGCTGGGTAACCTTAGGCAAGTTACTTAATCTCTCTGTTTCCCATTTTTCTTTCTTTCTTTCCCCCTCCCCCAACCTTTTTTTTTTTTGAAACAGGGTCTCACTTTGTCGCCCAGGCTGGAGTGCAGTGGTATGATCATGGCTTACTGCAGCTTCAACCTCCCAGGCTCAAGCCATCCTCCCACCTCAGCCTCCCAAGTAGCTTGGATATTTTTTGTAGAGATGGGGTCTCCCTATGTTGCCTGGGCTGGTCTCCAACTCCCGGGCCCAAGTGATCAACCCGCCTCAGACTCCCAAAGTGTTGGGATTATAGGCATGAGCCACCACGCCTAGCTACTGATCCCCACTTGTCTGATCTGAAGAATGACAACAATCATTCCTACTTTCCAGAGTTATTATCAGTGTCCCCAGTGAGACACAGACACTAAGCACCAAGCCACACTGCCTGGCAGAAACAAGTGCCAAAAAATGCAATTCTCCTTCTATTATTTGCACTCTCTCTTCAGCCCCCTGCATGAGGCCCCATTCTACATAAAATGCTAAATGCATACTTCGAAATAAATTATGACTCTATTAGACAAACTTGCTGTCCCCCCCATGGTGGCACCCCTCCTTCTGACACACCTCTTCATCCATCCCTTTTATCTCTCATCACTGGTTTATCAGTGGGATCCCAGCATTGGATTTGTAAAGTGTTGGGCCTGTGGTAGTGGCTCAGTGATAGCTATTACTGTTTTGCAGGTATTTCTGGTCTGCCCCTTTCCTACTCGCACGCTAAGTGCCCCCATAGCCCCCCCATTTTTTTGAGACACAGTCTCACTCTGTCACCCAAGCTGGAGGGCAATGGCGCGATCTCAGCTCATGGCAACCTCCACCTCCCAGGTTCAAGTGATTCTCATGCCTCAGCCTCCAGAGTAGCTGGGATTACAGGCATGCACCACCATACCTGGCTAATTTTTGTATTTTTAGTAGAGATGGGGTTTTGCCATGTTGGCCAGGCTGGTCTGCAACTCCTAGGCTCAAGTGATCTGCCTGCCTCGGCCTCCCAAAGTGCTGGGATCACAGGCATGAGCCACTGTGCCCGGCCCTTTTCACACTCACCATGGATAAGGAAATGGGAACCACCGCTCAGGAAAGCAGCGCCACCACTTGGCGAAAAACCCTTCAGAGAAGCCTTCTGTCGCCTCAGGGTACTGGCACAAAAAATGCTGAATCTCTTCCTCCAACAGGGGCTTTCCCGTCTTGGCAAGGCAGGAAACAAAACAAAACAACACAGAGTTACTTGTCAGAAATTTCCTAGAGCTTGACCTAGCCTTTAAGCAAGCAGCCAATCAGCGGGAGACTCAGGCTTCTGCTCACCTTGATCACCAGTGGATGGAGCCTCTCAAATTTCCTTGGGGCGTCTTCCAGGAGCATCACCTTCAGGTGTTTCTGGGCACAGCCAGTGCAGTTGGCAGGAATGGGCTCTGACTCATTCTGCTCACAGTCGTTTGTCCACCAGGGGTCAAAGTCTGAGAGAGGAAGGGATATGGAGAAAACAGATACTGAAAGAGCATAGCTGGTACATCCAGTAGCTCCAACAATGAAACAAGAAAGGAAAGACATCATAATGACTTTTATTTATTTATTTATTTTGAGACAGAGTCTCACTCTGTCGCCCAGGCTGGAGTGCAGTGGTGCCGTCCAGCTCACTGTAACCCCTGCCTCCTGGGTTCAAGGGATTCTCCTGCTACAGCCTTCCGAGGAGCTGGAACTACAGGCGCATGCCACCACACATGGCTAATTTTTGTATTTTTAGTTGAAACGGGGTCTTGCCATGTTGCCCAGGCTGGTCTTGAATTCCTGGGCTCACATGATCTGCCCACCTTGGCCTCCCAAAATGCTGGGATTACAGGCGCAAGCCACCGCATCCAGCCCATAATAATTTTTAAAAACAAACAATGATAAGCACTGGAGACCGCTGAAAAGGTAAGGTATATATGAAGCAGCCTCTGAGGAGGGAGTAGAGGACAGGAGCAGGAAGGAGAGGTACTCTTCTCTGTATACCTTTTTACACTTTGTGGAAAATATCTTTTAACCTGTCATGCATTTCCTAAATCAAATCAACAAATAAAGCATAACAGCTAGGAAAAACATTCAGCAATGTGGAGCTAAAGATGTAGTTCCCCCAACATTTTCTAACCTATGACCCATATGGCTGAAACGTCTACAGCACAGGGGGGCTGGTGTGGATAGAAGGGTGACCCCTATTATCGCTGTGCCCTAATGCACTTCTCACACATGCTGGATGTGTGCATAGACCCTTGCTTCACAAGTACACATGGGAGCCAGGACTCCGGGAAGGAAGAGTGAGAAAAGGACACAGAAGAGGAAAGGGATGGAGAGGGTAGACAGGACTTTTCTGGAGCCATCTTTGGAATAAAGTGAATTGCATCTGTCCATAAGACAGCCCTCTATCCCAGCTCAGGAGGGGGTGGGGCCGCCAGCCATAGTTTCCAGCCCCACATGCTGGTCAGAAATGGAAGACCCCCAACCCAGACCCTGCTGTGTGACAGCGGCTCCCTGACATGCCTGTCTGGTTTGGCTCCTTCTCTGAGGGGCTCTTGTTTCTGCACAGCCTTTCCCAGCTTCCCTCTGTTACCATGCTGTTTATAATGTTATTTCATTATTTCTTGTTTACTTTCTGTTCCATTTTGGATTTCGTCTAGGTTCTCTGAGAGATGTGTTTGTTTTAAACTCTGCTTTGAATCTAAAACGTTTCAGAAGACGGTTCTGATTAAAACCCAATGGAAACCAAATCAGGAGAGAGCCTACGACAAATGATAACAGACAACCAAATGTGGCTGAAACGAAGTCAATTTTTTAAACCAATAAACATACTTGGAAACTGACTCTTAACCACAAAACATTTTCTGTGGTTGGCAGTAAGCACTACATGCTTGTTTTCTCTGAGGCAGTAGTAGTGGGGCATAGGAAATCCTCGTCAGGGAAAGACCGTGTTTGTTCTTGGCCGGTCTGCTGAGCATCCTCCATCTCTTGAAGATAGTATCTGTGTTTCCTGGAGGCAACTGCCACCTACCTTTCTCAGCCAGTCTCAACTCGCAGGAAGATTATTAGTCAGAGGATTACCGCTACACCCTGCTCCTGGGAGGGCGCCTCTCCTCCCACAGTACTCTGGGGGTAGCTGAAAACCCTTTAGTACCACCTGTTTCAGTGGCACACTGAGGCTGCAAAGTTGCATTTTTTCTTCTCCAATATTTTCAAATGCTTCTTATTCAGTGTCAAATATGATAAATTCTTGCCAATATGCAAAAGCTCTGGGTAATGGACACACCATGGGGCATAATCATAACAACATGTTACAATTATATAGCATTTCGGTTTCCAAAGTACTTGCGATGGAAGGGGAAGGAGAAAGCAAGCTAATGCACTGAGTGCTTGCCCTATGTTAGTCACTTTCCCATGTTATAGCATTTAATTTTCACTGTGTAATTACTGAGGAGGAATCACTATTCTCATTCTGTGGATGAACAAACTGAAAGTTAGAGGTGATAGGAAGTTCCTGAGGTGCCAGAGTGTGGCAGGAAGAACACAGCAGATGCTGGGCGTGCAGTGGGGGTTTGGGTAAGGAAACAGGCTGCAGAGGAAGATGTGGTGAGGGCTTCCAGGGCTTGAAGCATGTCTGGCTCTACTCAGAACAAAAAGAGGAACTGTTGGAGGCTTTTGAGCAGGAATTTCTCGATGTTCTAGGAAGATTATTCTGGATTGTGATTAGGGTGCCCTAGAAGAGAGAGGCTGGGAAAAGGAAGATCTGGTTATATTTTGGTTTTGCCCTTTTTTAGGGAAAAGGTCGGGGGGGGGGGGTTCACTGTGATGAGAAGTGAAATATAATGAATGAGGCAGTGGGAATGGAAAAAAGGGGTGGATTCTAGAAGCAGTGAAGATGAAATCTACAGCCCCAAGGAGCACTACTGTGAATGTTTGCACTATACTGTCCTCTTGGTCAGTGTCATAATAAACCTGCAGATCTCTGGTATCACCTATGTCATTAGTGCTCATCTAGGGAACGTCATCTGCAGATTTATTATGACACTTTTCTGTAGTAGCGTGTCATATTCCAACAGAATCAGTTAATTATGACAGTCTTCCCAGGAGATGAGAGTAAAGCACCAGGAGAAAGGGGCACCTTCCTCGAATTTGTATAAAGGTGCTGCATGGGCTAGCACCGAGCAGCTCTTAACCTAAGAGTTAGGAGAATTATTTTAACTATAATTTATTTAATTATTATTATTATTATTTTTTTTGGAGATGGAGTCTAGCTCTGTCGCCCAGGCTGGAGTGCAGTGGCGCGATCTCGGCTCACTGCAACCTCCGCCTCCTGGGGTCAAGCGATTCTCCTGCCTCAGCCTCCTGAATAGCTGGGATTACAGGTGCCCGCCACGAAGCCTGGCTCATTTTTGTATTTTTAGTAGAGACAGGGTTTCACCATGTTGGCCAGGCTGGTCTCAAACTCCTGATCTCAGATGATCCGCCAACCTCAGCCTTGCAAAGTGCTGGGATTACAGGCGTGAGCCACTGCGCCCAGCCCAGCCTAACTTATTTAATTTTAATTTTATTCAGAGCTTTAGATATTCTTGGGATTTCCAGGTGGAGATCCCTTTAAAAAGCAGGTAGAAGAAAACCCAGTAAAGGGAAATCAAGAAAGAAAAAGAAAGTAGGAATAGCAAACTAAAAGAAAAACTTGGAGGTGGTGTTCCTTGAGGGAACTGAAAGTTAGAGGCGAACACAAGTAAAAAACTGTTAGTACTAAAAAGAGAATTTAATAAGGTGACAGAATACAAGATACAGATTTTCAGATACATAAAAATCAATAGCTTTCTTACTCTACTGGCCACAATCAGTTAAAAACTGAAATGGAAAATAATCTCATTCATAATAACTAGCAATAAATTTAACAAGATAAAACATTTATGGGTGGTGGCTGATGCTTGTAATCCCAACACTTTGGGAGGCTGAGGTGGGATCGCTTGAGCCCAGGAGTTTGAGACCAGCCTTTTTTTTTTTTTTAGAGACAGGGTCTTGCTCTGTCGCCCAGGCTGGAGTACAGTGGCACATCTCAGCTCACTGTCGCCTTGACCTTCCAGGCTCAAGTCATCCTCCCACCTCAGCCTCCCAAGTAGCTGGGACTACCAGTGTGTGCCATCACACCCAGCTAATTTTTGTATTTTTGGAAGAGACAGGGTTTCATCATGTTGCTCAGGCTGGTCTTGAACTCCAGAGCTCAAGCAATCCACCCGCCTTGGCCTCCCAAAGTGCTGGAATTATAGGTGTCAGCCACCATGCCTGGCCAATAAAGGATAAACATAGATTTTTAATTAAGTGAGGAAAGGGTAGATTCAATAAATCAAATTGGGACAAGTGACCATCTATATGGAAGAAAATAAAGTTAGATTCCTACCCTTTCACCATATACTAAATTAAATTCTAGATTGATTAAAAGATACAAATAGATAACATAAAATTTTAAAAATAACTAAAGGAGCTGGGCATGGTGGCACTTTAGTCCCAGCTACTCAGGAGGCTGAGGCAGGATAATCTCTTGAACCCAGGAGTTCAAGGCTAGCCTGGGAACACAGTGAGATCCTGTCTCAAAAAAAAAAAAGCTAGAGGAACTACTCCAAACCATAGAGAGTTCACATATATTCATGAGTTCTCACCTGTATAAAAATGTGTCTGTAAATGTGAGACTTTAGATAAATTAGTCAATCCCTTGGCACATCAGTTTCCTCATCTTTGAAATGGATATAAAAACAGTATCTACCCTAAGTGACTGTTGTGAGGACTGAGAAATGAGTATTTTTATAATCTTTGGGACAAGGAAGGCTTCCTAGAGGCTATAAAGGAAAAATGGACAGATTTGACCAATATTTGCATATACGAGACAAATAATCAGTATTTCTAATATATAAGCCTCTGTTTGAATTAACAAAAAACTTTTTTTTTTTTTTTTTTGAGACAGGCTCTCATTCTGTCACCCAGGCTGAAGTGCAGTGGTACAATCACGGCTCACTGTGGCCTTGACCTCCCCGGGCTCAGGTGATCCTCCCACCTCAGCTGCCAGAGTAGCTGGGACTACAGGTGTGCACCACCATATATGGCTAATTTTTTGTATTTTTTGTAGAGCTAGGGTTTCTCCATGTTGCCCAGGGTAGATAAAAAAATTTTTAATGGGGAAAAAATATGAACAAGGAATTCACAGAAAAGTATTATAAATATAAATGGCCTATAAACCATTTGAAAAGACATGCAATTTGACTAATAATCAATGAAATGCAACTTGAAATGAGATACTATTATTTAGTTTTCTAACTGGCAAAACATTGACAACATCCAGTGTCAATGATCAACATATGCTGTTAATGAAAGTATAAGCTGGTATAAGTTTATGAAGACAATTTGGTTGCATTTATTAAAATTTAAAATGCACATGCCCTTTGACTCAGCGAGTCCATTTCCAAGAATATATCTTACAGAAAAAAAGTATATCTATATAAAGATATGTGTATATGAATCTCTCAGGTACATATTTTTGTAATAGCAAAAAAAAAAAAAACCCACAACAACCCTAGAAAATGGTTAAATTATAGAAGAGTCACAGAATCAACTAATATAAAATCCTCAAAAATATATAGAGAGGGTTTAATTATGTTTTCCCAAAATCCACATTTTCCTGGAACCTCAGAACATGACCTTGGAGATAGGGTGGCCACAGATGTAGTCATTTAAGATGAGGTCATACTGAAGTAGGATGAGCCCTGAATCCAATCTGAATGATGTCCTTAGAAGAAGACAGAAGACACAAAGACACACATAGAAAGCAGATGGCCACGTGAAGATAAAGGCAGAGGCTGAAGTTATGCTGACACAGCCAAGGAATGCCAAGGACTGCTGAAAACCACCAGAAACTGGAAGAGGCCAGGAAGGATTCTTCCCTAGAGCCTTTGAGAGGGGACGTGGCCCTATCAACCTGGATTTCTGACTTCTAGACTCCACAACTGTGAGGTACTGGATTTCTGTTGTTTTAAGCTGCTCGGCCTGTGATGCTTTGTTTCAGCAGCCTTAGAAACTAATACAATGTGTCTAGCCAAAAATATGTATATGAGATCTTTTGTATGTGTGTGAACAAAAAAGTATTTCTATTTATATATATTAAGTATATCTATTTGTATAGACATGGAAAAACTCAGAAGGATGTATACCAAGTTATTATTAGCAGTTGCTTGAGTAGAAAAGTTAAAAGGATAGAGATGAGAAATATTACTTTATTATAAGTATTTTTAAATATCAAAATATTACACCTCTTACTGTCTTTGTATGCATGTATTTTATGTACTTTCCAAGTCAAAATGTCCTTGGAGATCATGAAAACTGAAGCTGAGAATTCAATGCTGAAGTGTAGAGGTAAATCATCTCAGAAGGCTGGCCCCAGAGAGGTATCTGACAGGAGCAGAGGTGGCCAGGCTGGTGGCCCGCAAAGAAGGAAGGGAAGTAACAAGAAAAAAGGATCACTGGAATGGGGTAGCCTATGCCATCCACCTGAACTAAGGGAGCCCAAACTTTAAAAGAAAGAACTACTTTTGATTTCTCTGTAGCCTGAGATCACCAAGGTGGATAAAGCATAAGCTTAGAGAGAGGAACGGGCAAACGGTGAACTAGGGGTGGAGGTAGGGTGCAGGCTCCTCTTCCTCTCCCCACAGAGTCCCTGACAACAGAAAGAGATGTGGCCAGACTCCAGCTTGGCCTCTGTCCATCTGAAAAGGTTTTGTCTGACGTGTTCTCTATACAACTGGCTGGAGCCATCATGCCACAAAGTGAACAAAATTCCATCCTGGGAAACAGCCAACAGCACACAGCCAGCCGAGCCCATGCCACCCTAGTTTACGGCTTTTGACTACCTAATATGCTGCATCTCACTTCTTTCCAGCCCTCCTGTTTCTAACCACTTTTCCTGAAGCACCAGACAGAAAAGTCAGCGTAAATTATATAGCAACTTCCTACTTTTAATTTCTAAGGCTTCTTTACTCCAGATATCCCTCATACCAGATATTTTAAACATTTTTTAAAGGTATGACAGAGAAGAGAAATCCTACATATAAAAGTTCAATAAAGCTTATAACTTGTATTTCAAGTTTTCACTATGATTTGGAATGATTTCACTGTTGGAGATGTCAAAAACAGTCTCTCAGACAAAACACAGCCTTGAAGTCAACGTGCAGAGACCATAACTATCCACCCTTCTTTACAAGTTGGGCACTGGGCAGAAAAATGGATGGGCCAGCGTCTCACCCATCAGGGAGCTTCCTGGTGCCTGAGAGTTATTTACAAGAAAACTCACTTAGGCTGGTTCTCTGTAGACAACCATAACATATCCTGGAATTCTGAGTGGGGAGAGTACTGTTACATAGATTATTTACCTGGCAAAAACAAAACAAAACAAAACAAAACAAAACAAAACAAAAGATTTCTTTCCAGGACAAAAAACTCCCTCTGGATAAAAAGGATAGGGAAGAAAGAAAAGAACAAAGCCAATACTAGCTCTACAAGAGCAGTGGTTTTGTCTGTTTTGTTCACTGCTTTGTTGAGAACAGTGCCTGGCATATATAGCAGGGTCTCAATAAACATTTACTGAATGAGTGAATGAAGTTGGGGAGAGGGAGGAAGGGATGGAAGGAGGAAAAGAAGGAGGGAGGAAGGCAGGAAGGCAGGCAGGAAGGCTGATTTTTCAGAAGCTTTAACAATAGAATTAAGTCCATGGGGAGAAAAATCAAATGAGCAATCTGGATTCACAGAAACCTCAAAATAAAGATTAAATAAATATAACTTCATCATTTCTTGCATTATAAATATAGCCAAGAAAACCCTGCAAAGCCCATGACAAAGTTCCCATGACTTTCACTAGTGTGTGCTCAATATTTAATCAGGCTGCTCTCCAGAAGCTTGTTTGTGCATAGCACCTCTTCTAGTACCCCGGGCATGAGGCAGGGGTGAAGCCTTGACAATGAAGGAGGCTTCTGCCAGGTCCCTGCATGTGTGGCACCATGCCCAGAGCCATTTTCACACACCGTAGAGGGAAAGAGCCCAAGAAATCATTTCACCAACAGCCTTGCCTCCAGGAAGCAATGCATTTGAACCACTCCAAACCACAGAGAAAGTCTATTTTCATGAGTTCTCACTTGTACAAAAATTTGTTTCTAAATGTGAAAATTTATTATCAAAAACACAGCAAAAGAAAAAATTAAAAATAAATAAATGTGAGACTTCAGATAAGTCAGTCAATCCCCTTGCACATCAGTTTCCTCATCTTTGAAATGAACATAAAAACAGTATCTACCTTATGTGACTGCTGTGAAGACTGAGAAATAAACTGCACGGCACAGTACCTGGTATACAGTAAGTGCTTGACAGAGCTGTTATTATCACAGAAGGTAAGCTTATTTTGCAAATAAAAGAGGAAGGTTTTCCTTGCGGTCTAAGCAGTTCATCTTTGAGCACAGATCTGGACTCTCTAAGTCTTACTAGATTCTTAGTTTGAGGCCAATAAATGATTTGCTATTTCCAAAACTTCTTGATGTTGCTGGATCTACTTCATCCTTCCTTTGAAGGTTACGGGATGCATCGAGTTCCAAATGTGTGCCTTTTCACTGTATGTGAGAACTATCCCAGGCTTCCTCAGTAGAAATGAATATGTTATTTTTAAGTTGGCCAGAAAATGACCAAAGTAAAAAAAATAATTGGCTGAACATGCTAGCGCCTGGCTTGACTGAGGGCAGAGATGGCAGGCTGTAAGTGTGATATCTTGGACAGAATGCTAGAGGGAGTTAAGAAACTAGGGTTCAAGTGTGATTTTGCCACTTTTAGCTGGGTAAGCAAGCTCCTTTACCTCTCCTGGCCTCAGTTACCTCTTTTATAAAATGGGGTATGTACTAGATTAACTCTAAAATTCTTTTCTGGCTTTAAGACTCAATGATTCCATGGAAATGGTAAAAACCAAGGGGATGGCCGGCAGGAGTAAAGTGACTATAAAGATATGAAGCCAGGAGGGGAGAAAAGCAGTAAGAATGTGAATGTAAAGAGAAAACTCTGGGTCAGTAAGAGGAAGGATTAAGTCAGTCAAATATTATCCATAAGGGTGCAGACTAGGGAGGATGAACTGGGCTGAATGTCAGGGTGCAGACTAGGGAGGATGAACTGGGCTGAATGTCTAAGACAACACCAGGTCGGGAAAATTCTAAAGGGTCAGAAGCTTGGAAGACCACTTATCTTTGGAACAGCCAGAAAGAATATTGTCTCTTCAGGGACTAGGGAGTTAAGAGAAAGTAACTGATGATCCGAGAGAGACAGTGGTAGAACTCCAACATCAGACTTAAAGCTAGACTCTTCAGGTCTACTGCACAGCTACAGACTACTCACATCAGAGGCGAAGGGCTCAGACTCTGAAGACTGGCTGCCTGGGTTCAAATCATGGCTCCGTGACCAGACCTGGGACCTTGAGCAAGTGACCTAACCATACTGTGCCTCAGTGTCCTCATCTGTAAAATGGGCATAAAACCTGAAGCTACCCTATAGGGATGTTGTCAAGATTAAATAAGCCGATATATGGAAAGCCCCCTGAACAGGGTCTGGCATCTGGTAAGTAATAAACAACTGTCAGTTTATTTACTTATTTTTTGCTGCAGAGCGGGATGTTTCCATGACTCGCTGCAAAGTCACTTCATTCTTCTTATTGAGAGCATTTAGGGGCAGGATTTCCTATCTAAGGCTGAAATCTAGAAAAAGAACCCCACCTCTGTCACCTTTTTGTTCCCTGGGTGGGGTCAGGGGAAACTTCCAGTCATTGGTGGTGGTGCCTCTTGTACATCACCAAGGCTGCAGCTGCCCTCCATCATTCCCGAGGTGCCACTGCAAGGAGCACCAGATGACCCTGGGAGTGTGAGACAGGCCAGCACTTCAGGAAACCATATGGGGTTTCCTTTCGGGAATCTGTCACACCATTCTCCCCTTGCATTTACTTTAAATGTATGGCCAACTAATCCTAACCTGAAGGTAGTTGTTTTTTGATACCAGGACATTAAAAAATGATATATTTTTACTTTTCCTGCCCTCTTACAGGCCCAGATTAAGTTGCACTTAATTCTCCCTCATGTGTTTCTGTTTACTCTTCATATAATTACGTGTTTTTAACTTTTCTTCCAAATGCTACGCAAAATGCTGTTAGTTTCACATGTCTACAGCTTCCCAGAATTATCATACATAGGAAAATATGGTGCTTCCACATCCACATTTACAAGTAAAAACAGCACTTTAATAGAATCAACAACATTAAAGAGCTAAAGCCACACCCTTCCAATGCTCACTCGCTCTCTCTACAACTGAGCTCCAAGGACTCATTTTATTTCCATCTGCAAGGCAAAATATTGATTTGAAGTAGTCCAAATAATCCAGCTTGTTTACAAGACACTAATGTTTCTGGAATGTTTAAACTATGATTTAGAGAAGAAGCGAGCAGTGTTCATTGACGATGCCCCATTTCTCAGTTCAACCGTGTATGGAGATTTACTTTATAGGACTGGGGAAGAAGATAATGCCATCAACCAGGTCAGGAAAACTCATCAGGAGTTGCCGTTAGGGAGGCTTTGAGGGGAAGACAGTCAGGAAAGGAGACTGGTGTGTCTGAGGAAGAGGCACAGACTGGCCTAACTGACAAGTTTCTCTCGCTGTTTCCTCCAAACACTTTGAACCGTTCTAATAGGAGTTTGAGACTGCATTTTTTTTTTTTTAGCTCTGTTGGTGACATTTCAAAAGCAACCTTCCCAATAAATACAAGGAAGTTACATCTGAAATTTTCAAATGAAATATCTGAGCTGTTGATTTTTTAAAAAAAAACAAAAACTCCTGAGGTGGAATTCTTGTCTTACAATGTTCCCTTCCTCTGATTTTGATACAATTTTGGAAACCTTTCCATGACTTCCTCAAGTATACAAAAATAGCTTTCGATGGAGACCCAATCCAAGGGATGATTTTTATGACTCATTAGATCTTAAAGAATGACATTATGAGACCATCCTGGCTAACACGGTGAAACCCTGTCTCTACTAGAAATACAAAAAATTAGCCGGGCGTGGTGGCGGGCACCTATAGTCCCAGCTACTCAGGAGGCTGAGGCAGGAGAATGGCGTGAACCCAGGAGGCAGAGCTTGCAGTGAGCCAAGATCGCACCACTGCACTCCAGCCTGGGCGACAGAGCGAGACTCCAACTCAAAAAAAAAGAGAATGACATTATGATTATAAAGCTTAAATACATTTTTTCTGAAAGCATTTTTCCTAAAATTTAAGACACATTCTAAAAGTTTCGGATCATGGTTACACAATAAATTCTATAATCCATTTGTGATATTAATACACATATTATTCTACATTGCCAAATAAGATAAACATCACCAAAAAAATCCCAAAATAATATCCCCCTTTCTCAAAAAGTAAATTTCTTTACACACACACACACACACACAAAATTGGAGGCAGGGTCTCGCTATGTTGCCCAGGCTGGTCTTGAACTCCTGGGCTCAACCAATCCTTTTGCCTCAGCTTCCCAAATTGCTAGGATTATAGTTGTAAACCACCACACCCAGCCTGAAAAAGTAAATTTCAACTCTTATTACATGTTAACACTGTTCTCAAAAGGAAACCCCTCAAATAGTCTATCAGACTATGAATTCTTATGCCACCGATGCACTGTTACTAAATTTATGTGTTTTTTAATTTCTACTTACTGGCAAAATTGATATACTTTAGAGGACTAAATTAAATGAGCTGTGACAGACAGAAGGACTAAACTGAAAGAGTGGGATATACCCAGACAAAAACCTAGCCCAATAGGCCAAGGACTGTTAGAGGACCTTTAGAAGCAAGCTGAACTCGGTTGCTTTCAATAAACCAATACCTATGTATTAAATATGCATTATGGACAGGAATCACAGGAGAGAAAAGGATGAGATACAATCAAATCCTTTTTATGGGCAAAGACATTTGTCCCCATCATGTGTGTTCTGGAATTTGGGGGTGTGTATTTGGCTCTACCAGATGTTCCTCTAGCGAGTTTCTTAATCTCTCTGACCCTTGGTTTCTTAATCTGTGAAACGGGGATAATAAACCCCATCTCATAGAGTTTTAGTGGGGACTGAATTAAAAGATACAATATAGGGAGCTTGCCTCTCATTAGGTATCAATAAATGTTACTTCCTTTCCTATCATATACTGTCAAGAAAACTATATCTAATAAGTAATAAATGTTGCATTTTACCTGGAAAGGGTCTGTCTTCATCACCCCCATGCAGAGGAACTCCCTTATTTTCTGACATGTACTTCTTGGCAATGGGCAAGGACATCAGCCTAATGTGATGGATGAGTGAGCGCCAGGTGTGAGCTCCAGAAAGCACTGGCTCAGGTGCTAATGGGCTGAAAGGTTGAATCACAAAGTAGGCAGTGAGCAAGATTAATCCCAAGGTTGCGAGAACCTACAAGGAAAGATAGAAAAGGCATTAATCCCAGCAAACAAATACCTTAATACCAAGAAAAAAAACAAAACAAAACAGGCTTCTTCTGCTACTTCCAATGTGCCTTAAGAACTAATCCATTTTCATAAACAAGCCACTTAGGTTTACTTCTGGAAGAATTTAGAATTTGAGAACTATAGGGACTGCAAGGCTCACCAAGCTGCTACCATATAATCAGTGTATTTTAAAATTCACCATTTAAAAATACACAGGCTGGGCATGGTGGCTCTCGCCTGTAATCCCAGCACTTTGGGAGGCCGAGGCGGGCAGATCATGAGGTCAGGAGATCGAGACCATCCTGGCTAACACGGTGAAACCCCGTCTCTACTAAAAATACAAAAAAATTAGCCAGGCATGATGGTGGGCGCCTGTAGTCCCAGCTACTTGGGAGGCTGAGGCCGGAGAATGGCGGGAACCCGGGAGGCGGAGCTTGCAGTGAGCCGAGATCGCGCCACTGCACTCCAGCCTGGGCGACAGAGCGAGAGACTCCGTCTCAAAAAAAAAATAAAAATAAATAAATAAAAATAATAATAATAATACACAAAGGGGGCCGGGCGCAGTGGCTCACGCCTGTAATCCCAGCACTTTGGGAGGCCGAGGCAGGTGGATCACGAGGTCAGGAGATCGAGACCATCCTGGCCAACACGGCGAAACCCTGTCTCTACTAAAAATACAAAAAATTAGCCGGATGTGGTGATGGGCGCCTGTAGTCTCAGCTACTCAGGAGGCTGAGGCAGGAGAATGGTGTGAACCTGGGAGATGGAGCTTGCAGTGAGCCAAGATCGCACCACTGCACTCTAGCCTGGGCAACAGAGTGAGACTGCATCTCAAAAAAAAAAAAAAAAAAAAAAAAAAAAAAATAATAATAATAATAATAATAATAATAATAATACACAAAGGGGCCGGGCGCAGTGGCTCACACCTGTAATTCCAGCACTTTGGGAGGCCAAGGCGGGTGTATCACCTTAGGTCAAGAGTTCGAGACCAGCTTGGCCAACATGGTGAAACCCCACCTCTACCAAAAATACAAGTATTAGGCCAGGCACAGTGGCTCATGCCTGTAATCCCAGCACTTTGGGAGGCTGAGGTGAGTGGATCACCTGAGGTCAGGAGTTCGAGACCAGCTGACCAACATAGTGAAACTCCCATCTCTACTAAAAATACAAAATTAGCCGGGCATGGTTGCGCATGCCTGTAATCCCAGCTACTTGGGAGGCTGAGGCAGGAGAATTGCTTGAACCTGGGAGGCGGAGGTTGCACTGAGCCAAGATCACACCATTGCACTCCAGCCTGGGCAACAAGAGTGAAACTCTGTCTCAAAAAATAAATAAATACATACATAAAGGCTGGCTGCAGTGGCTCACACCTGTAACCCCAGCACTTTGGGAGACTGAGGTGGGCAGTCTCGAACTCAGTCTGACAGTGATTGACTGGACTCAAGTCACTTGAGCCCAGGAGTTCGAGACCAGCCTGGACAACACGGAAAAACCCCCATCTCTACAAAAAATAGAAAAATTAGCCAGGTGTGGTGGCACATGCCTGTGGTCCTAGGTACTTGGGAGGCTGAGATGGGAGGATCACCTGAGTCTGGGAGTTCGAGGCTGCAGTGAGCCATGATGGCACCACTGCACTCCAGCCTGGGCAACACAGTGTGACCTTGACTAGAAAAATAAAAAATCTGTTCAGGTGCGATGACTTAGGCCTGTAATCCCAGCACTTTGGGAAGCCGAGGAGGGCAGATCACCTGAGGTCAGGAGTTCAGGACCAGCCTGACCAACATGGAGAAACCCTGTCTCTACTAAAAATACAAAAATTAGCCAGGTGTGGTGGCACATGGCTGTAATCCCAGCTACTTGGGAGGCTGAGGCAGGAGAATCGTTTGAACCTGGGAGGCGGAGGTTGCAGTGAGCTGAGATCACGCCACTGCACTCCAGCCTGGGCAACAGAGTGTGACTCCATCTCAAAAAAAAAACAACAAAAAAAAACAAAACACAAGGCCAGGCGTGGTGGCTCACGCCTATAATCCAAGCACTTTGGGAGGCTGAGGTGGGCAGATCACCTGAGGTCAGGAGTTCAAGACCAGCCTGACCAACATGGAGAAAACCTGTCTCTACTAAAAATACAAAATTAGCTGGGTGTGGTGGCGCACGCCTGTAATCCCAGCTACCTGGGAGGCTGAGGCAGGAGAATCACTTGAACCCAGGAGGCAGAGGTTGCGGTGAGCCGAGATTGCGCCATTGCACTCCAGCCTAGGCAACAAGAGTGAGACTCCGTCTCAAAACACACACACACAACAAACAAACAAATAATAAAAAATTAAATAATAATATTACACAAATATAATTTAACTGTAAATATGCAGCTTTCATCTAGGACCTTTAACAACACAGTCAAATTTCCTAGTAACACATGGTAACAAGAGCAAAGGCCAATTTATTCACGGAAAAACCAATGCTCAGTGGTGGGATTAGTCAACAATAGCATTTGTGAAGAATGTTGAACAGTTTGTGTTCTGTTGAAGCAATTACCAACTCAGGAAACATTTTACCTTATACACAACTATAAGGAGAGGATACTGCGGGGGGGGTCTCTGAGGTTCATTCTTTTCCAGCAGCTGTCTGATAAATTTTTCAATTGCCTTCTCTGACATGCCACACTGATGGCCGGTCTGTCTCACCAAATCAACAGTCTCTGAAAGTTTGTCATAAATGCTGATCTCGTTGGCAGCAAGATCCATGTCTTCCAATATAAAATCCCTGAGAGAGACGGAGAGAAAATAAATGTAAAAAGAAAGGTGGTTTCTTTAGGTACTTCCTCTTCAAAGCTACTTGACCATCTGTAGAGAAGGACCAGTTTTGTGCTTTCCTCAATCCTCTACAGACCAATACTTTCATGAAACACAATGAATACACAGAGACAATGTCAAATTGCCATACAAGTTTTAAAATATTCGTTAACTGTGGGCCAGGAACAGTTTACAGACCTGCACTAGTTCCCAAACTAGTGCAAACTGAGGAGCACTGGTCTAGAGCACAATATATCCTAATGGGACTCTGAAGCACTAATGACATCCAAAAAAGATTTCTGACACCAATGATGGGAGATCTGCTACTGGAGATTCCTTAAAATAAAAAAAAAATGGATTATGCACAGTGTTGTTTAACGCTGTTGTTGAACATTTGTGTTCAACACAAGAGGAAGAACTGATCACTGAAGATTACTGAAGGTGATTTACTGAGAGCAACAGGCTGATAAGCTTTGTTCTTGGCAGAGCAAAGATTTCAGACAACACAAAAACCATGGCATGTGGCTTGCAGTCCTCACACTTTTCTTTCTTCTTCTTTTTTTTAATTTCTTCTGGAGCAACCAGAGTCCTCATGCTTTTCTACAAATACAATTTTAGAAAATAAAGGGCATTTTATTTGTATTTTATATACTTAAAATACCTAAGATTTTTAACTAATTTAAAAATTCAATTTGTGTTCCTATAGTTATTTTAAAGACAGATTGTTTCATCATGCCCAGAGAACAAAAGGTAAAAACTAATGGGGCAAAGTAGAGTTCTCTCTGTATCATTTGTAAAATGAAATTAAATAGTTCCAAGGCTGGACGCAATAGCTCGTGCCTGTAATCCCAGCACTTCGGGAGGCTGAGGCAGGCGGATCACCTGAGGTCCGGCGTTTAAGACCAGCCTGACCAACACGGAGAAACCCCGCCTCTACTAAAAATACTAAATTAGCCTGGCATGGTGGCGGGTGCCTGTAATCCCAGCTACTCGGGCGGCTGAGGCAGGAGAATCTCTTGAACTCGGGAGGCAGAGGTTGTGGTGAGCCGAGATCACGCCATTGCACTCCAGCCTGGGCAACAAGAGCGAAACTCCATCTCAAAAAAAAAAAAAGAAAAGAAAAGAAAAGAAAAACAAATTTTAAAAATCAGCTTGGCCTGGTGGCACACACCTGTAGTCCCAGCTACCTGGGAAGCTGAGGTGGGAGGACTGCTTGAGCCCAGGAGTTTGAGGCTGCAGTGAGCTATGATCATACCACTGCACTCCAGCCTGGGAGACAGAACGAGATCCCATCTCTAGAGAAATAAAATAAGATAAAATAATTAAATGGCTATTTAAAAAGGTGTTTAAGTTACAGAACAATAATATTTTTCTTCATTTACAGGAGGAAGAAGAGTGCTTCTTCGGGTTTGTGCTCTCTTCTACTGGGCTTTATTTATTTATATATTTATTTTCAATACAGAGGGTCCTTTTATTTTGCATACTTCATTCCTACAGTACTTCTAGCCCCAAAAAGTACTGACATAGTACGTGTATTCTCTCAGTAAGGAGATGCTGCCACCTGTAGGGTGGAGGACATAGTCATGTTGTTACAACACAACCCAGCGCACGCCAGCACACCTCCTCTTCCAGCAGTGTGCCTCCCAATCACTCCTGTTTGGTCCTCTTTACGACTATTAAGTGTTTAGTTCATTAGGTCTTAACCTGGCTTGCACATTAGAATCACCTAGAGAGCGTTTCATAAATGCTCATACCTGGGCATCAACTCAGAGCAATTAAATCAGAATCAGAAGACTTCTAATGGTGGATTAAAAGGCATGCAATCTAGACTTCCAGGAACTGGGGGAATGAGAGAAGAGCCCACCACACTATACCCCCCACATTCAGATAAAAAGACAGTACAAACTACAGTTGAGACTTGAACAACATGGGTTTGAACTATGTGGATACACTTAAAAGCTGATTTTTTTCTACCAACCCAGGATTGAAAATACAGTATTTTCAGGGTGCAAAAACTGCATATACATATACAGAGGGATGATTTTTTGTATAAACAGGTTCTGAAGAATCAACTGTGAAACTTGAATATGCAAGGATTTGGGTGTATATGGAGATTCTGGAACGAATACCCTACATATACCAAGGGACAGCTATATAATTTTTAATGTATTATTTTCAATACATGATGCTAGGACCACTGGATATCCACAAATGAGAAAATGAAGTTGGACCTTTCTTTCTTTTCTTTTTTTTTTTTTTTTTTTTTTGAGACAGAGTCTTGCTCTGGTTGCCCAGGCTGGAGTGCAGTGGCGCGATCTTGGCTCACTGCCACTTCCGCCTCCCGAGTTCAAGCGATTCTCCTGCCTCAGCCTCCCAAGTAGCGGGATTACAGGTACCCACCACCACGCCCAGCAAATTTTTTTGGATTTTTAGTAGAGACGGGGTTTCACCATGTTGGCCAGGCTGGTCTCGAACTCCTGACCTCAGGCAATTCGCCTGCCTCAGCCTCCCAAAGTGCTGGGATTACAGGTGTGAGCCACCATGCCTGTCCCTTTCTTTATACTATACACAAAAATTAACTCAAAATGGATCAAATACCTAAATTTATAAGCTAAAATGATAAAACTTCGAAGAAAACACAGAGAGGGAGGCTTCATGATTCTGGGATTCGGCAATGGTTTCTTAGATATGATACCAAAAGAACAAGTAGCAAAAGAAAAAATAAATTGGACTTCATCAAAATTAAAAACTTTTTGTAGAAGACAAGAGGAGGGGAAAAACCTCAAAAATTCTGTGTCTCAATACCATCAAGAAAGTAAAATGACAAGCCACAGAATGGGAGAAAATTTTTGCAAATTATATATCTGATAAGGGGGTGGTCTATATAGAATACATCAAGAATTATTACAAATCAGTAATAAAAAGACAACCAAATAAAAAAATAGACAAAGGATTTGAATAGCCATTTCTCCAGAAAAGATATACAAATGGACTGGGTGCAGTGGCTCACGTCTGTAATCCCAGCGCTTTGGAAGGCCAAGGTGGCAGATCACTTGAGGTCAGGAGTTCGAGATCAGCCTGGTCAACATGGTGAAACCCTGTCTCTACTAAAAATACAAAAATTAGCCGGGTGTGGTGGCAGGCACCTGTAATCCCAGCTATCTGGGAGGCTGAGGCAGAAGAATCACTTGAATCTGGGAGGCAGAGGTTGCAATGAGCCAAGATTACACCACTGCACTCCAGCCTGGGTGACAGAGTGAGACTCCATCTCAAAAAAAGATATACAAAGGACCAATAAACACACAAAAAGATACTCAACATTATTAACCATCAGAGAAATGCAGATCAAAATCACAGTGAGATATCATTTCACATCCACTGGGATAGCTACAATCAAGAAGTCAGACAAAAAGTGTTGGTAAGGACATGGAGGAATTGAAACATAAAATGGTACAGCCACTATGGAAAACAGCCTGGCAGTTCCGCAAAGAGTTAAACACAGTTACCATATGACCCAGCAATTCTACTTCTAGGTATGTGCCTAAGACAAATGAAAACATATGTCCACACAAAAACTTGTGCACAAATGTGAACAGCAACATTATTCATAACAGCCCCCAAATGGAAGTAATCCAAATGTCCATGAACTGATGAAAGGATAATCACAATGTGGTAGAGCCATATAATGCAAAATCACTGGACGATAAAAAGGAATGCAGTACTGATACATGATACAATATGGATGAACCTTGAAAACATTATGCTAGGTGAAAGAAGACAGTCACGAAAAACTACAGATTATATAGCTGCATTTAGATGAGAAGTCAGGAATAGACACATCTTTTTTTTCTTAATACCTTTTTAACAAACCTGCAAGGAATAGGCAAATCTATAGAGATATAAAGTAGATTTCCAGATGGGAAGTGACTTATCTGAGACCACCCAGTCGGTTGTCACCTGAGCCTCATTTCGACCCCACATTCTTTTCACTAAGCCATTTTTGATTAGCAGCCAGGAGGATGGATTACAAAGCATTAAGAGCCATACTAACAATAACACCAAAAAAACCCCCAGAAATTAAGATGTAGCATTTCCAATTAAAAATAATTCAGGAGTAGATGATCTCTGGAAAATGAGATCACAGCTGGTTTTTATTTTCTTTGTGACTTTCATATTTCCCAAACTTTTCCTGTATCAATTTTGTAATCACAAAATTCTCACAGTCACTTCTAAGGAACATCACTGGGCACAAAATGAGTCAGAGATGTACAGCAATGCATGACCATGGCACCATAGGGAAGAAGCAAGGCATGATTTGCCATGCCAATGACTTTTTGGTTCTCTATAGAGTTGTATTCAAATATTACAGCTGGAAAAATGAAACAGCATTGAACCTGGAGACAAGCTTTGCCAATTGCTAGTGAGATGATTTCGGTTAAATTACTTGGTCTACTTCTGCATCCAAAAAATAAGAGGATTGGACTACAAATTTTAGAGTCTCGCTCTAAAATTCTAAGAATCTATGAACACTTCAGGAAGGAGAAAAATTCAATTCATTAGAAACTGAAGACTCATGTTCAATTGCACTCCTATTCCTGTTCCCACCCTATATGCCAGGTGCCTTGCTAAACACTCTGGAAATATTATCTCAGTGAATCACCACTGTGATCCCATAAGGTAGCTGTGATCGATCCCATTTCATACATGTTCAAGGCTCAGAAAGGTTTCATAACTTGCCAGGATGTGAACCCAAGTGTCCTGACTTCAGGGTTGTTGCATGCTGCCTCCCTTACCAAGTTATTTTCCTATTCTGAGCTGGCAGTTCGGAAACCACGTGTCCCTTGATCACAACTGAGCGGCTGAGAACTGGAAAATGATTGACTACAATGATTCCTGCAAATAGAGTAAAGGGATAACTTATTACAACATTTTTCACATCTTGGTTTTGTGATCAGTGATTCTGAGATGCCATTTTCCTGTTTAAACTAACAAAGACATTCTATGAAAGCAAGTAGGAATAATATTCATTTAAATATGTTACAATTCATTATCTAACAATACCCAGTCAAAACCCATTAAAACTCAGTAGAGGACCAGAATGGAAAGGATCCAGAAAGGACTGCTAGAAACAAATTCCAGTGAAAAACTAGTGTGGATGCTGGGAGGTGGGGTCACAAGCAAGTATCCCTGAGGCAGAAGAGAACATCACACACAGAAGAGAACACGGTGTGCCGGTAGGAGAATCCTGAAGGGGACAAAAGTACAGGTGAGGAAAACAGGATTAATCATCATTATTTTTGATGGCTGTTTTGCAACCTTTGTAAGCCTCCTCAAGTCTTTTTTTTTTCCTTTTTTTCCTTTTTTTTTTTTTTTGAGACAGAGTCTCGCTGTGTTGCCCAGGCTGGAGCACAGTGGTGCAATCTTGGCTCACTGAAAGCTCCGCCTCCCGGGTTCAAGCGATTCTCATGCCTCAGCCTCCTGAGCAGCTGGAATTACAGGCTGGGATTAAAGGATGATATTTTTTGTTGTTTAATTACTATCATATCCAACCAAATGCCAACAGTGTCCCTCTAGCAAGACAATAAAAAATGGCACATGCCACCATACCCAGCTAATTTTTGTATTTTTAGTAGAGACAGGGTTTCACCATATTGGCTAGGCTGGTCTCAAACTCCTGGCCTAAAGTGATCCACTCACCTTGGACTCCCAAGTGCTGGGATTACAGGCATGAACCACCGCGCCTGGCCTGTAAGCCTTTTTGATACACATAAAAATCTTATTAAACTCCCAGTTTGTATCACACACAAAAAAATACGTTTCTTTTCTTGTTGGGTAATTCAAGTTAAAATGATATTAAAACACTGAATATATTTTTGCAAGCCATGCATCCTTCTTCCGAGAGATTATGACACATTTCTCAAGTTATCAGAAAGGTAGTTAATAGCAACTTAGTGACGTTTCTAAGAATACCTGTGGATTGTGATAAGCCCTCTTTTTGGCTTTGGTTATATCAGTCGTCCTAAACTGGAAAAGATTCTGCCCCCAGGGATGCCTGGAGACATTTTTTATTGTCTTGCTAGAGGGACACTATTGGGATTTGGTTGGATACGATGGTAATTAAACAAGAACAAAAAAACTCATCCCTTAAAAAAAAAAAAATCAAGGCCGGGCGCGGTGGCTCACGCCTGTAATCCCAGCACTTTGGGAGGCCGAGGCGGGCAGATCACGAGGTCAGGAGATCAAGACCATCCTGGCTAACACAGTGAAACCCCGTCTCTACTAAAAATACAAAAAATTAGCCGGGCGCGGTGGCGGAGGCCTGTAATCCCAGCTACTTGGGAGGCTGAGGCAGGAGAATGGCGTGACCCCAGGAGACAGAGCTTGCAGTGAGCAGAGATTGCCCCACTGCACTCCAGACTGGGCGACAGAGCGAGACTCCGTCTCAAAAAAAAAAAAAAATTCAAACATAAGGTCATTACTATGCATCAAGCATGAGAGGATTGAGTGAAATCGGCTGAGGCTTGATGGCAATCCACTTACCTGCAGAAAGTAGTTCCAACTCTGGCCAAAGTGAGCTTTGCTACAGGGGGAAGTTCTGAAGAGTTAGCCTGATTCTAACAGTGGCATAGACCTGCAAGGGCACAGGCAGGATCACTAGTGGAGTTATTAGGATCAAAGTATCATGCACCACCTCGGATATGCTAAGTTGCCAGAACTGTTAGGAGTGGAGCTCAGGTGTGTACGCTTTCAAGCCTCTTCTCTGCTGATTAAAGGCACACACCCCCAATTAAGAGACACTACTTTACAACAATAGTTCTCAGGGTAATTCTGCTCCAAAGGGGACATTTGGCAATGTCTGAAGACATTTTTGATTATCAAAACTGGACAGGAGTTGGGCACAGCAGCACATGCCTATAGTTCCAGCTACTCGGGAGGCTGAGGCAGGAGGATCACTTGAGGCCAGAAGTTAGAGGCTCAGTGAGTTACGATCACGCCTGTGAACAGCAACTGCACTCCCGGCTGGGCAACACAGGGAGGCTCCAGCTCTTTTAAAAAAATTAAAAATCAACAAACTGGAGGGGTACTATTAGCATCTGGTGGGTAAAGACTAAACATCCTGCAATGCACAGGAGAACCTCCTCCTACCCCTCCTCAAAACGAGGTCAAGAAACCTTGCTTTCAAGAGAGGCCTGTCGGAGGTAAGCCAGGGAGTTGTTTCACTTCTGGAGTACTTCAGAAATAGGAGGAGACAACTGAGAGCTCTGATGAGATGTTCTCCACAATTCCTTCTGGGTCTCTGCCTATGAAGAAACAGGGTAGAGGCATATCTGACAGAAAAACTCTGATAGAACTTACCAATACAAATGTTTCTTTAAAGCAGAAAAGAAGTTAAGAGAAATGTAAACTTCTCTTTTGCCCTGTTTAACAGAGAACTAATTCCTCTATAGAGATAAGTAAGTCCTGAACACTGATATGCCATTACCCTGGACGTTCTGTTTTCTGAAGAGCTATGCCAGCGAGGTAACTCTAGGATAGAAAACTGATTCATCTAGTTAAAGCACAAAAGGGGAAACAGTACAGTTCAAAAGAAAGTTTCAAAAGTCCATCAAGATACATCCCAATCTTCAACACTAGGAGCTATATCCAGAGTAAATTAAATTTTCTTTTTTCTCTACTTGGCTCTTTAATATTACACTACCCATGAAGTATGGTATCCATTCTTTAGTGTTATGAATATATTCCATTCTATTTTATCCAGTGATCCCATTAATTAAATATATGTTCTAGTAAAGAAAAAGTGCTCCTTCAACCATTGTGGAAGACAGTGTGGTGATTCCTCAAGGATCTAGAACTAGAAATACCATTTGACCCAGCCATCCCATTACTGGGTATATACCCAAAGGATTATAAATCATGCTGCTATAAAGACACATGCACACATATGTTTATTGTGGCACTATTCACAAATAGCAAAGACTTGGAACCAACCCAAATGTCCATCAATGATAGACTGGATTAAGAAAATGTGGCACATATACACCATGGAATACTATGCAGCCACAAAAAAGGATGAGTTCATGTCCTTTATAGGGACATGGATGAAGCTGGAAACCATCATTTTGAGCAAACTATCGCAAGGACAGAAAACCAAACACCGTATGTTCTCACTCATAGGTGGGAATTGAATAATGAGAACACTTGGACACAGGAAGGGCAACATCACACACTGGGGCCTGTAGTGGGGTAGGGGAGTGGGGAGGGATAGCATTAGGAGATATACCTAATGTAAATGACGAGTTAATAGGTGCAGCACACCAACATGGCACACATATACATATGTAACAAACCTACACGTTGTGCACATGTACCCTAAAACTTAAAGTATAATAATAATAAAAAGAAAAAGTGCTTCTTAGATTATAATAAGAACCACTACAAAGAAACAAACATCAATTAAAAGGAAAAATAACTGATAAAACATTGAAATGATTAATACGATTTAAAAGAGTAATAACTTAAAACTACAATAAATGCTTAAAATTTACAATCAAGGTACAGGCAGGGCACAGTGGCTCACACTTGTAATCCCAAAACTTTGGGAGGTTGAGGCGGGTGGATCACTTGGGGCCAGGAGCTGGAGATCAGCCTGGCCAACATAACATAGCAAAACCCTGTCTCTACTAAAAATACAAAAATTAGCCAGGCATGGTGACGCATGCCTATAATCCCAGCTACTCGGGAGGCTGAGGCATGAGAATCACTTGAACCTGGGAGGTGGAGGTTGCAGTGAGCAGAGATCACATCATGGCACCCCAGCCTGAGCAACAGACTGAGACTCTGTGTCAAAAGAATAAAATTTTTTTTTTAAATGTAGTATATACATACAATGGAATATTATTCAGCCTTAAAAAAGAAAGAAATCCTGCTATTTGTAACAATACGGATGGACCTGGAGGACATTATGCTAAGTGAAATAAGCCAGACACAGAAAGATAAATACTACATGATACCACTTGTGCGATTAATCTAAAATAGCTAAACTCATAGAAGCAAAGAACAGAATGGTGGTTGCAGGAGGCTGCAGGCAGGGGGAAACAGGGAGGTACTGGGCAAAGAATACAAAGTTTCAGTTATACAAGATGAATAACTCCTAGAGACCTACTATACAGCACAGTGCCCAGAGTTAACAATACTGTATTGTATATTTAAAAATATGCTAAGAAGGTAGGTCTTATGTTAAGTGTTCTTATTGCTAATAGTAATAATAAGTAAGAAGGCAGGAGGAAACTTGAAGGTGATGGATAGGTTGATGGCATGGATCATGGTGATGGTTTCACAAGGGCATACTTATGTCCAAATTCATCAAGCTGTACACATTAAATGTGTAAAGCTTTTTGTACAAAAATAGTACAATGAACACCTGGATATCCTTCATTTAGATTTACCAGTTGTTTACATTTGGCTATATTTTCTTTCTGTTTTTACCAGAACTACTTGAAAGTTATTTGCAACACATTATAAAATCATTTCTAAATATTTCAACATGCATCTCCTAAGAATAACGACGTTATTCTACACACAACCATTGGCATTATTGCCATACCCATTAAAATGAGTAATCTCTTAATATTACCTAATATTCAGTCTATAGTCAAGTTTCCTTAACTATCAAATTTTTTTAAAAAGATCATATAGCTATTTAAAAATCCAGGATCCAACCAATGACCACACATTGAATTTGGCTGCCATGCCTCTCTTTAATCTACTTAACTTCAGAACAAGTCCCCAGTGTGTGGTTTTTCTTTTTTTTTTTGTTTTTGTTTTTTGGTCTTTTAGGACATTGACATACTTGAAGAAGTCTTCACATTTTTAAGCTTACCTCTACTTGCTTCCATCCTCACCCTTTCCAGTTTCTACTATCAGAAAAATGCCATAATAGTTCCTTTCTAAGTTTCTGGTACTCTCTCCCTCCCTCCCTTCAGAGGAAAGCTCCTTTGGGGGTTGGGGGGAGAAAGTAACACACTTTCTTGTTTCTCAGGTTTCCATTCATTTATTAACCTGTTGAAATCATATTTCTGCCTCCTCACTCCACCGACATTGCTTTCACTGAGGCCACAAATGGCTTTCTAAACGCCAAGTTCGAAGGACGTTTTTTTCAGTTATTACCTTATCTGACCTCTCTGCAGCAGCTGCTGTTGCTACCCCATTATCTATCTCCCTCAAGTGTACTCAAACCTTAACATAATTCTCTCGTTCTCTGCTGGTATCCACCAGTTATCCTTGACCTTCTTATTCCCTCCAACACTTTGACCACCAGCTATTGGTGATTCCCAAATCTCTTCTCCAGTCTACAACTCTCTCTAGGGTTCAAGACCCATTTATCTACCTGCCTACCAGACACGGTGATCCAAGTTTCCCATAGCTCCCTGTATGTAATGTGTCTATAACCCAACTTACTGTTTTCCCCTTCAACTCATTCCTCCCACTGCACCTCTTTTCTTAATGGAAACACTAATCCTCCAAATTTAAAAACTATTCTCCTCCTACCTCACTCCCACCAATGAAACTATCACTAAGTCCTCTTGATTCAGCCTCCTATATAATTCTCACATTCATCCCTTCCTCTCTACATTAACAGCACAGTTAAGGTCTTCAACATCTCTCCTATGGACCATCACAAAGATGTAGTTAATCTCTATACTTCCAGTTCTCCTCTTCCCCAATCCATTCTCTACCTTGTCCAGTTTTTTATTTTTATTTTCTGAGACAGGGTCTCACTCTTCGCTCAGGCTGGAGTGCAGTGACATGATCTCAGCTCACTGCAACCTCTGTCTCCTGGCTTCAAGAGATTCTCGTGCCTCAGCCTCTGGAGTAGCTGGGAGTACAGGCACGCGCCACCACACTCAGCTAATTTTTGTATTTTTCTGGTAAAAAATGGGTTTCACCATGTTGGCCAGGCTGGTCTTGAACTCCTGACCTCAAGTGATCCACCCACCTTAGCCTCCCAAAGTGCTAGGATTACAAGCGTGAGCCGCTGCACTCGGCCACTTATTTTTTTGAAACACAAATTGGCTCATGCTAAGCACCTTCCAAGACTCCCCATCCTCTGCAGGAGCAGTTTAGCATGGTGACTAAGAACACAGATACTGGAGTTGGAAAAAGCTGGATGCAAATTCTAGATTTTACCACTTACTGTGTGGCCATGAGACACTACTCATCCTCTCTAAGCCTCAGTTTTCATGTATAAAATGGGGATAATTATTTCTACCCCACAATGTTTTATTTCAGAGAATTATAAAATGATGTAACACATTTGTTCCAATAGCCAGACAAATTAAATACCTAATAACAATCATTTTAAGATAAAGTCCTAAGTCAAGCATGGTGGTTCATGCCTGTAATCCCAACACTGGGAGGCTGAGGTGGGAGGACTGCTTGAGCCCAGGACTTCCAAGACCAGCCTGGGTAACATAGCAAGACCCTGTATCTACAAAAAAAATAAAAATAAAAATTGGCCGAGTGTGGTGGTGCCTGCCTGTAGTCCCAGCTACTTGGGAAGCAGAGGTGAGGGGTAGCTTGAGCCCAGGAGTTCGAGGCTGCAGTGAACCGTAATAGCACCACTGTACTCCAACCTGGGTGATGGAATGAGATTCCTGTCTTTTTTAAAAGATAAAGTCCAAATTACTTACCATGGCCCTTTATGATCTGGTCACTGCCTACCTGTTCAGTTTCATTTCCCATCAATCCTTCTTCACATTCTACACTGTCATACTATTTCACATCTTTTTGCTTTTGCATACACAATTTCCTCTGCCTAAAAAGCCTAGTCTCCAGTGCTTTGTCCAATAAGTGAACTCTTTAAGACTCTGACCTCAGTTTTTGTCCTATGCACCTCTAGGGCTTGGCATTACATCTATTTTCCTGTCTACCTCCCACCCTAAATAGTGTTTCTTGAAAGCAGAGATAAATGGAGAAAACACAAAAAACTAAGAACAGACGTGGGAATTCACCTCAGATGTGGAATCAGATCAATGTTGAACAAATTTATAGAAAGGACCTAAAATTATCATTCCGAACTAATTGAATGTAACTCGTGGCTCATGGTTTATTCATTTTATGTTTTATTATTTTATTCATTTTTAAAAATGCAGAGGTCGGGAGCCTGAGGCAGGAGAATGGTGTGAACCGGGGAGGCGGAGCTTGCAGTGAGCAGAGATCACGCCACTGCACTCCAGCCTGGGCGACAGTGTGAGACTCCGTCTCAAAAAAAAAAAAACAAAAAAACGCAGAGGTAGCAACAATGTGATGAGGGTTTAAGGTTAGCAGGTTAGGAATCTAGCATTTGGACATTGTTTCTGGTGTGTGGAGTAGCTGTGGAGGAACAGGTATTCAAAGCAGGTCTTGAAAAATGCCTCAGTCCAAGGCAGAAAAGGTCTGACAGAAACAGGACCTCTTTCTGGTATGCAAGTTGGGCTACATGAACCTTTAGTCAAAACTTCAATGTAGCAGAATTGAATTTATTAGTTATTATTTTAAAGGCATGTTATTCCCTAGAGGGAAATTTTGACAACCCAAATTCAAATGAACGAATTTATTAAGGGAGAGACGTCTATAGAAGATCCCACCACAGGAACTACCAAATGAGCCATCAGAAAAGTCAGAATACTAAGTATCTGGAAGTAGTCTCTATTATAAAGTGATTTATGACTAAATACTTTAAAAGAAACATATTTGCGAATACAAAGGCTATGAGGGCTCTGAGACTAGAAAGTGTGGCCTGCACGGTTAACAGTCTTAAAATACTACAAAACACGACGCAGGCAAATTTCCTTCTACTAAGAGGTGATTACAAACAACTATTTTACTTGTGTCAAGAAACCAAGTCATATTTCTTTCTGAAATCCAAGATGCCAGGTTTATCACATACCAAGTACACATTTAAAGAAAAAAAATTATTGCCCCCTAACGATTATTAGAAAAAGATCTTTCAGAAGGGGGTGGGGAATCTACTCTTAATTTCTTAAAAATTCCGTCAAAAGGGCAGAAATCTGGACTTCATTAGCAACGCTCAAGTTATGGACACTGCTGTGATGCCTGAGAACCAAGTTCAAGCAAGGTCCACCTCGTTTTGCTCTCCCCGGCGGAGTCAAAGAAAGTGACAGATGTCTTAAGGGAGTCGACCCCGGGGGAGCTGCCAGGGGATGCTGTCAGTCTACAAAACTGGAGAGACTGAGAAAAGGGATCCGCGCTGGGATAGAGGGTGGTAGCAGCGGCGAGAAGCGGCTGCGCGAGGATGTCAGAGACGGGCGCGGCGAGGCTGTCACAGGGCGGCCTCCCCCCACCCAGCCTCGGGCCCCAGTCACTCACATGCGGGGCTCGCGCCCCTCGGGCTCCTCCCGCCTCGGGGACAGCTGCCGCCGGGCGAGGAGGATGGGCAACTTCCTGTTTCCGGGAGCGCGACCCGGAAGCAACCCCCCACTCCTGGGCGAGGCCTTGTACCCTAGAGTAATTCCTCCTCTCGTCCAGCGCTTCCGCCCAAAACAGAACACTCAGTGTCGTGGCGAGCGCGGGACCTCTCGCGATATCTGGAGAGTGTAGGTTCTTGCTCCCCCTGGCGTCCTTCTTCCGTTCTGGCTCTTTTCGCCCCAGTCCTAAATCCTTGTCTTCCTAATTTACCTGGACTGGCTCACACAGACTTCATAGCTGAACTGATCCATAGAACAAGCATTTACTGAGTCCCCTACTATGTGCCAGGCAGCATGTTAGGCATTAAGGGATGGGAGTGGAAGGGAAATGTAAATGAAGAGCAGCCCCTTCCTTCTGGAAGCTACTACTCTTGAGAAAGACGAACAAATCCCTCCAGTTTTCACTCAGCCCACTCATTAGTGAGAGCTTACTCTGTTGATAAAAGAAAAACTTAAGCCGAATTAAGTATAAAGGAGTTTAATTGAGCAATGGAAGATTCACGAATCAGGCAACCCCCAGAATCACAGCAGATTCACAGACTCCCAGGGTGCCTCATGGTCAGAACAAATTTATAGATAAAAAAGGCAAAGTGAGGCACAGGAATCGGAAGTAAGGTACAGAAACAGTGAGGTTGGTTACAGCTCGGTGTTTGCCTGATTTGAACGCAGATTGAACATTCAGCAGGCTGTGAGTGGTTGAAGTATGGCCGCTGGGATTGGCCACCACTCAGTTATTGTTACAGGTGTATACTATTAAGTTAGGTTTTCAATTTTGTTTGACTATTAAGCTATGTTACAGTTCATCCACAAGGACTCAAATATAGAAGGACAGAGTCCTTCTCAGGCCATATTTAGTTTGCCTTAACAATTCCCCCGTTTTGGTCATTTTCTCAATTTTGAGAGATTGACCAAAACCTTGGTCATTGATGTTATTATCGCTGTCATAAGTGTACCTGTATGGTTTTGAAACTCACTAGGAAACAGTAGAACAGTGGGTTTTGCAGGAAGAGAATAAGGGCTGAGTAGAGGATACCTCCTTATTCTGAAACATCTGTTTACAGGAGAAAAAACCTGGTCTGTTCTAGCATTTTGTGTTTTTTTAAAGCCTTGGTTTGATTATGTCACATTTAGCATGAGTGACTCCATTTTAGTTTGGTTTGGTTTGTTGGTGCCTAGTGCATGAGCTCAGTCCAAAATAATGGCCTCCCATGATTTTGTTTAAAAAAAAATTCCTCACTTTTGGCCAGGTTCTTACTTAGGTGACAGCGTGACCAGAACTTAGGGCCTTAGCGCCACTCTCAGTTACATCATTTTGGGTTTCTGGTCTCAGCATGTCATTCATAGGTTACGGTGCCTTCATGGTCACACATTTCTTTCAGTTTTTGTTATTCCAGTTGAAAAGAGATCATTTGACGTTGTAGAGATGGCTGCATGCAAGCATTTAAAATCTTTGAGAGAATACAGTGCACCAGGGAGACTATTATTATCATTATCGGGCGGATAATAGCAAGAGTTTGGAGTATGCTCCTTACCCAGGGTCCCCATAAGCCAAACCACCTAAAATTAAATAGATTGAAGAATGAGTTAGATGAAGAGTCTCCTTGCTTGACTAAGTGGTCTTTTCACTAATCCCCTACAACTGGATATTTATTTTTATTGTATTTATTTTGTGAGAGGGAGTCTTGCTCTGTCACCAAGGCTGGAATGCAGCGGCGATCTCAGCTCACTACAACCTCCACCTCCTAGGTTCAAGTGACTCTCCCGCCTCAGCCTATTGAGTAGCTGAGATTACAGGCACCTGCCACCACGCCAGGCTAATTTTCATATTTTTAGTAGAGACAGGGTTTTGCCATGTTGGCCAGGCTGCTCTCAAACTCCTGACCTCAGGGGATCCGCCTACCTCTGCCTCCCAAAGTGCTGAGGTTACGGGTGTCAGCCATCACGCCCGGCCAGAATTGTTTATAATTTACATTTGCTGTATTTCTCCATAGGCCACAGGTGTCAACAGCTGCACAGGTACTTTTCTGTTTAGCCAATTCTATTACTTAGTATAATTTTCAAAGGAGAATTTAAAGTCTGTTGTGTAACGATAGCCTTTAAAGTAGAATTTGCTGTAGAGCCTATTATGAGGGAGACATTTCAAATTATTGCCTCTTTTATTCTAAACCATGGAAAAAGGACCTAACAAATGGATGTCTTTCTAGAAGAGTGAAGGCCTCTTGTCAATGTTCTCTTTAATCCATGATGTGGGTTAAGAGGAGTTTTGACTGATTATGAGGCAATGTATGTACCACTAAAGTTTGTTACCTACATTGGGCCTTCATCTTTTATCTATTGAAATATAAGGTTATTCATGTTTAAGGCTGGCTGCAAAATCCTTCACAAATAAAAGTATACCCTATAAGTGCATATAATAGACCCACTTTTAATTTCTATTGTTCATAGAGGCATAAACAAGGAAAAAATATTCAAAGATAAGAGTCTTGTGATAGTAGAAGTTTTGATCTATGATCTTGGGAAAAGCTATTCTAATCAAGGATGCCATCTTCTGGGGAGAAACTTTTCTGGTTAGTTTTACCTTAAGGGTTCCAATGGATGTACAGTTCCAGGAGTGTGGAGGGACCCTTCTCAGCTGTGAGATTATGAACCCAAGGTTTAAAGCTCCAAAGTTTTGCTGTAGTGTGGATGGCAAGGACAGTCTTTCTCTTTCTCTGGTGTTCTCAGACGATCCAATCTGCAGGTTCTAGATTGTGAAGGGATTGTCCTCAGTGAATCATAAAAAGTTTTCTTTGTCTGGTGAAAATACACTATAATCTACTGTTATAACATCAGCCCTATTGCATGGGAAAGCTTTTATACAACCAGAAAACATGCATTGAAAATGACAATTCAGGCCGGGCGCGGTGGCTCACGCCTGTAATCCCAGCACTTTGGGAGGCCGAGGCGGGTGGATCATGAGGTCAGGAGATCGAGACCATCCTGGCTAACAAGGTGAAACCCCGTCTCTACTAAAAATACAAAAAAAATTAGCCAGGCGCGGTGGCGGGCGCCTGTAGTCCCAGCTACTCGGGAGGCTGAGGCAGGAGAATGGCGTGAACCCGGGAAGCGGAGCTTGCAGTGAGCCGAGATTGCGCCACTGCAGTCCGCAGTCCCGCCTGGGCGACAGAGCGAGACTCCGTCTCAAAAAAAAAAAAAAGAAAAAAGAAAAAAAAAAAAAGAAAATGACAATTGAATGAAATCTCTTTATAAATGTTTAAATGGCCCATCAGGTAGCCAAACGCATCTGAAGCTTTGATCGTCTTTCCAGGAATATGGAACCAAACATTGGATTTAAATTATTTCTGCAATTTATAAGTCACCACATCAATATATTAAATTTGGATTATTTTATCTTTTCCAGAACGTTTAATAACAAAAGCTTTAAGGACTCAAGAAGGACAAGGTGGCCATCCTGGTTCTTCATGAGTCCATGCTTAACACGGGACTTACGTCCTCTTGAATACCAGTTGTTTCTCCAATTTAGGTGCATAGCACTGATAGCTAATGGGTTATCATAGGTAATTTGACTTAGACCATGGAGTTCATTCAAATTGTATATTTAAACAATTTTAGTATTGGCTTATTTAGCATGATAATCTAGAGCTTGATTTTGAAAGGTTTGTTAAATACCAAAGGTTTAAAACATTGGATATTACAAAATAGAATCTTAGGTTACCATAAGTCATTCATTTAGCCAAAATGATAACTTAAAAAATTTTAAAGGAAAAAACAGTATTTTGATAGAAAGGAGACTCAGCTTTCCAAACAAGATCCAATGAGGATAGCATGAGGCCAACTGACTATCTCCTTTCTTTCCTTCCTCAACCATTTTTTTTTGTTGTTTATTTAAAAGGTAAACAAAAACCTTTCATTATCTTTTAATATTAAATAAAAATCCTTTCTAAAAGAGGGAACCAAATTTTATGTTTCCATTAGTGTATTTTTAATGTTAAAGCTAGTTTTTAATAATATTTTAGAAATCTATTCAGTTTTAATTAGTTTGACCATAAGGTAAGATTTTTATAAACCTTTTATAACCCTTTACTATTTTTTTTCTCAGAGCAGAACAATCTTCTAAGAAAACTCTGTTGTGCTTTTATTCCAATGTCCCATTTATGGAAAAAAAAACTGAATAATGCCATTTTAACTTTAGCCAATATGTTCACACATAGAATCCTAATAATTAATTGTTTTGTTTTGTTTTGTTTTGTTTTTTCGAGATGGAGTTTCACTCTTGCTGCCCAAGCTGGAGTGCAATGGTGTGATCTTGGCTTGCTGCAACCTCGGCCTCCCAGGTTCAAGCGATTCTCCTGCCTCAGCCTCCCCAGTAGCTGGGATTACAGGCGTGCAACACCACGCCTGGCTAATTTTTTGTATGTTTAGTAGAAACGGCATTTCACCATGTTAGCCAGGCTGGTCTCGAACTCCTGACCTCAGGTGATCCACCCACCTCAGCCTCCCAAAGTGCTGGGATTACAGGCATGGGCCACCGTGCCTGGCCCCTATAATTAATTTTTATAAACCTTCCACAACTTGTTCAAACCTTTAGCTTTATTTAATTTAAAACAATCCTTTAACCCTCTAACCTAGGCAAAAATTTACATTCCTGTATTTTCTTATAATCTCTTACAAAAAACACATTTCATTCTCCTTACACACCTTGCATGTAAACCTATTTTTTCAGTACTCTCAATTACATATTACAATGTTAACTCTTAGCAACTTTTACTTTTGGTGAAAACCTTGGTAAGTAAGGATTTTAATTATGTACTAGGTGTGGAGCCCAGGACCCAGACAGAAATGCAGATAAAGGTCCGACTCTTTCCAGCATCTAACTACAGGTGTCCCAGGCCTTACCTAGCTATAAAGCAGGCAGGCTGTACAGTTAAGAGTCATGGTGGCATTTTATGAAGCATTTAGGAGGCCTAATCACCTTAAATTGTACAACATGTCTGGCATGAATTCCTTTTCATAAATTTTTTCACAACTTACACAGACTATGTGTGACATGTTTAGACTTTCTGACTTGCCCTAAACATCCCTCTTTTTAAACAACCAGTCATTTTACTTTAGGACAAGAATTTACCATACAACATCCTTTCTTAATGAAATCTATTTTCTTTATAGCCTTTGTATAGCTAGGGGGCATGGCTAATTCCATATATCCCCAGGCCTTATTTAGAATTTAATGTCTCCAAAATAAATTGAACAATTTTCAAAAGTCAAAGCAGTTTATGACCTTGAAGCATATAGCAAAGCTAATATCTGACCTGCATAATTTAGACAAAATGTCTTTATCAATAATATTTAAAGTTGTTTTTATTTCCCAAAGATTACTAAAGTTACATGAACCAAGAGGCATTACAGTTTTTATTTTGCTTTCAAAATATTTAAGTGCTTATTTTTGTTTAAGCCAATTAATTTGAGCTCTTTTATATAAACATTACACACAATACATATATAATTAGACAGACAGGCAGAAGAAGATTACTATAGTAGTTGTAAGATTTTTCTTTTGCCAGTTTTTAAGTTTCTTAATTGGTTATTGGCTTTATGGTGGAGTCCTTGGAGGAACAGGGCCAGGAAAAGGGTTTCTGGTGCCTCCTGTTTTTCCCATGGATTCCAGGCCATTAGAGCCTGAATATTCATTTTTTAATTAACCTGACTTTTAAGCATAGCACTCTTTAATAAAGTCCTTTTAAATTTCTTATTACTGATTTTACCCAGGCCAAATGGCTGATATTTCTGGCTTTTGAACTTTACCAAAGGTAACTTCCTAGGTGCTCGAGGAAGGAAAATTTAAGATAGTCTGTGGAGGAGAAGAGACTAGAGAAGGTTATGCAGATATTAAATCAGAAATGACTTACTTCCTAAGCAGGGAATGGAACTGGAACCGCCAGTGTGAAAGGCCAGTGAGCCACAGCACAGAGCAGTCTACTGCCCTTCCCAGAAGGAGTCTAGAGTAGTTAATTTTGAGCTTGCAGAGGCTTTTAATGACTCAGGATAATTTTTAGAGCTAACTATGGCATAAACCCTAAAATCCCTGTTCCCTAGAAGGTGGAGACCAAGAGAAAGTACTGCCACGTGGTTACGAGGTCAAGTTCCCAAGGACATAAAACAAGATGGAGACCCCATCCAGTTTTTTTTTTGTGTTTCAGGGACCTGCAGGAAAGTTTGTTATTGACCAGCGAGCTTGTGGGGTCCTAAGCCCGTGTTTTATCCTAAGGTACCCCTTGACCCAGAAAAACGAATTCATAGCACAAATACATCAGTTTAAGACTAACCTCAGAATTTTTTTTGCATTAATCAAAACCTTAGAGAAGAGATAAATAAACAGTGATTTTTACCATTCATTCAACCATTTGCACAGAGAGAGAGAAGCCAAAAATCTGACTGGTAAGAAATTCTTACTCTTTTGCTGGCATGCCAGCCTTCTGGGTTCCCTTTCCCTCAGCGGCCCCAGTGACCCAGCTTGCCACACCATCACACTGGGGGCCAAGCCGCATCATAAAGGAAAAATTTTTTGTTGTTGTTCCGGCCAGAGCAAAATACATGTGATAAAACACAGACATTAGCCACTCTGCTTAGCACTCAATATCAAACTGGCAAGGTTTATATTTGCCCTCAGATGGGCCCCGTTATCTTTAATCCAATGTCTGACTAGGGGTTTCAACACGTGATCTCTGGGCAAGCTGGTTGCCCTGAGTAATAGAAAAGATAAAAAAGGGAAAGGAAAGAGAGATCCGAGAGGGAGCTTACCTGTGATCCCCAGCTGCTGTGAGAGATCAATAGACACAAGTGGATCCTGCAGGTACCTTGCATGTTCACTCAGTGCTCCTGGGGGTCGCTAGAAGCTCCACTTTAGATCCCATTCCTGACACCATCTGATAAAAGAAAAACTTTGGCTGAATTAAGTTTGAAGGAGTTTAATTGAGCAATGAATGATTCGCAAATCGGGCAACTCCCAGAATCACAGCAGATTCACAGAGACTCCAGGGGTGACTCGTGATCAGAACAAATTTATAGACAAAAAGGTAAACTAACGTACAGCAATAGGAAGTGAGGTACAGAAACAGCGAGATTGGTTAAAGCTCAGTGTTTGCCTTATTTGAATGCAATTTGAACATTCGGCAGTCTATGAGTTGTTGAAGTATGGCCGCTGGGATTGGCCAACATTCAGCTATTGTTACAGGTATATACTATTAAGTTAAGTTTTCAAATTTGTCTGACTATAAAGCTAGGTTATAGTTCATCCACAAGGACTCAAATATAGAAGTACAAAGCCCTTCTCAGGCCATATTTAGTTTGCTTTAACACTGTGACAGACTGTACTAAGCACTTTCAATTCATGGAGCCACTTCATCAACCCTATGGCATAAATAGCCCCATAACATCCTCATACAAACAAAACTGAAGTTTATGGAGAGGTTAACTTGCTCAAGATTTTACAGATAAGGAATGGAAGGATCAGCATTTGAACCCAGACTCCTTAACCTGCCCTGTGTGTAGCGCCAAATCTCTTAACTGCTTTCTACAAGAAATCTGCAAACAAAATACTACTGGGTTCAGACTAATGCTATAGCTACAGAGGTAGTGTGACAGTGACATAAATGTATGAAACCAATGAAACAGAATAGAGAGACCAAAACCAGAAAACACATATATGGACACTTGATTTATGACAAAGAGGTGAAACAGAGGAGTGAGGAAAAGATAATGCTTTCAATCAATGGTGCTGGGTCAATTGTATATCCATATAGAAAAAAATGAAACTTGGCTCCTACCTCATACCATACACCAAGATAAGTTCTAGATGCATTGCAGATCTATATGATAAAAACAAAACAGAATTATAGAGCTGCAATATTGAGATGTCCAATAATGTCTGTCCAACACTGACATGTTCTGTAAGAGAGAAAATGCATATGTTGGACTACATTAAAATTAGAAACTTTCCAGTGTTATATTCTGTCCAGGATATATAAGGAACTTTACAAATAAGAAAACAGCCAAATAGAAAAATAGGTAGAAGATTTGAACACAAAAAGGTATCACAAAGAGGATATCTAAATGGCACACATATGGAAAAAGAATTCAACTTCATTAGTCATTAGTTGTTAGTGAAATTACTACTGAGATATTGTTATAGAGGCTTCAGGATTCCTTAAATGAAAAAGACTAGCAATACTAAGAGTTGGCTTGGAAGCAGAGCAACAGCAATTCTCACAGGCTGCTGGTGCATACATAAATTGCTACAGCCACTGGCCAGGCGTGGTGGCTCATGCCTGTAATCCCAGCACTTTGGGAGGCCAAGGTGGGCAGATCACAAGGTCAAGAGATTGAGACCATCCTGGCCAACATGGTGAAACCCTGTCTCTATTAAAAATACAAAAATTAGCTGGGTGTGGTGGCATGCGCCTGTAGTCCCAGCTACTCGGGAGGCTGAGGCAGGAGAATCGCTTGAACCCACGAGGTGGAGGTTACAGTGAGCTGAGATTGTGCCACTGCACTCCAGCCTGGCGACAGAGTGAGATTGTGTCTCAAAAAAAAACAAAAAATTGCTACAGCCACTTTGCAACAGTCTAGTGTTAACTACTAAATTATACATGTTACCTATGACACAGCAATTCTGCTTCTAGGTATATACTCCCAAAAATTCATGCACAAGTGCACTAAGATACATACACAAAATATCCATCGCAGCACCATTATACATTGTGGTATGTTTGTACAACAGAATACTACACAGCAAGGAAAAATGAAAAATGGCCACTACATACAACATGAATACATCTCACAAACATATTGTTAAGGAAAGGAAGCCAGGCACAAAAAAATACGTACTTTATAACTCCATTTATATAAAATTCAAAAACAGGGAAAACCAATCTATGATATTAGAAGGCAGAAAGTGGTCTACCCTTTGGGAGGAAGGAATGGGTAATGATTAGTAGGGGGGCTTCTGAGGAATTGGAGACATTTTATTTCTTGATTTGATTTGACCCCTCATGGCTTCTGGCTAACTCCAATTTATTTTCTGGATCTCAACCCAGGCTGTCACTCCAGGGGAAATTTTTGACTGTCCAAACCTACTCTGGAGTAACCAGAGCTCAGGGAAAACTGTGTTTCTTCTTCTTCTTCTTCTTCTTCTTTTTTTTTTTTTTTTTGAGATGGAGTTTCACTTTTGTTGTGCAGGGTGGAGTGCAAAGGCAAAATCTCTGCTCACTGCAGCCTCCACCTTCCGTGTTCAAGTGATTCTCCTGCCTCAGCCTCCGAAGTAGCAGGGATTACAGGCATGCACCACTATGCCCAGCTTATTTTGTATTTTTAGTAGAGACAGGGTTTCACCATGTTGGTCAGGTTGGTCTTGAACTCCTGACCTCAGATGATCTGCCCGCCTCGGCCTCCGAAAGTGCCAGATTACAGGTGTCAGCCACTGCACCCAACCTACTGTGTGCTTCTTATTACAGTCCTCATTCCACGCTCCTACAGCTACGTATTTAGTTGCCCATCTCTCCTAGAATGTGAGTTTCTTTAGGGCAGGGCACTGTGTGTGTGAGACTCATCTCTGTCTCCTCAGTGCCAAGTGACTGGTAGGAGCTGCAGTAAAAGATTTAGGAAGAAAGTGATCATGATCTTGGGGGTGGCTTTTCAATATTCAGACATTGGAGCCTGGGAATGGCACATGACTCCCGAGATACACAGTAAAGAACTACATAAAGTCCAGAGAAAGGCAACTTAACAACAGACTAAACAGACCAAGGATTAAGACTTTTTCATCCAGCTCAAGGGCCACAAGGTGGGCATGAACTTGAAACTGCAGGAGGTGTAAAAATTATACTTTAGCATTTATCAGTTTAAAATGTAGTGTTCCGTTCATTATTCATTCAGCAAAGCTGAGCACCCTGTGCTCTGTACTGTGCAAGAAGAGCACAAAGATGAAGGAGGCCCAGCTCCTCTCTCAAGGAGCTGTCTAGTTTATCTTTACAACCTTGTACATCCTTATTCCTTGTTGACAATTAGGGACATTACAGTTGAACTGTCGTTAAGAGCACAAGTGCACCAGCTGTAGTACTTTAAGCAAGTTATTTAATCTGTAAGGCTCAGCTTCCTCAAAGTAAAATGGGAATAGTAATATCTACCTTGTGGGATTTTGAAGATTAAGCGTGAAAATACGCAATAAAATGCTTAGCTTGATGCCTGGCACATGGTAAACATTCAACCATCATTATTAAGTGGTGTGCAAAGCATTTACAGCGTTAAGTTTAGGTACTCTATTTCATTTTTGTCCTCCCTCCAAACATTATAGCTCCTCTAATTTGCTTCTGTTCCTCGCGCCCTGCGCAAACCCTCCTAACAACTTTCAGGTACCATCTATCCCAGCCAATGTTAAGCCTTGTTCTTGCTCTGATCCGTTTGTCCTGTTTTCTCCTGTCTCTTCCTTTCTTTATCTCCTATTTTCTTCCTGCCCCTTCCCTCTCTTTTCTCCTCAGACTCCTCGTCTTTGGATTCTGCAGGCTCAGATTTGCTTTATGACTATGGAAAAACAAGTATTAACTGCCGAGTCTATTTTCAGATCTGAAAAATGGTAATAATACTATCTACTTATAGAATTGTTTTGTGGAGTAGATGAGATAAGAAAGTGCAAGCACTGTGTACATCGTACAGCGCCTTACAAAAATTCTTTACTGGCATCTCTAAACTACCCTCTTTCATTCTCTGCCTCCCCTTCCCGTCCCTGCCCAATTGTGAGACTAAGAAATTCTTCGAATTTAATATTAGGACATAACTCCAACCAGAGCGCAGCTTTTCTGGTTGTTCCCGCCTTCCATGCCTAAACGAACCAATCAGATCGCCCAGAGTGGCGCGGTATCGCCACTTGGAGACCACCGCGAATGAAGTTTGCATTTTCCTCTGTTCTTGAGCCCAGCTTCTTCTCGTCTCCCACCCCAGCTTCCCGGCATTGGAAGAAGGGACCGTCCTCTTCCTTGTCTTGGCCACCCAAATCCTGGTATCGAAAGGGTTGAACGGACCGGAAGTGTGCAGCAGCGACGGGTCCCCAGCTAATCGACGCCGGAAGTAGCAATTACTAGACAAGCATTCCGCCGCCGGCTTCGCTATGGCGGCAATTCCCCCAGATTCCTGGCAGCCACCCAACGTTTACTTGGAGACCAGGTGAGGGGGTTCGGGCGTCTGGGGCTGGCAGAGGAGACGCGGAGCCCGGGCCTCACCACGGGTCTGCGTTCCTGGCGCGTTCCTCCGGGAGGCCGGCCTCCACGTGGAGGGGCGTGGAGCAGCGGCCGAGACGGCCCCCAGAGGGTTGAGAGGGGACCGCCATCGCCCGCGTCCAAGCTCCGCGGGGTCTTGTGCTGAGGTCTCAGCAATAGCTGCCTGATTGTCCTCCTTCCCCCAGTCCGCTCATTCATTCATTCATTCATTCAACAAACGTGTAATGAGTCCGCAAGCCAGGCATATGGAATATGAGTTCTGAGGATACAGAGGTAGATAAAACACAGACAGCCCTGCCTTTAGGAGCTTACGGTATAATGAAAGAGACAGACATGTAAACATTACGTGATAAGTAATACAGTTGTAGAAACAAATTCCAGTAAAATACAGGAAGAAGCACATTTTCCCCACTATCAAAGAGTGATGTGGTAACCAACCTGCTGGCGCCATGCCCCGCTGTATGTCATCTCATTTAGTTTAATCTTAGCAACTCAAATCATGAAGGTATTATTTAACTTTCTCCCTTTCAATATTAGCAGGAGGAAACGCCGGAATTTACAGCTTAAAGCCTTGACCAAAGCCACACAGCTAGTAACTGGAAGAACCTCGTTTGGAGCCTGGTGTGCTCGTCTCACCTTGCTAGATCCTTTAGCTCTATTCATTCCATTGCCTCTTTGGAAAAAGCTCAAAGTGATCTTTACAAAGTAGGACAAGGAAGGGATCCTGCTCAAAAAACCTTTAATAACGTCTTGCTGCTATAACAGTATAAAGTAAAAACGTATTAATCCTGACATTCAAGGTGATTTTTTTCATCTGGCCCTTGTCTACCTGCCATTCTCCCCTCAACAGCCAGGGACCAGCCAAGGTCCTCTGCCTTTCTGTTCTTGCCCATTGCTGCTTTCAGCTAAAGCAGAGTTCTGTCAGTCCTCTCTCTATTTGCTCATGCTGTTCATTTCATGCTCCCTGGCCATCTTCCCCACCTTATATGGCAAAATTCTACATCTTCAGGCTCCAACCTGTAATTTCTGAATTCTCCTGTTGGTATTTTTTAAAGTTACAAAATAAATTGTTAAATCCAAGCAATGTAGACATACAGAGTAAGAAGTGAAAGTCACCTCCTTCCTGAAAACACCATCAACAGTTTGTTGGATGATTGTCCAGACTTTTTTCTATGTACATATAAACCTCTCTCATGTTTTTTTAACAAAAAAATGGGATCATATGATCATACTGTATGTATGTTTTTTCTGTAACTTGGTTTTCTTTCACTCAGTAATTCAGGTAGCTGCCCATAGTATGGATAGTTGATATTTTAGGCATTTCCTATTTCAAGGACATTTAAGTTGCTTCCTTTTTTTTTGGCTATGACAAATACTGAGATGAACATCCTTGCACATATTGTATCCTTAGGCACTTTTGTATATTTTCCTAGAGGATACTTGGAAGTTGAAATTACTGAGGTATGCACATTTCAGAATTGTATACGTACTTCCTGATTGTCTTTCCAAAAGGCTACTTTCTGTATTTTGAAAATATCCTCCAGAATGTAAGCTTCATGAGGGAAAGAGTACCACACACAGAGTAACTGTCAATCTGTGTTGAATGGGAGCAGTGTGAAAGATGAATTGGATGAATTTCAGGCAGAAAGGCTGTTAGCTATTTTCTAGCACACTCCTCATATACTTATAGAGTGTTTACACTGTGCAAGGCACTGGGTATCCAGACTATACAGAGTTGACTCAATTCTCACATCTGGCCAGGTGCCATAGCTCACATCTGTAATCCAGCACTTTGGGAGGCCAAGGCAGGTAGATTGCTTGAGCCCAGGAGTTCAAGACAAGCCCGGGCAACATGGTGAAACCCCATCTCTACAAAAAAATACAACAAATTAGCTGAGCTTGGTGATGCATGCCTGTAGTCCCAGCTACTCAGGAGGCTGAGGTGAGAGGATCACTTGAGCCCGGGAGGTGGAGGTTGCGATAAGCTGAGATTGTGCCACTGCACTGTAACCTGGGTGACAGAGGAGACCCTTTCTCAAAAAAAAAAAAATTGTCACATCCTTGGAGCTTAAAGTCTAGGTATGTGCTGGAGTAGAGGGGAAGGCACTCGTCCTTTCTCTTGCCTCTTCCTTATCTTTTAGTAGTACTGGTGAGGAAAAAGCACTCATCCTATTGGGTAGGTGCAAAGATTCAAAGTTACCAGGTTTTGCCTTTGTTATACTCCCTCCCAAACAAACACAAACTGTACCTTTTATTGAAATTTTTTGAATAGGTAATGTATTTACATGGATCAAAAATACAAAAGTTTTTAAAAGGTATTCATTAAACATCTTCCTATTTTCCATCTACCCAGTCCCTACCCCCACCCAGAAACTTCTAAATAAATATGAACTCCTGATATTTTAATGTCTCTTTTTTTAAAAAATTAAAAATTAAGTGTAAGAATTTTTTTCCTAATTTAGGGGTTGGTTATATTGGTTTCAGATAATCAGATATAGCTATATATATATACATATGTATATATGTATAGTATTAGAATTTTGAGTTCTCCATGCTTGTTATTTTGCTGAAAAGAAGTACCCAGAACACCTGCGTGTTTTACTCAAAAAAGATAATGGGTGTTTATGTTACTTGCATTGTGGTGTTTTCCTTTGCTGAGCATGAAATCCAGTGGTTATCACAATTTCATGACTTACAAGCTTGAAAATCAAGAGTCCTGGAGCAGTTCCATAATACTCCTGTCTGCCCTGACCTTTTTGTTTACTGGAGCTGTTGTCCTCTCCCTCTGCAGCATGGGAATCATTGTGCTGGAGCTGTACTGGAAGCATGCTCCAAAGACCTGTAAGAACTTTGCTGAGTTGGCTCGTCGAGGTTACTACAATGGCACAAAATTCCACAGAATTATCAAAGACTTCATGATCCAAGGAGGTGACCCAACAGGGACAGGTACAGTTAAGCCAACATTAGTTTATGTTTTCTTTTTTTTTTCTCCTTTTCGTCTTTTTTTCTAAAGCCAGCATTAGTTTCTGAAGTCTCTGTCGTAAATAGGTGATAAGGCAGCCAGAGCTCTCTTTTCCACTTACTAAGGTCTGTGTTGGTTGATTCTGGTGACAACGCCTGCCTTCCTCAAACACACATGTGTGGAATTGACCAGAAACCAACCTTTACTCCTAGGCTTGGTAGAGTTTTTCATAACTTACATGTACTGCTCACTAAGAACAAATAATATTTGTCTGAATTATAGTGATGCAAGTAGTCTGATCAATAAGAAGGAAAGACTTTATAATATTTTGAGAATAATAAAATCCTGGGTTCTTTTATCGATTCATTCATTTAACAAATACTGAGTACCTGTTTTGTGTCAGATACTTTTTTAAGCTCTAGGGAGATACCTATAAACAAAGAGACAGAATTATTGCTCTCAATAAAGCAGGAAAAGGGTGTGGGGATGGAATTTTAGTAGAAAAGTCAGGGAACTCCTCTCTGACATTATTGGAGAAGAGATCTGAATGAAGTAAGAAAGTGAACCTTGCAACTGTGGGGAGAACATTTTGGATGGAGGGAAGAGCAAACACAGAGGCCCTGAGGCAGGAACCTGTGCTGGAAATCATAAGATATGATACCTTATAGGGCATGGTAGAGACTGGGTTTTATTCTGAGTAAGATGTGATGTGAGTCATTGGAGAGTTTTGAGCAAAGGAAAGACATGATCTGATCTATGCTTTAAAAGGATCACTCTAGGCTGGGCACGGTGGCTCACGCCTGTAATCCCAGCACTTTGGGAGCCCGAGGCAGTTGGATCATTTGAGGTCAGGAGTTCAAGACCAGCCTGACCAACATGGTGAAACGCTCTGTCTACTAAAATACAAAAATTAGCCGGGCGGGTTGGTGGGCACCTGTAATCTCAGGTTCTTAGTCGGGAGGCTGAGGCAGAAGAATTGCTTGAACCCAGGAGATGGAGGTTGCAGTGAGCCAAGATCGCACCACTGCAGTCCAGCCTGGGTAACAGATTGAGACTCCCTCTCAAATAAATAAATAAATAAAAGGATCACTCTAGCTGCTGTTTAGAGAATAGATGTAGGGGCAAGATGTAAACACTATGTAAATAGTTGTTGTACTGTATTGTTTGGGGAGTAATGACAAGAAAAATAGTTCTATACATGTTCAGTACAGATGCTTCCCCCCAAGATGTTTTCAGTCGCGGTTAGTTGAACCCATGAATGTAGAACCCACATGTAGGGAGGGCCGACTATGCTCATGAGTAAGTAGTTGGATAGGAATATGGGGTTCAGGGAAAGACCTGGTATGGAGGTATTAATTTGGGAGTTACTGGCATTTAGATGGGGTTTATTAGTGAACTGGTGGAACCCTTACTCATTTCAAGGGCCCTTGCTTCTCAGTCTGCTTCTTCTCTGCTAATTTCTGCTCGTTTGCCTTTAAACAAGTTTGGTTTTCTCTATAGCAGAGTCTTTTCTCAGTCTTGTTCTTTTTTGTCATTCTTAATCGTCTCATGATTTATCATCTATGGTCAGAAGCATTCAGGTTTTTGGGTTTTTTTTTTTTTAATGTATATGGATGCATTTCAAAATACAGAATATATAAGAAAGCAGAGAAAAGGGGAAAAATCATTCATAAGCATAGCTCCTAAAGATTTCTAACCATCATTAACTAATCCCTAAATATCCCATCTTTCAGAAAGGAACAGTGTTAACTTTTGGTGCCCATCATGTCTGGTTTAAGGGATGACAGGATAAATGGAAGTAGTTTCAAAAAAATAGGATATATAAGCTATTGTTTTTAAAACAGAACATATTACATTTAATTTCATATATATAGAACAGAATATTTGACTTCCTACAGTGAAAGATGAGGCAATTAGTACTTAAATTTCTACCCATTCTTATTTTTCCCCGACCTTAATTTTTGTTGTTAGTTTTATTATTATCTGTTCTGCACTCATCATTCCTTCAGCTACAGTGTGGGTCCTACGTTTCAGTGTATTTAGTGTTCACAACTTGCTTCGCTTTTACCTTCGCAAGTGCTGGAGGGCAGGATTTCTTGTCTAGTGGTTTTTTAGTGTTTTTTTTTCAGAATGCTCAAGAATCACAATTGTCCAGTGGTTTTTTGTTACAAGAGCTGGAATGTGTTGTATTTTTAAGTTCATTCATGTTTCAGAATTTCTGCCTGTTACTTTTATACTTGAAAAGAGATAGCATGTTGGCATGCTCAGCCCCCTCACTGTGTGATGCACTGTGCCACTTTGGGACTTCACAGAGTCCCCACCAGCAAGAAGGCTCTCACCAAATGTGGCCACTTGACCTTGGACTTCTCAGCCTCCACAACTGTAAGAGATAAATTACTTTTTTAAAATAAATTTTTTAGGCCAGGCATGGTGGCTCACACCTGTAAGCCTAGCACTTTGGAGGCTGAGGCGGGAGGGTCACTTGAGTTCAGGAGTTCAAGACCAGCCTGGGCGACATAGTGAGACCCCGTCTCTACAAAAAATAAAAAATTAGCTGGGCATGGTCGCATATGCCTGTAATCCCAGCTACTGGGAGGCTGAGGTAGGAGGATCACTTGAACCTGGGAGGTTGAGACTGCAGTGAGCCATGATTGTGCCCACTGCACTCCAGCCTGAGCGACACAGTGAGACACTATCTCTAAATAAATAAATTAAAATAAAATAAAAATATTTAAAAGGAAGAAAAAAAGACCATAACTGGGTATAGCATTCTGAGATCTTTTTAGACATTTCTGATCAATTGCCTTCTGGTTTGGTTTTTTGTTGTTGTTTGTTTTTGTTGTTGTTGTTGTTGTTTTTGGAGACAGGATCTTGCTCTGTCACCTAGGCCCAGGCTCGAGTACAGTGATACAATCATGGCTCACTGCAATCTCCATCCCCTGGGCTCAAGCATTTCTCCTACCTCAGCCTCCCGAGTAGCTGAGACTACAGGCATTCACCAGCATGCCTCACTAATTTTTAAATTTTTTATAGAGTTGAGGTCTCACTGTTGCTGAGGCCGGTCTCAAACTCCTGGGCCTAAGTGATCCTCCTGCCTCGGCCTTCCAAAATGTTGGGATTACAGGCATGAGCCATCATGCCTGGCTGCCTTCTCATTTTTGAATATGGTTTTGGAGAATACTGAGGCCAGATTTACTCCTTCCTTTACATCAGGGTTAATTTTTTGATTTCTATTTCTGAATATTTTCTCTGTTATACTTACTGGATTTTCTATTTCAGGAAATATAGTTATTTGTTTCATCACCTTTGCCTTCCATATCTATCATATTTCTTTTGATTGTGTGATAGGATTTTTTTTTCTTTTTTCCCTGCATTCACTAAAATAATCTCAGACCTTTACTCTGTGCCTTACTCAATTTTCAGTCATTTTTATTCTGTTCTTTACTGCTCTAATTTATCTACTAGCTCATTACTGATGCCATTTGAATCTAAATTTGTTTCCTTCACTCTGCAATCTTTTCATCTTATTCTGTGGTGTATTATCTTGTCTTTGAGCTTTTGTTATATTATATTTTTACTTCTCTTGAATCATCCATAGCTTGAGATAGCCATGGAGAAGCCACTTTCTCCCAGGCTGAGTTCCTGGGTTTTCTTTTCCTTTCTCCCCTCCTCCTTTCTGTCCTTCTGTTGGTTGTGGTATGTTTGCCTAGTTTCCATGCCATTTGTTTTCATCTTATCCATGCTTGATGTCAACACCTACATTATCCCCACCTTTTACTTGCTCAGATACAGTGTAAGTGGAGTCTCCTTGTCATTCTCCCCACTTATGTGGAACTGGTTGTCTTCCCCACTTCAAATGTTAGGTTGCTTTCTCTCTATTCTATTCTAGCCTGAAGAGGTGTGGGAGAGAACTGGAGCTCAGCTCATGCTGAGCGAGCCCCTTGTGGGAGGGCTAGCCTCTGTTCTATCTTCCCAGACTCCCTTAAAGTCTTGTCCCAGAGCCCCCTCCACCAGCCAGTGGTGTCCCTCTGTCACCACTCCAGGCTCTGGGTAGTCCCCAAGTATGGCCCAGCACCCTGGAAGGTGGCCAGCCCTGCGTGCCTGCCCTGCCACTCCCGAGCCCCTGTGATATGTGTGGGCTTCTGCCCTCAAGGGCTTTGTTTTCAGAGCTGCTCACCCACTCCCCTGTTGGCTGTTCAGAATCGGAGGGTATTTGTGAGAATCTCAGCATGACATTTCTTTCCTGGTTACTGGTTTCAGGGAATACAGATGGAAGAATTTTCTATTTTTTCCTCTTGGCTGACTCTTTTTACAATTTTAGCATGTTTGGTTCCCTTTTCTTATTTGGTTGATGCTGGTGAACTTTTGACTTTTTAATTTTTAATTTTTGTATGTTCACTTTATTGGGTGTTGGGAGCATGTGGTAAACGTGCCTGATAGCAATAACTGAAACATACCCTTAGAATGACCCTGTATGGCAGACGCATCTGAATGTGTGTTCTGAGCTAGGGAATCCAGGAGTAGCCAACCTGGAGGTTCCTTCCTTGTCTATAAAGGGACATCTGAGCCCCTGGCTCGTCCTGTGAAACATGGGCCGCACACGGGTTGAGGCCCCGAGTTTTGAGTTGAATGAAGATTGCCAGGTGGAGATTGTTAGGGAGAAGGTGCTAAGTGGAAATGCTATATAAACTGCATGCTTTTTGCAAGCCATTGTGGTTCTCCGCCACCATTGGACTCTCTGCCCTGTATGTAAGTCCCCAATAAAACCCCATGTCTCATTTGCTGGCATTAGGTCTCTTCGGTCTATTGAACCTGATGCCATCCCCATTGGAGTCAATAGAGGTTCGGCACAACAGGGAGGCAGAGTCTAGTCCTGCTTCATTCTACTTTCTTTGTCTGAAAGGGTTCCGTCGGTACTTCGATGTACTTCTTTCCTGTCTTCTTCCTCTCTCCCCCTCATGTTGTTATGAAATAAATTTTAATTCTTAATACCAGTGAACTGAGAGTCCATGATTAGGGTACAAGTATTGGAAGTGACTCAGGTGTGAGTTGCTCATGCCACAGCTTTTCTGTATTTCTGTAGTTGGTTCATGATCCTTCATAATGTCACATTTCCATGGTGTAATTTTAATGAAATTGAATCACTCAAAAGATCTTCAAATAACTGCACCCAGCCTCAAGTATAATGAATGACTGAGCAGCCCACTGGCAGGTCTATGGTGGAAGGCAAGCAGGAGTTAGGCTCTCCTGGGTCACTAGTTCATATTTTCTAGCTGATTAGGTGACACGTTTTTTGTTAAACATCTCAGATGGGCAGCAAATGACATCCTGGGCTCTTCAGCAAGTTGATGTACCACTTCCATTCCCAGCTGTCCCTCAGTCTGACTACTGTGGAACCATTCTTTCCACATGCTTTCTTGTAATACATCTTTGCCAGATGCCTTGTCAATTCAAATACCCTTTGACTTCCTGCTTCATTTCATTTTAAACCATTTTTCTACCTTCAACTTTCCCATATTATAATAACTATAGAGGCTCTTTCCTTAGCCCTCTGAGTGTCTTTTATTTGTTTCTACTAACCTTTCTGTCCTCTCTGTAAGACATAACATCCTGTCAAGTTCTTCCTTTAGCTCTTCCTGCTCTGCACTTGGCCTCACAGTGCTCACCAGCTGCTGTGATTAATTATATGCTGATTATCCTGTGCGTCACTCTCACTTTGATTTCATCTCTCCTCTTGGTAGCCCCAGGAACACCTGAAATGTAACGTGTTGAACAGCAAGCTCTGTTAATTTTATTCATTTGATGAGTATTTGCCAAGAGTCTGCTGGGTATCCTGTGCTATTCTAAGGCCTGGGAGAAGCACTTAAGCATTAAAAGCCAAGGCATTTTCTTTTTCCTTGCAGTTCCCTGCCCTGCCAGGAAACAAACTATTCATTATAAGAAACAACTAGAATGGGATAATATAAATATGCAAATGTATGATAGTACGGTGTGGATTATGTATATAATATAGGTTGGAGTAATTCACAATAAGGGAAAAAGCACAATGGAATGAGATTAGGATGGGAAGGAGGCATATGCGAGATGGGTCTTGGGAAGTAGAGGGAAGGGCATTTTGAATTTAGGAAGAAGGGTGGGTACAGGGCAGGAGTGACAGAGGCATGCAGGGGTAGGGAGGGAGCCCGCCACCCCCGGTGTCACATCTTCCACTCTAGACTGGCTCTTGTGACATCACCCAGCCACCTCTCCACACCCAGAACAAATGCATCAAATGTGATTCAAAGGCCCCTGTAAAATTTACAGATCTCGGAACTGCCTGTTTAGGGGACAGTAAGGAGCAGTTTGGGGCCAGTTAATGGAGACTCCTAGACAGAGGAGTTCAGATTTGATTGAGCATGACTCAGGGACCATTTGGGACTCTTGAGTCTGGGATAAGACAAATCTGAGGAAATTTCATCCAGCTGTGGACTATGGCAAGACAGTTTGGTTCAGGGTAGAGCAGGACTGTGGAGCTTGGGCTTGCCTTGTGCTTCACATGAATACTTACTAAATGTAGAGGAGTTGCCTTACCCTGCTGAGCCAGCTCACCTGTCGGGAGTGTGGTTACGTGCACCTCCTAGGCTGGTTGTGAGTAGTAAATGAGCTGATGTTGGTACAGTGGTTAGCATGGGCTTGACACAAAGTGGGAGCTCAAACAAATGTGACTGGTTTTTTTTTTTTATTGTTAATTCATTTAACAAATACCTATTAGACTCCTTCTGTAGGCCAGGCACTCTTCTAAAAGCTGGAGATACAACAGTGAATAAGAAAGCCCTCGCGGTGCTCTCATTCTGGTGAGAGACGGAGAATGAAAAAGTACATAATATACTCTCAGGGATGGCAGATGATATGGAAAAAAGAATGTACTGCTGGGATGGAACAGGATTTCTCAACCTAGGCACTATTGACATTTAGAGCTGGATGATTCTTTGTTGGAGGGGGTGCTGTCCTGTGCATTGAAGGATGGTTAGCTTCGTGATGGCTTCTAACTGCTTGATACTGATAGAACCACTCAGTGTGACAACCCAAATTGTCTCCAGACATTGCCCACTGTCGCCAGGGGTCAAAATCACTCCCCGTTGAGAACCACTAGGCTAGAGGGTGAGGGAAGTGCTGGTTTGGAGAGTGTGATTAGGGAAACCTCTCTGAGAGCATTTGACCATAGTTCTGAATGAAATGAAGTGGTGATCCATGAGACCATCCAGGCCAAGGGCACTCTGAAGAGAACAGCAGCCAGAGGCCTTAGACCAGAGTGTGCCTGGCAGGAAACAGCACAGGGGCCAGTGTAGCTGGAACACCTGAGAGAGTGGCAGGAGATAGCTCAGAGAGTAGCAGAGTGCCCAATCGTGGGGGGTGTTGTAAGCTGTGGTGAGGATTGTGGATTTTGTTCTCAGAGTGATACAGTGTTGATGGAGGGTTTCAAGCAGGGGAGTGCTGCGATTAGGCTTGTTTGAAAAGGATCCCTGTGGCTACCATGTGAAGAATAGAGGGTGGGGAAAGAGGGAGGCAAGGCTGGAAGCAAGGAGACCAGTGGGAAGCTTTTATTCCTATTCAAGCTGGAGATGGTTGTTGTTTGAACTAGGGTGATAGCAGCTGTGTTAGTTCTGGTCCTCTGGGAAGCAAACACCAAGATAGAGGTTTATTGGGTAACACCTGTGAAAGATAAAGGGTCAGGGAACCAGGTTTGGAAGGGAAGGTCTTCACACAGCAGCGCAGGCCTGAGTAACACCTGTGAAAGCAGAGGGGCGGAGGAGGAGCAGCTGCCAGTGAGCAGCGAGGAACACCAGGAGAATGTGGAGTCGTGGAAGCCAAAGGAAGACAGCAACTCAAGCAGAAGGGTGACATCGAGTGTGGATCAAGTAAAGTGAGTGCTGAGGATTGACCACTGGGTATAACCACGTGGAGGTCACTGGCGACCTTGACAAGAGCAGTTTCAGCGGAGCGGTGAGGGGCGAAAGTCTGAATGGAGCATGTTCAAGCAAGAATGGGGAGAAGTAGAGACACTTGGTGTTGACAGCTTTTTCAAGGAGTTTTTCTGTGAAGGGATGTAGAGAAATAGGAGGATACTTGGAAATAGAGTTTTGCTTTTTAAAATAGGAAATATCAATAACATGTTTAAATGCTGACAGGAATGATCCATTAGAAAGAGAAAAATTGGTCTACTAGAGGGGGAGGTTGTAGTTGCTGAGTTCTTTAAAGGTGAGCGGGATTGGGTACGTGGTGGTAGGATAGTCATGGACAGCTTATTCACACAGTGTCTTAGGGAAGGGAGGTGGGTAGAGGTGTAGGAAGGGAAGGGGCTTTGGTGGTGAGAGCATGTGAAAGTTCTCTTCTGATAATTCCTTCTTCTCAGTGAAATAAGAAGCAAGGTTCTCCTCAAAGAGTGAGCAGCAGCGAGGGAGTGGTGGAAATTTGAGGACAGAGGAACTGAATAAACCCAGGCAGGCTGCCTCCCGAGGTGGCACTTTGAATCATGACCAGCAGCTTCTCAGAGAAAATGCTCGGGTTACCTCAGTTAAAGGGGCTCTTCATCACTGACACTACTGTGTGTTTGCCTCATGTTACACACCAGATAGCTTCCATATGCTGTCTCATTTAATTCTCATAACAAGCCTGTGAGACATAGGTGTTACTGCTACTCCCATTTTGCAGACAGGGGAACTGAGGCTTGGAGAGAAAGTGTCTTGATTAAGGTTAAACAGTAATTGGTGGGGTCAGAACTGGAATCCAGACGTCTCTGACCCCAAAGGCAAGTGAGAAAGAGAAGACAGCATCTTCAGAACCACAAAGCCCCTTGGAGGACTGTGGCATTGTTCCCGTCTGGTATATTAACAAAGTGTTTGTGTCAGGTAGCACTGCTTTTGGCTACAAGTAACAGAAAACCTAATCCCACGGGCTGTTTTTTCTTACACAACAGAACGTCTGGAAGTGAGCAGTTATTGTCATCTCTTCACCAGCCCAGAAGAGTTGTCAGGGATCTAGGCTTGCCATATCTTTCCCCACTTCATTCGTAATGTGTTGGCCTTTGGTCTTGAACTTGTTAGTCTTATGGTTGCAAGATGGCTGCTGCTGTTCTGGCATCACCCTACTTTCAAAGAAGGAAGATGGGAAAGAGCTGTAGATGAAGGACAAAAGAGTATGTCTGTTTTTATCAGGAAAGCTGTAGCTTTCTCAGAAGCTTGACTCAGCGACTTCTGTTTGTATCAGTAAGTCACAACTGGGTCATCTGGCCACGCCTGTCTGCAAAATGGACTTGTCAGCACCTGCCTTTTTTGTCTCTGAGGTTGAGGCAGGCTGTGGAGGAGGAGGCTGGGGATGCTCAGGAGACTACTGACGGACAGTGTCTGTTAGAGGCACTCTTGCCAGAAGAGAGGCTTTGATTGGTCAGTTGCCCTCTGGTGTCAGGTGCCCCACTGGCTCTCCTTATAGGCCACTGCCCATCTGTGGGGCTGGATATTAATCTATTGTCCCATCAACTGTGGGGTGGGAGGGGCGGGGACAAGTAGCACCAAGTGTGGTCATCTTGGTGTAAGACACTGCATGTCCCATGCCTTAGACATCATTTTGACAGGTTTCCACAGTGACTAAGAGGAGGAGGAAGGGACATCACAGGAGTCACAGGGATGAGAAAAGGGTTTTTTGTGTTTTGTTTTTAAGAAACAACACAGGCCAGGCACAGTGGCTCACACCTGTAATCCCAGCACTTTGGGAAGCCGAGGTAGGCAGATCACCTGAGGTCAGGAGTTTGAGGCCAGCCTGACCGACATGGAGAAATCCCGTCTCTACTAAAAATACAAAATTAGCCAGGCATGGTGGCGCATGCCTGTAATCCCAGCTACTCGGGAGGCTGAGGCAGGAGAATTGCTTAAACCTGGGAGGCGGAGGTTGCGGTGAGCCAAGATGGCACCATTGCACTCCAGCCTGGGCCACAAGAGCGAAACTCTGTCTCAGAAAAAAAAAAGGAATTAAAAAAAAAAAAAAACACAGATCATAAAGAAGAAGGTTAAGAAATGTTAACTGCAAAGGTTCTGTTCATTGGAAGATCCCATTACAAGAGTGAAAAAAGTTAACTGGGAGAAGGTATTTGCAAAACATTCACTGACAGAGGATTAGTATCTATAGTATATAGTTGAGCCTTTACCAACATGGGTTTGAACCATGGAGGTCCATACAGTTTTCTCAGAGCCCACAGCGGGACTTGAGCGAGCAGGGATTTTGGTGTCACAGGGATCCTGGAACCAATCCCCTGAGTATACCAAGGGATGACTGTATGTATCAATTCCAAAATGTCATACCACTGAGTGGCCGTTCACAGAGGGGACAAGCTAAATAAGCCAGTAAACATGAAATTATGCCAAACTTCAGAGAAATGCAGTTTAAAACACCACAAGAGGTCTCACACTTCTCAGACTGACAGAAGGACCTAGAGCAGTAAGAGTGAGAGTGCTGCGGGGTGGGGTGCATGTTGGTTCATCCTTTTCAATAAGGCACTTAGAAAAATCTAGCAATGATGAAATACTCAAACTATGACCCTGTGTATCCCCTGTGAGGTATTGGCCCCCGAGAGCTCTTGCACTTGGATTTCGGAGACAGTATAAGAATAGTTTTTATAGCATGGTCGATAATAACCAAAACATTGGAAAGATCCTCAGTATCAACACCAGAAAAGATAAGACAGAGCATTATGGTCATACAGTGAGGTGAACACTACAGAGACCTGCCTGGAACAAAGTAGATGAGTCTCTCAAACAGTGTTGAGAATATATAAAGTGTAATACCACTTATGTAAGCTTAAAAACATGCAAAACAACAATACTTTTTTTTTTTAGGGGTACATAGATGTGTAGTAAAAAAGCTTAAAAACATGCAAAACAGCAATACTTTTTTTTTTTTTTTTTTAGGGATACATATATGTGTAGTAAAAAAGAAAATGCATGGAAATGCCAAATTCTTGTCAGAATAGTGGTTACCTGAGAGGAAAATGTGATTCTTTGAATCAGCTGTTAGCTCTCAGGAGAATGAGTGGTGGGGAGAGATGCAGTGGGGTGTATGCATGGGGTCTTAGCTGGATTTGCAATAGTTTATTTCTTGGGGGCGGAGGTGGTCATAGATATTGGTCATATTATTCTTTGTATGTTTGCGTGTCTGAAATAAATACATTGAATAAATGATCCCAAGAGAGGACAGAGGACAGAAGAGGAAAAGAATCTCTTTTTTTTTGGAGACAGACAGGAGTGCAATGGCGCAATCACAGCTCACTCTAGCCTCGACCTACTGGGCTTGAGTGATCCTCTCACCTCAGCCACCTGAGTAGCTGTAGCTGGGACTGCAGGCACGCACAACCACGCCTGGCTAATTTTTGTAGAGACGAGTTTCACCATGTTGCTTAGGCTGGTCTCAACTCCTGGGCTTAAGAGATCCGCCCCCTTCAGCCTCCCAAAGTGTTGGGATTATAGGTGTGAGCCACTTGTACCTGGCCAGAAAAGAATCTTGAAGGTTCTTTTCTAACCTGTAATCAAAGGTTAGAAAACAGGTCTTGGCCGGGTGTGGTGGCTCACACCTGTAATCCCAGCACTTTGGGAGGCCGAGCCTGGCAGATCATGAGGTCAAGATTGAGACCATCCTGGGCAACATGGTGAAACCCCATCTCTACTAAAAATACAAAAATTAGCTGGGCATGGTGGCGGGCGCCTGTAGTCCCAGCTACTCAGGAGGCTGAGGCAGGAAAATCACTTGAACCCGGGAGGCAGAAGTTGCAGTGAGCCGAGATCGCACCACTGCACTCCAGCCTGGTGATAGAGTGAGATTCTGTCTCAAAACACACACACACACACACACACACACACACACAATAGAAAACAGGTCTGCCTATCTTCATTGTGTCTGTGCTAGACCAGGCACAGAACCTGCAAAGCTTCCAAATTGTTGGCTTTCTAACTGATAATTGACATCTGAGTAGCATGCTCTGCACTGGAGAACTCTTTAATCATTCTCTGTCCCTCTGCCACCTCTCACTTATTCCACGTGCCCAGAGGAATGTTTGAATTAGAATGATTTGTCTTTCTGAAATTTTGCCGCAAACCCTACTGAGTTGAATTGGGTTATGAAAAGATAACATATTATGAGTAAGATATTATGAAAACTCTGCCTATTGAGTAAAGGTGATCTCCATGCTCTTTCCTCCTGTATCCTCTGATTCCCACTTCATCTGTGACTTTTTTTTTTTTTTTTTTTTTTTGAGACAGGGTCTCACTCTGTTGCCTGGGCTGCAGTGCAGTGGTGCGATCTCAGCTCACTGCAACCTCTGCCTCCCAGGTTCAAGCGATTCTCCTGCCTCAGCCTCCCAAGTAGCTGGGATTACAGGCACGTGCCACCACGCCTGGCTAATTTTTGTATTTTTATTAGTGATGGGGTTTCACCATGTTGGTCAGGCTGGTCTCAAACTCCTGACCTCATGATCTGCCTGCCTCGGCCTCCCAAAGTGCTGGAATTACAGGTGTGAGCCACCATGCCCAGCCCATCTGTGACTCTTGACTGACCTATTCCTTAATGCACTTCTTGTTTGTGGTGATGTTTGTGTGATAGTTTACCATTCCTAGAGGGCAGGGTCCTGGGGGGTTTGTTCTGGTAGCCCTCAGGTTGCAGGGATCACACTTTGAAGCTCAGGCCACAGACTGACAGCGTACTACTGAACTGAATCCTTAGCTTGCTCACTCAAGTCCTGCACGCAGAGCCTGGCCTCTGTGGCGTCTGGCCCCACAGCCCTCTCCCTAGTCTCTGGTAACCCCAGCCAGGAACCTTGACTCTCTAGTGGTTGCCAAAGGACCAAGCAAAGGGGAGGATTGAGTCAGAGGGAACATATTGGTTATATAATTGCTGTTTGGAAGTATACTGACAGGTTGGAATTTTTGGAATGAGTTTTACACAGTTTAGTGTGGTTCAGTATTTTTCCAGAAGCATAGGTAGCCTGGGCCAAGTGGGAGGTTTCCCCTAGTCTGTTAGGATTCACCCCCATCCCTCTTTGCATGAGAACAGTGTTTTCTTCCGGAAAAGAAACGGGGGCTGTGACAGGCTCCCTGTGGTGAAGCCGACTAAAAGGTAAAGCAAAGGATTTTTGCCATGGAAACACCTTAGCCATGCCCAGGGGCCTTGGGGGTGGACTTGGTGCTACTTTTATAGCAGGCAGTAGAGGAAGTGAGCTGCCAGCACTGGGCTGCAGGGCAAGCAGAGTACCAATCCAGTGTTTACTTTGTTCTAGGCTGTTTTGTCGTGACCGTTCAACTTGGAGAAACCAATGTAGTTCAGTAAGGCATATGATTGACTACATAATTGATTAGTATTGGTTAGGAAAGTTGCCTCCTGTTTTGACATGTTTTCCTGTGAGAAAACCATGTTTAACTTACATCTTTTTTTTTTTTTTTTTTTTTTTTTGAGACAGTCTTGCTCTGTCGCCCAGGCTGGAGTGCAATGGCATGATCTCGGCTCACTGCAACCTCCACCTACTGGGTTCAAGCAATTCTCCTGCCTCAGCCTCCCAAGTAGCTGGGACTACAGGTGTGTGCCACCATGCCTGGCTAATTTTTTTTTTGTATTTTTAGTAGAGATGGGGGTTTCACTATGTTGGCCAGGCTGGTCTCGAACTCATGACCTCGTGATCCACCTGCCTTGGCCTTCCAACGTGCTGGGATTATAGGCATGAGCCACCGCGCCTGGTCTAACTTACATCCTTTTGCTCTTAGAGCAAAACCTGCCTGAGCTTAGGGTATCCAGCCCAGCACCCTGCTCTTGTGGGCATAATATAAATAACATTTGGTGGTGATGCTGCTAGCAAATAATTCCCAATCCCATGTTTCTTCATTTTCCCTTTATTCATTTATTTAGAGTCAAGGTTTTGCCTCTTGCCTAGACTGGAGTATACTGACATGATCATAGCTCACCGTAAACTCAAACTCCTGGGCTCAAAGCAGTCCTCCTGCCTCAGCCTCCTAAGGAGCTGGGACTACAGGCATGTGCTACCACATCTGGCTGAATTTTAAAATTTTTTTGTGAGCCAGGTGCAGTGGTTCACGCCTATAATCCCAGCACTTGGGAAGCCAAGGAGGGAGGATTGCTTGACGCCAGGAGTTTGAGACCAGCCTGGGCAACGTAGCAAGACCCCATCTCTAAAAAAAAAAAATTTATGGAGTCAGGGTCTCGCTCTGTGGCCCAGCTCAAACTCCTGGCCTCCAGCAGTCCTCCTGCCTCAGCTTCCCAAAGTGCTGAGATTTTAGATGTGAGCCACCACACCTGGCCCTGTTTTCTCTTAATGATGTACTGCCTCACCTCTCAGTGGACTCTGCCGACCGTAATGTCCCTTTCTGCCACATTGCCACTTACCAGCTATTTCTCCTTCAGCTGGATAGCTTTAACTTAAATGAATTTTATTTTCCATCACCTAGGTTAAGGGTGGCAAATAGGTTTCAACTCTGGGGCTATTACTGATTAATTAATAACGGCTGCCTGAGTTCTGGGTTGATAACATTCAGAGGCAAATCTAGCTCAGCAGGGAAGAATACTGATTGATTGGCAATGTCTGTGATGGGCACAGGGATAGGACTTGGGGCACTCATGTCTAAAATACTCAAAAAAAGGTTAAAAATCAAGAAACCTCTTAACACATCAGATTATGAATGGTGGTTATCTCTAGATGGTCAGGTTACAGAGGATTTTAATGTTCTTTTGATAATGTTCTATGTTTTCTACCTTTTTGATAGTGAACATGTATTATTTTAATGTGCAGGAAAAAATAGCGTTATTTTGAAAAGGAAAGTCTTATCGGAATGAAACCAATGATTTGAATGTGCTATTAGTGCTAGATTCTGTAGTTGCAATATACCTAGCAGTGGGGTAGGTGTCACTGCCTTTTCCTTTCCTCTACTCTGAGAAATCCTTTGACCCTGGGCCATCATTCTTGCTGTGAGATAGAATGTGTGACTGGCTGATTCATGTGTCATCTTCCAATCGGGCAGGTCGAGGTGGTGCATCTATCTATGGCAAACAGTTTGAAGATGAACTTCATCCAGACTTGAAATTCACGGGTAAGTGTATAATTTGGCTGGACTGGGTAGGAACGGGGATTTTAAAAGCTCACTCTTTTGGCCATGATTCAAGGTGAATGCCTGACACCGTGGCATGGTGCCAGATAGCTGCCCAGCCATGGCGCCATGAAGTGCCCTGGTGGATTAGAGAAAGCAGCGCCTCTCACAAAGTTCTGAGCAATTCAGAGCACTGGTCGGTGTGTTCTAGACTCTAACTACTTGTTAAAGGTCACAGGATATCAAAAGTGTCCTCAAAGAAACAGGAAACCTTGCTGGGTTTTTGAGGGCAGTCAGGAACATGGTCCACAGTTAGTGAGGAGCATCAGGGGTCAAGGCTGGGGAATAGGTGAGGACAAGGAAGATGAAGTCGCCAGAATAGTGTAGTGATGGCCTTTGTACAGGGCAGAGAGACTGCCCTGAGGGGTTGTCTGGGTCTGGACAGAGGCCAGAACAAAGTCCTGGCTGCTTTTTCATCCCTAGGATGGGGCAGCAGCTCTACACTGGACCTGTGGGGTTATTTATACTCTTTCCTTTCTTCCTTTTTCCCACCAGGGGCTGGAATTCTCGCAATGGCCAATGCGGGGCCAGATACCAATGGCAGCCAGTTCTTTGTGACCCTCGCCCCCACCCAGTGGCTTGACGGCAAACACACCATTTTTGGCCGAGTGTGTCAGGGCATAGGAATGGTGAATCGCGTGGGAATGGTAGAAACAAACTCCCAGGACCGCCCTGTGGACGACGTGAAGATCATTAAGGCATACCCTTCTGGGTAGACTTGCTACCCTCTTGAGCAGCTCTTCTGAGATGGCCCCAGTGAACCAGCTTCTAGATGACATAGAATGACATGTAATGCTAAATTCATTTTGGCTTTGCAAGTCATGAAGCTTAGGAGGCCTGGCATCTTGGGTGAGTTAGAGATGGAAGTACATTTTAATAGGATGCTTCTTTTCTCTTCCCCCAGTGCCTAGGTTGCCAGAGCATTTGCACAAATGCCCCTGTTTATCAATAGGTGACTACTTACTACACATGAACCATAATGCTGCTTCTTGTGCATGTCTGCTCTGATATACGTCGAACAATGTAGCAGCCACTGTCATTTCTCAGTGGTTTTGCCTAACCAAACTTCTTCCTAAGGAGATTTATATTCTGGCCTACACAGCAGTCCTTGATGGCTGACAGCCACAGAATTCCAAACCAAGTAGTGTCTGTCAGCCCTCTTAACTCTGTGCACGCCCTATTTCAGTCTTTTACATTTGTTCTTCTAGGGAATGTATGCATCTCTATATATATTTTCCCTCTCAAAACCAGAACATCAACAGTGCTGTTTCTGACACTTCAGACATCCCACGCAAAGCCACATTGAATTTTTGCCAAATGAAAAACACATCCAACAATCAAGTTTCTAAGAAGGTGTCAAGTGGGGAATAATAATAATGTATAATAATCAAGAAATTAGTTTATTAAAAGGAAGCAGAAGCATTGACCATTTTTTCCCAGAGAAGAGGAGAAATCTGTAGTGAGCAAAGGACAGACCATGAATCCTCCTTGAGAAGTAGTACTCTCAGAAAGGAGAAGCGCCACTCAAGTTCTTTTAACCCAAGACTTTAGAGAAATTAGGTCCAAGATTTTTATATGTTCAGTTGTTTATGTATAAAAATAACTTTCTGGATTTTGTGGGGAGGAGCAGGAGAGGAAGGAAGTTAATACCTATGTAATACATAGAAACTTCCACAATAAAATGCCATTGATGGTTGAAATTGCTGCTGTGGTCTGATTCTAAATATTGTATGAGGTTCCAATGGTCATTTTAATCCCAGTCATCTTAAGTAGTAGTACAGAGATTGAATGTTCAAGATTTCACATCATTTTAGGCTTGTGGATCTCCAGTAGACTTCTCCCTCTTTAAGAGCAATTCTAACTTTAAAAGGGCAGAACCAGAGAAAGAATTAAGTGACAGAAATTGACATTTCTGAATAAGAGGTGTATTCATCTGTTTTCACATTGCTATAAAGACACTACCTGAGACTAGGTAATTTATAAACAAGAGAGGTTTAATTGACTCACAGTTCCACATGGCTAGGGAGACCTCAGGAAACTTACAATAATGGTGGAAGGCAAAGGAGAAGCAAGCACCTTCTTTACAAGGTGGCAGGAGAGAGAGCGAGCACGGGGGAAACCACCATATTTAAACCATCAGATCTCATGAGATCTCCCTCACTATCGTGAGAACAGCATGCAGGGGGAAAATGCCCCATGATCAGTCACCTCCCACCAGATCCCTCCCTCGACACAGAGGATTACAATTCGAGATGAGATTTGGGTGGGGACACAGAGCCAAACCATGTTGGGGGGATTACCTGTAAGTGAACCAGGTGTATGTGCTAAGAGACCTGCACCATCCCTGGAATTTGCAGAGAGCCCACCTGCACATTATTATGGGACCAGAGGCAGTATATGTTGTGGTGTTTGGTTCCTTAAGCTGGTAGCTCCTTGAAGAGGGGATTATAACTTTAATGTTTCTTACTACTCTATCAATTTTGGAAATGGTGATTTACTTTATGGAATGGCCAAACAAGGTTCTGTTCCCCAAGCCTTCCCTACCTTCAACCTCTTTCTCTACCTTTCTCTTTTCTCTCAATAGCAAAAAAGCAAAACCCAACAACAAACCATATAAATGACTTTGTAACTTCCCAGAGATGGTTTTTGTATGCAAAGTAGTGTTCTACACTCTGGAAAAAATAGAAATGTATTTCTTTCAGCCTGAACTGGGTGGACATAATTGGATCTGCCTCTGAGAGCAAGGAATAGCACCTGTTCACTAACCTCCCAGAATCGTAATCCTGAAAATCTCCACTTTCATCCAAGGCACAGGCGTGGTGGAAACGTATCATGGCTACTCTGAAGCAAAGAAGGTTCTGCATGCCTTGGGAGGAGAGCCACACAGGCACAGTTCCTTGTTTTTGGAAAGGGACACCAAATCCATGCTAAGGCAGTCACGTGGGCACATACCAGTTTTCATAGAGGATATGACCTCAGAGAGTGAAGCTTGAATTGTTTCACAATTTGTGGTTCTGCCAGTTAGCCAGAGTTGTAGAAGTTCCCGTTTCCTTATAAGGGAAGCTCATCTAAAAGGAATCCTGCTTAATTCTTTGGTCATATGAGTGTCTACATCCTGTCAGGATTAGTACCATTGAGACAGGTCTCATAAAAGTGGGGTGTACTAGAGATAGTTCATTTTTGTTACATCTCATCACGGTGAGGGTGGTGAGCTTTCTCCTGGCTTATCAGGAGAAAACAAGGATAAGTTTAAAACTTGGATGGGGATTATTGAAGATAGGTGTGGAGGACCATGGGGGGCTCATCAAGGCACAGGAGAGAGACAGCTCTCTGCTGCTTCTCGTGGGGGAAGGGAAAGAGATTCTAGACATTTGGAGAAGGCTTAAAGTTGGAAGTAGATACACCAGTGGAAAAGGCTTTCAAACAGGTGCCCCTGGGATGATGGATAAGAGAAGCTTGGCACACAGACTATAAAGAATATGGCCCAAGGGCCCTAGCCCAGGGCTTCTCACATGACTACATGCAGGAATCACTGAGGGAGCCTGTTAGGAAGCAGCTTCTGACTCAGCACTCAGCCAGAGAGTCTGCAGTTCTCGCCAGCTCCCAGGAGATGGTGACTGCCGGTCCAGACACCACCCTTTGAGTAGTGAGGTCCTAGAGGTCACATTTGTCCAACATGAAACTGGGGAGGGGGGGTTTCCCTAAGAGCAAGGGCAGTCAGGACCATGAACCAATCTTATGCCTCCTGGAGCAGAGCTCTCCACCTCATCCTGGTGGTCTTGGAAGAGTGAAGAGATTCAAAGCACACGATGAGCTTTAACATAAGCTGCTGGCTTTGGCTACTGGGATTGAGCTTTATGAAAGTGTTCTGTTCCCACAGCAGTACAACATGGACTTCAGACCCTGGTATGTGGCACTGAGATACCTTGTGTGGACACCAGGGTGGGTGAGATTGGGTGATCAGTAGACATCACAGAAAATGCAGGGAAAAGAGCATCAACAAAGATGACATTGGGGGAAAGAGCTCTGGAACCTGACTGTCGGGGTTCAGATCCCAGCTCCACCACTTAGCAGCAGCATGAACTTAAGTTTCTTAATTTCTCTGTGCTTTAGTTTCTTCCACTATAAAATGAGAATAATGGGCCAAACTTCAAGGGCTATTGTGAAGATTAAATGAGCTAGAACAGGTATTTAGAACAGGAACTGGCATTTAGAAAACACCCCCAAAATGCTAGTTGTTGTTACTACCAGTGGCCCTTGAAGCCACCACACACCTGTCCTACCTCTTCATCTCGACATATACACAGCCTGACCTGTCTCAGCCTCTCACCTCACAGCTTCTCCCTCCCACTGGGCTAACCTCTGAGAACAAGGACCTTGTCTTACTCCCCTCTGTAAGTCTTCCCAGCACCTTGTGTAGTAATTTGAGGTTATTGCTGAATGTATCAAATAAAATGTTCTCCATCAGAAAAAGATTGAGATCCTCTTGTAGAAATTGCTGTACCCCAACTCTCCAAACCCAGGCTTCAGCTGGTATGGCAGCCAAGCCTTTCCACTGAGCTCTCTGGAAGTCCTCAGCCTGATGTATTTTTGGATTGTGTCTCCAGAATATGTCAAAATAGCTTTCCCCACACAAACACGATTGCTGCCCCCAGATCCTCAAGCCAGTCAGAGCCATCACTGGGGCCCCTTTTGGCACCATATTCTTGCAACATGTGGAGGAGGAAGCATTGAAAAGCACGTTAAAGCGGTGGAGTTTACCGCTTACAAAGAAGCACTTTGTGGTCTCAGAGTCCTGTTGCCTAAAGAGTGAGTTACTACTTTTTAGGTAAATACCAAGATAGGGGATCTTCCAGCAACACTCTTACAGATGAGAGAGAAGCAAAGTGGGAAGAAAACATGTTAGGGTCTCACTCTAAGGTTGGCTTGGCCTGATTTGGGAATTGGGTTCCCGATTGTTTTTCCAAATGGATAACTCAAGATCCTTAATTGCATCTGAAACCACAGATGGCCAGTTGTGGGCAAGGTTTATGGACTGAGGGATGTGAGGCCTTTTTGTGACCTTTGATGAATCACTTTACTTCTGGAACTTGGAGCGCTCATTCATTAAGGGAAGATTTGAACTAGCCCCCAGTTTGGGAATCTAGGTCATTCTGAGAAGATTCCTCCAGCTGCCAAGTTTCCATTTAGCATGCTATTTTGGAAATTTGCCACTAGAGGCCGCTGTGAATACAGTTTAGCCTTGCAGCTTTTTCAAAGGCAGAAGCCTGCAGAAACCTTTCATGAGTTACTAAGACTTGCCTGCTATTTCTTGGTTGTGGAAAGCCAGCAACTGCTCAGATTGTGAGAGGGTAGAGTTGAGATGTCCACCTGGCACAGAATGAGCCTGTAAACGTGCTCCGTTGACACGGGCTGGCCGGCCTTCTTTTTTGTCTACGGGACTAGATGGAGGAGCCCTCCGTGCATGGTAAGGTTGGCTGAGTCCTGTGACCAGGTCCTGGTTCTGTAGCGTACCTTCTAAAGGGCTAGTTCCCTCTTGGCTGTTTAATATTCTGCTTTACAGTTGAATTCATTCATTCAACAAGTAATTTTGGAGCTCCTCTTATACATCCACCACCAGCAAATATTTTAAAAGAATCAGAGAAAGTCAACGAAAAGGAACCTTAGAGGAAAGCAAAAAGTTATTGTCCCTTCTGTGTTTCATGGTCTGTGGATGCTCCTCGTACGTATTTTTCTCTTAATCCCCCAAACCAGCCTCTGAAGTTGGTATTATTATGCCCATTCCTGGATGAGCAAACTGAAGACCAAAGGCAAGTAGCACAAAGCCTTGTACAGACTGAATGGATGGAATAAAGGGCCGGACCTTGCATGGCTAATAAAAGGCAGGGCTGGGGCTTGAATATGGGGAATTTGGATCCCAAGTTCTGCTCTTTTCCTATGATCTCCACCTTTGACATACAGAGGAGAAAGATGAGGTGCAGGAAAGGAATAATCTGGTGGCAGGGCAGAGGTTAGAACCTGAATCTCCTGCCTTACTGGCTGGGGTTGTTCAACTGACTTCTCCATCCTAGCGTGTCCCCAGGCCAAACTGACTGGCTGGCCCTAGCCTCAGCTGTCTCTACGCTCCTTCCAATCAGAGCCTGAACCAGGCCTGTGGAGGCGCAGCAGGAGGAAGGGCACACAAATGACCCTCATCAGGATGTTTATTGGATCATAACTGTATTATCCTCACCACTCAGCTAATCTCATAGAAATCGCTTTCCTCTCCGTGAGGATCTGGCCACAGCTCCATTAAGAGCTGCTGCCCTGCATACCTGTGAGGAAGCTCTTATACAGCAGAAATAGTGGAGAGGAGAGAGAAGTCATATTTCTACTTCCTCATTACACTGACGGGGGCAAGTGGCAATTTCACTGTATAAGAAAGGCCCTCAAAGGAAAGGGAGTTCGAAGTTCGTGATTTTGGGGGCAACATTCGGCTCCGAAGGAAATGTTTCCTTTGTGCTTCCCTTTTTGAAAGCATTTGTGATGCTGTTTAAGATCAAATAAGAAAAGGGAAGGAATTTGTGTTTGGGGAGCTCACGACGTGCCAGGTACTTTATACATATTATTCCATTAATCCTCTCTGAAGAGCTGTGGACAGGGCATCACAATGCCCCTCTCATAGATGAGTCTGTTTCATAGATGAAGGCACCGCCTTAGTTGTCTGGGCCTTGGCGGGGCTGAGCTAGGAGTCTGTTCTTTCCCTCTGTTGCACTCTTAATTCACACAGGGATGGTTTCCCTGCCGTTCTTTTTCCCCTCCTCCCTCCAGCTGAAAAAATATGGAAACTAGTTTTCAAGCCAGGACTAGTCACTGTCTGACTTTGACTTTGGTAACTTCCTTTCCCAAGCCTTAGTTTTTCCATCTGTAGAATGAGAGGCCCAGACTCTCATTCTAACTGCATCTAGTTTAAACCTCTATGATTTTATAATAGTATTTTTCTCCCAGGGAGCTCCCAGTACATCCTCATCTAATTGGAATCTCATACCAACTCTGGAAGGAATGGTAGTATGGTTATATTATTAACCCCATTTTTAAGCTGGAGGAAGAGACCAGAGAACCCGGCACTCTGTTGCAAACTCCCCCGCCGGCCCCCTCCGCAGGCCAGCTGCCTCCAAGGGGCTGTCAGCAGCAGCTCCTGCAGCCTGACACTTGAGCCTTACGCAGGCTCCTGACAGAATTATCAGAGAACTGGGGAACAAATACTTCCCGTAATCGGGGCGACGGTTCTTAGCCAGAGGTGGAGGAGGCAAGATGTGAAGTGTGTCTGATGAGTTCCTCTCCCAGTGTAGGGTCAGAGCTAATAAAACCCAAGGAAATCTCGGCGGGCTGCTGGAGATGCGAGCGAGCAGGCGAGCCCTGGGGGCAGGGCCACCGGGACTTAAGCTTCCGCACAAAGCCAGGCTTGTGGCATTTTGTGCACATTTCAGTTACCTTCGGCAGCCAGGCAGGCAAATACAAGCAGCTTGGCATGAAAATGAATTTAGAGCTTAAAAGAAAAGAAGTGTTTCACCCTCGGTGGCTTCTCAGGCTGCCCCGGTACAGGTACAGCCAGGGGAGGCAGGTGCCAAGGAGCAGTGGTGACAAAGAATCTAAGGGCTGGAGTGAAATGTCAGTTCCCTTCCCCTCCCACACACATGGCCTGAGGGAGGGAGGGGCGGAGTCCTGCAGCTTGAGCCGATAACCCTCACAGCCGCTGGAGCAGGAGAGAAAGGAGAGGCCGCCCACGTGAAAATCAGCTGCTCCGTCTCCGCCCTTGATGCCAATCAGGAAGGCATCAAGTGTTGGGAGGCTGAGACTTCAGGGTGGGACCTAGTTTGCTTTTAAGCATCCGAAGAAATGTGAGGACTCATTTTCCATTTCCCAAGATGCTGAAACAAGAGGAAATGGGTTTACATTGAATGGACAGAGAGAGAGTTCAGGAGGCCTACGAGTAGACTGGCTGGCTTGGCGGGTAATGTACTTAAATGAAATTAAACCCAGCACAAAGAAAGAGAAGGAGGCTGAGGCTGAGGCTGGGAAAGGCCAGGCTGTGGAGGACCAGGGTAAGAAGGCCCAGTCCCTGCCATCAGGACACATCCCCTGCCAAGGGAGAAAGGGGAAACATCCACCAAAGTGAAGAGCTTGGGTGTTCAGTGGAAAAAGAAACTCGGTTAGACTGCGAGAATCCAGGCTAGCTTCTTGGAAGAGATGGTACCTGAAACATGGTTAGGATTTGGGCCGGGCAGAGAGGAAATGGCAGGAAGAAAGGCCCAGGGGCAACCATATGGGGCTGGTTCCAGTTGGATATACCTGGTAGTGAGGGTGGGGCGGTGAAAGGTCACTTTGGTCTTCCTTGTGCCAAATGGCACAGATGGCACATCTCTGCTTATCAATCGACAGAAAGTCAAGGCAATCCATCCCCCCTTGAAGTAGCTGAGGTGAAGGAAGGAAGGATCCAGGAGACTGATTCTAATCAGCGTGCCTATGAGCTATTTGCTCTAATTACTGCTTGTTAACAAAACAACTTTGGGTGAATGTCTTTCCTTCTCTAGACCTCAGTTCCCAGATCTGTAAAATCTAGGCGAGTTGGATTATCTTTAAAGTCCTTTGCAGGACTGAGGCCTCTAATCCCATGACTGACAATATTAAGCTAAATATTGGGTTAAATGTGTATGAGGGCAGGAGTGGGGGAGGTTACAGACTGGGATGTCTACACTTGGACATAGTGAAGAGTGGAAGGGTCACAGCCTGGGCACAGATCTTGTGGTGCTGGGCTAGGCACTGCAGACGTGTGAGGGGCTCAGATCTGGGCCTGGGCCATGGCAGAGGCTGAGGCTTCTGGACAGGCCCCTGAGTCAGGTCAGGGAGCAGAGGCACTGTCCTAAGGAGCAAAGACAGCAGCTTTGGTCATACATTGTTCTAGGTTTGCACCCTGTCTCTGCCACTGACCTGTGTGAGTTTGGGCAAATTAAATTACCGAACTACTTTGGGCCTTAGTGTCCTTATCTGAAAAGATGGAGCAAATAATGCCCATTATTCTCCTACATATTTCCCAGAACATAAACTCAAAATTTACGCTGTAACCCCACTGGACTGAGCTTCTAAGGAGACTGTGTCTCCCTCTTCTCTCTCTCCCTCATGGTGAACTATGCACAGCACATGGTACAGAGGAGTACAGTTTTGTTAAGTGGGATAATGAGCTTATTGTGAGGATTAAATATGTGATGGAGGCCAGGCGTGGTGACTCACATCTGTAATCCCAGCACTTTGGGAGGCCGAGGCAGGAGGATTGCTTGAGGCCAGGAGTTTAAGACCAACCTGGGCAACATAGTGAGATCTTGTCTTTAAAACATTAAATTCAATTTAAAAAATAAGGTCGGGTACGGTGGCTCACGCCTGTAATCCCAGCACTTTGGGAGGCTGAGGCAGGTGGATCACGAGGTCAGGAGATTGAGACCAGCCTGGCTAACGTGGTGAAACCCCGTCTCTACTAAAAATACAAAAAATTAGCCAGGCATGGTGGCGGGCGCCTGTAGTCCCAGCTACTCAGGAGGCTGAGGCAGGAGAATTGCTTGAACCTGGGAGGTGTAGGTTGCAGTGAGCTGAGATCACGCCACTGCACTTTAGTCTGGGTGACAGAGCAAGACTCCGTCCAAAAAATAAATAAATAAATAAATAAATAAATTTTAAAAATAAATAAATAGGCCGGGTGCGGTGGCTCACACCTGTAATCCCAGCACTTTGGGAGGCCGAGGCGGGCGGATCACGAGGTCAGGAGATCGAGACAATCCTGCCTAACACGGTGAAACCCTGTCTCTACTAAAAATACAAAAAATTAGCCAGGCGTGGAGGCGGGCACCTGTAGTTCCAGCTACTCGGAAGGCTGAGGCAGGAGAATGGCGTGATCCCAGGAGGCGGAGCTTGCGGTGAGCCGAGACCGCGCCACTGCACTCCAGCCTGGGTGACAGAGCGAGACTCCATCTCAAATAAATAAATAAATAAATAAATAAATAAATAAATAAGTGATGGATGTTAAATTCTTACATGCTTATTGCATGGTGAGTCCTTAGTAAACACATAAAAATCCCTTCCCTTCTCTGTGGTATTGGCCCAGGGGCCCAGAAAGTCACAATGTGATAGTTGTCAAACAACAAGTAAACAGCTCAATTCATGACAGATGCTGAATAAATGTTTAGGAGTGGGGAGATAGATAAGAAATGTGTGTAGTGGGGGAGATTCAGGCCCTGTCTGAGACTGACACGTGCTCACCAGGGGTCCTCATGAAGGAGTCACTGTTTTGGAGGCCAACAGTGGATTTGGACATAGTCACCTCACAAACGGGGCACCTACCATGTGTCAGGCCCTGCCCTAGGGGCTTGGGATGCAACAATGAACAAGACAAAGTCCTTGCCTGCAGAAAGCTTCTATCCTAGTGGGGGAAACAGGCAAGGATCATGCTATGAAGAAAAATAAAGGCGCGTAAGGGGAGTGAGAGCAACGTGGTACTATGTTGGGTAGTGTGACCAGGAAAGCCTCTTCAAGGAGAGGGCATTGAGGCAGAGACCTGAGGGGCCTCAGGGACCCAGGGGAGAGTGGTCCGGGCTGAGGGAGTAGCAAATAGAAAGGCCCTGAGGCAGGTGCCTGCAGGGCCAGTGAGGGGCCAGTGTGGCTGGAATGGAGTCAGTGCCAGGGCGAGAGAGGAGATGAAGTCAGGTCACGAGCAGAGCCCAAAGCCCAGCAAGTCCTTTTTCCGTAGAATGAGATGGGAGCCAGGGGAGGGTCTTAAGCAGAGGAGCGACACGACCTGACCTTGCTTTTAAGTGGATCCTCTGGTTGCTGTGAAGGTTCTGGTATCTAGACTGTAAGCATGGGGGGCCTCCCTTACTTGGAAAAGCAGGAGTGGCTGGAAGGAAGAGGAGGCCAAGAGAAGTGAGCAGGGAGCTGGTGCCCACCAGGTTGCAGACAGATGCCAGGGCCAGGCAGGGTGGAGGGGTGGATCCTGGGGGCAGAAAGGGCTACTGGGCTGGCGGCAGGAGGGCCATGGGGCTTCTTGCCCAGATGCAACATGGACTGAGCTAGCTGGCACTGTGACATGGCGGAAGGGAGGGGCAACATGGGCTCTGGTTGGGATGGTGGGGCATTAAGCAGGGAGGCTGCCACCCTTCCAGCAGGAATGAGGGACTGGCGACATGGAGAGTCCCATGGCTCGCCTCTTGCCACACCTTTGGAGTCAGGTCCTCATTGCTCTTGGGTACCTGGCCTCACTGTTATTCATGGAGTTTCTTATCAAGGGAAGAGTCGGATGACCTTGATTCCATCACTCTTCCTCTTTAAGCTTTTCAGTAAAAGAAGGGGTTTTACCTGGATGGTCTCCAACCAAGCCCCTTCTAGGATTTCTATTAATGGGAGGAATCAGACACTGCATCTCCCCTGCCTCTCTACTCCGATGACGGTTTCAGTTCCTGCCATGCCTTGTCTTTCCTTCTCTCCCCGGGGCTACAATGAATAGTGGTGCAGGGTGTTTAGTGCACAAGGGCACCCAGCCAAGGGCGTGAGTGGGGGCTCAGTCCAGCTCACATTCTGTCCAGAAAACCTTGTGTCCTGCCTGACTCAAGGTTGCATTTACCCACAGTAGAGAATGCCTTTTTCTAGTTTGTTCTAGGTGCAGCATGGGCAGCCCTACTTTCCTGTCCCCTGCACAACCCCGCTTCTGCTCTTCTGTGCCCTTTTCTCCCACCATCCCCAGCCTCAAACGGGGAGAGGAGGGCAGCATTTACAAGTAGTGCTTTGGGAGGGGTGAGGGGACAGCAGCTGTCTCTTCTGTGAGGAGCTCTGCCCCCTAAGCCCGGTGGTGCTTTTCCCCTCCTTATCAATGCTGTGAGTTGCCTCTCAAAATTGCTCTGCCGTCATTAACACCGTGGATTAGGTCAGATGAGAGCATGTTTGCAGTCTTGGATGGCAAAGGCAAAACGCTGATGCTGATTATTCCAGATCTTCTGGGCATGGCCCATTCCGTGCTTGACGTTCTTAATCAGAGGGACGAGTGGTAGTTATGTGGCGGGTGGGCCAGGGCCATGGTTGTTTCTAATCTGGCTGCCAGGCACAGACGGCACGTCTGCAGCACCTGCCAGCCCACGCACTGGCCTGCCTGGACATCACAAGTGACCAGGGTTACTCGGCACTATCATATCTCTCAAAGAAGAAACAACTCCTCCAACGGCAACATCTGTGGGGCTGCTTTTGAACTATCAGCAATTCATTTGAGCAAGAGCTGGGAGCATTTTTCCCCTGGGCCTGATCAGTAAGTTGCTTTTTTTTGTTTTTTGTTTGTTTGTTTGTTTTCTTTTGTTTGTTTGTTTGTTTGTTTTGTTTTGCTTTTTGAGACAGAGTCTCACTCTGTCGCCCAGGCTGGAGTGCACTGGCGCAATCTCAGCTCACTACAACCTCCACCTCCCAGGTTCAAGCAATTCTCCTGCCTCAGCCTCCTAAGTAGCTGGGATTACAGGCCCGCACCACCACGCCAGGCTAATTTTTTTTGTATTTTTAGTAGAGACAGGGTTTTGTCATGTTGGCCAGGCTGGTCTCAAACTCCTGACATCAGGTGATCCACCTACCTCAGCCTCCCAAAGTGCTGAGATTACAGACTTGAGCCACTGCACCCAGCTCCTGATCAGTAAGTTTTACGTTCTGGTTGGCCATGCAGCGGGAGGGTGTCCTTCAGACCACCCCTCCTCCAGTGTCCCCTTCTGAAAAGCCTCTGTGCCCAGCGGAGGCTGTGGCCTTGCATCATGGCCCATCGCCTCCTGGCCTCATATTCTACCTCCACCAACCCTGACCCTGTGCTCCAGCCACACTACAGCCCCCAGTCGCAGATCTCTGGCCCTTCCTCATGCTAGTCCCCTGCCAGGAATGCCTGCACAGCCTTGTCCTCCAGGCAGAAGCTCATCATCTGTAGCAGCCGCTGCCTTGCCAGTGCCCACTGCAGCCTCTAACTTTTCCCACTTCAGTGTGCTCCAGTCCCACACCCGACTGCCTTTCTTTGCCTAAGGCTTTCTCTGGCTTCTGGAACCTGCATTGGCCTCTCTGTGCTGGTTAGGCCAGAAGTGCCAGGAAATTAATACCCTCCAAAAGCAGCCCTCAGCCACTGAGCCAATGACTGGCAGAAGTTGGTATAAACATATCCCAGCTTCCTCACCCCTCTGGCAGCCTAAGTTTGAAATGCGTTCTACAGTCTCCCAGAGTTCTGCAGCAGGACTATACCCTAGTTGCCTGTAGTGATGACTGGCTTGATAAAGCACCTTTTATTGTCTACCTTCCCTTCCCCGTCTCACCTCTGCCCTCATGAATGGATTAATGCCCTTATGAAAGGCATTATCCCTGAGCTAGGCCCCTTTTTGCCCTTCTGCCTTCCACCAAGTGAGGAAGTGTTTGCCCCTCTGGAGGACACAGCAACAAGGACCATCTTGGAAGCAGAGACCTGGCCCTCACCAGACACCATACCTGCCGGCACCTTGATCTTGAACTTCTCAGCCTCCAGAAGTGTGAGAAATACATTTCTATTATTATTAAATTACTCAGGCTAAATAATTTTGTTATAGCAGCAGGAACAGACCAAGACACCTCCCAAATGTACTACTCACATACAAATCTTTGTCTCAGGGTCAGCTTCTAGGGGAAACAAACTTCTAAGACATCACCTCAATGTCCATCTCAGTATCACTTCCTTTTTGCAGTTTCCCCTGACCCTGACCCTCCCTTCTTCCTGTTCCTGGGGCAGAACCATTGGTCACTCTTCTCCCAGAGCCGTTTTTTTGTTTTTTTTTTTTTTTGAGATGGAGTCTCGCTCTGTCGCCCAGGCTGGAGTGCAGTGGTGCGATCTCGGCTCACTGCAACCTCTGCCTCCCAGGTTCAAGCAGTTCTCCCACCTGAGCCTCCCAAGTAGCTGGGATTACAGGCACCTGCCACCAGGCCCAGCTAATTTTTTTGTATTTTTGGTAGAGACGAGGTTTCACTATGTTGGCCAGGCTGGTCTCAAACTCCTGACCTCAAGTGATCCATCTGCCTCAGCCTCCCAAAGTGCTGGGATTACAGGCGTGAGCCACTGTGCCCGGCCTCCCAGAGCCCTTTCTACCTACCTCAACCGCATTCCTCATGCTGCACTGTGGTTTCTCTCTCTTCATGTCCTGGGGCTCCCAGTAGCCTGGGAACTCTTTGGGGATAGATACTGTGTCCTTTTTGCCTTTTATTCTCTGAGCCTAGGACTGCACCCAGCACACAGCATGTGTCATATATATACATTTTTTTCTTTTTTCTTTTTCTTTTCTTTTCTTTTCTTTTTTCTTTTTCTTTTTTTTTTTTTTTTTTTTTGCCAAATAGCCAGCAGTGAAAGTGCAACGACTAAAAGGGAATGGAGTGACACAGACAAGTGTCTACAAGAGACCCTGGGGCTGCTACTCCAAATGCTGTCACTTTGCAAGGTTACTGGGTAGAACTTCAATCTTACTACTCACCTGCTCAACAACCTGCAATGGCTCCCTATTGTTGCCTTTCCCAACAAGGCCTCATTTCATGGATGATTTTCCATCGTCTGGCCCTATCCTAAAAGAGAGTGGAGCCTCTTGCTCAGAGTCAGGCTTTGGTCTCAACTGCCTTGTTTCACATTCTCACTATGCCAGTCCCCAGCTGGGTGATGATGAGTAAGTTACTTAGCCTCTCTGGGCACTGGCTTCCTTACTTATTAAATGTAGATAATATTAGGTTGGTGCAAAGTAACTGCAGCTTTTCCCATTAAAAGTAATAATATCTCACTTATAAAATTATTTTGAGAATTTAAAATCATGCACGGTCCCTGTGAATATGCTACAAACCGCTGATTTATACAACTTAAAATGGTAATTTTATGGTATGTGACTAATATTTCAAAAAAAAAAAGTAAGCATGGTGTCTGGCCCAGATCTTTGAAAATAAAACGATGCTAATTATTGTTATGAACAAGGTTTCCCAAGGCCCTGTCACTGGGCCAGGCACACAGCAGATGCTCAGTAAACACTCCTGGAATGAATGGAGAACATATTCCACAAGCATGCTTTGAGCATTGTTTATGCCAGGTATGTGGGGGATGGGGAACATAGAGATTCCGAGTTCAGTTTTGCATCCTCAGGAAGGGAAGACAGAATTATTCTCCTTGGAGTGGGGCCTCCTGACCCAGCTGTGCCTGGCTGTCAGGGGAATTAACAGCCTCTGTCCCTTGCTGCCTGTTCCAGGAGGCAGAACCCAGTCCAGCTGATTCTGAGCCATGGGGAAATTGTAACAGGCAGAGGAATGTGTTCTTGTATTTATCTTTGACTGACAGTATCTGATGTTCCAGGAATTGACTTCAAACAGAATCCGGAGGAGCCCCTTATGGTCCCGCTGCCACAAACAAGGCCCAGAGAGCGCAACTCTGCCCAGCCCAGCACCAGGTTTTTGGCCTCCCCGCCGGCCCGAGGCACATCGGCTTCGATGTGCCAGGCGGTGGGCGAGGAAGTGGAGGTTCCAGCTCGGCAAAGCTTAGGCTGAGGCTGAGGATGGGCTAGAGTCAAGTCTACGTGTGCAGCCTTACTCAGGGAGACGCCTCTGCGCTGCAACCTCATGCCCGGGAGGGCAAGGCTGGGCTAGGGCGGGGGATCGCGAGGGGCTTGGCTGGGAAGAGGACTGCAGGAGAGGTGTCCCAACTCTCCCCTCGCTCGCCAGGCACACAGCACGCGCCTACTCGGTGCTGGCTGCATAGAAGCCCAGGGAGCTCGGGCCGATCTCCCAGTCTGGTTGCCACCAGACTGGGTGGCAGGAGCTTCTAGACCTGGAGGCTGGCTCAGTCGTGTGGTCACGACGGGCGGGGGAGTGGAAGGGCGCTGGCGCGTGGTTTCGGCAGCCGACTTGGCGAGGCCGCGGCTGGCGGGAACCACGGATGGGGGAGGCGCCCATGCACCGACCCCACCTGGGCCACTGGGAAACCGAGGTAGTCCCTCCTGGCACTGGGGTCGCCCCCACACACCTCCCCAGAAGGAGATGTAGGGTCTGTTTCTGAACTGAGACCCGCCCCCGAGTAGGGCGCACACTCAGCAGAGACCCTCCACACCCAAGCCCCTGGGAGGGGATCTTTTTTGCACACCTCCCTCCCACTTATGCCCCCTCTCAACCCTGCATAGACCTTTCTCAAAAAGGCGCCCGTTGGTTCCCATAACCCTCCCCCTCCCCCAGGATGGAGACCCCTGATGGGAGATAGGGGTGGTGAGAGGGGGCGGGCGCAAATGAAGATGCGCGCGACCAGGACCACCTCTTGCTGTCACCCGCCACGTCCCCAGCATCTGGACCGCGTCCCCCGGCCCGCCACGCGCGCACACACACACACACGCGCACACACACACGCTCACACTCACCCTGCGCGCAGACCCCGCCCGCGGCCCCGCCCCGGCCCCTGCGGGCGCCCCCTCTGGCGTTCCCGGGCGGCGGGAGGCTGCGGCTTCGGGCAGATTTGATTTTCCCGCAGCCCGGGCGCCCCGGAGCCGAAGCCCGAGCCGAGGAGGTGGCGCTCGCAGCCGCGTCTCAGCCCCGTCGCCGCCGGCGCCAAGACCCAGGGAGAGGCGGCGCAGCCCGGGCGCTCGGGCTCCGCGCTGCCGGCGCCCCGCCACCCCCGCCGCCAGCGCCCCATCCGGCGCCTCCCGCTCCTCACGCCCCTCTCCCTGTCTTCTGCATCCCCTCTACCTCTGCCCACAGACGCGCGTCCCTCTCCTGGTGCCCCTCTCCACGACTCCGCGTTTCCCTCCCGGTGCCCTCTCCCCGAGCCCCTCTCCCCGCGCCCCTCTCTGCCTTCCCCGCTGTGCCCCCGCTCCCTGGGCTCCTTGCCCTTCCCCACTGGGCCCCTAGCCTCCTCGCGGCGTCACCCGAGCCCCCTCCTCGATCCGCGGCCCCCGCTCCCTCCGCCCTCTTCCCTCTCTCACTTCCCACGCCCCCTCTTCGCGCTCCTCTCTCCTCCCCTTGCCGCCCAGCCCAGGCTCTGGAGTTGGGGGAGAGCCCAGGGCTCCAGTCGCTCCGGAGGAGGCGTGAATCGCGCAGGGATTGACTAATTTGGGGTGGGGGGTGCGGTGGGCGATGGAGCAGCCTGAGGACATGGCGTCGCTGAGCGAGTTCGACTCCTTGGCGGGCAGCATCCCGGCCACCAAGGTGGAGATCACCGTGTCCTGCAGGTGAGCCTCCCGCTGGCCGGGTCCCCTTGCCCCGGCCCTGGACGCAGAGCCCCGCGGCCCCTGCCGCTTCGATCCTAAACCTCCGCGCGCCCCCTTCCCAGAGTGTCCTGGTCTCCAGGACTGCGCCCCTGCCGATCTGCCAAGAGCCCCTGTCCTGTCCAGCTGCGGGTGGCGACGGCAGAATAGGAAGCCAGGCTGGGGTCATATCCCAGAAAGTTTGCGCTCCAGGCTGTTGCATCGAGGAGATATGAAGACACAGGAACAGGGGGTCCAGGCACCCAAGTGGGGAGAGGGAGTTGGTAAAAGGCTGTACTACGGTCTCTGCTCAGGCTATCTCTGATCACCCCATCCCCAAATCACGAAGTGAGTGATTTGCCCCCATCCCTCCCAGGCTCGTCCACCCTCTCCCTTCTGTGCCCTCCTCTCTTCTCTCTTTGCCCCTTCTTTGCCCCAGCATCCTGATCCTCCCCTCACCAGTCTCCCCCACCCCACTGTCCTAGACTCTAGGATTTTAAAGCCTTCCTTCATCTCTATCAACAACGAAATCGACTCCTGGAAAAGGATCAGATTGACTCATTCATACTAAGGTGTGGATACATGATAACAACTTAAAGTGGCACCATTAAAAAAATAACTTGGGTCAAAAATCTTAAGCCAAAGGAATAGAACACTGATTGTGAAACTGTAGAGTCCAACAGAGGAGGAGGGGGAATATTTTTGTGGGCTACCACGCCCAAATCTTCACTCATGTCACACAGGGTTTGGGGGTAACTTCTCTGTCTAAGAGCTGGGTCGACCCCAGGTTCTCCTAGCTAGGGGAAGGCTGCCCCTGGCAGTAAGAGGGTATGGGTGGCAAAGGGGGATTTTTCCCTAGTTCAGTCTCTCTGTGGCTGGCCTAGGATCATGTGCTGCCACGCAAGCATCACCCACTTTGAGGTTCCCCCACAGAGGCCATGCCCCCTGCCCCAGATCACCGACAGCATTTCTGGAGCCCTGGCTGTGCCCTTGTTCGAAATCACCCATCTCATCCTCTTCCAGGTTGCTCCTTGGTCAGACCCTCCATGAGAGGTAACCTTGTTGCCCCCCAGTCCTGTATTACAAAGTTGTGGCATTGATGAGGTGTAGGTAGAGCTGGAGAGTCTGGGCAGGGGCGTGAAGGAGGGAAGGACTCAGTGTGACTTTCTCTTGAAGACTTGGGGATAAGTGGCAGTGAAGGCTAGTCTGGTTGAACGTAGCTTCCCCCCTAAGCCAGGCCCTCTGGGGGCTCCTGTGATAGCTCCCAGGTCCCATACACCATGCCGTCAGGATCATCTCCCAACGCCATTTGCATCTTGTCATTACTCTGCTGGGAGATTCCTGATGGCCCATTAGCTCCAGTCTCACCTCCTCAGCCATCAAAAGCAGCACGGCCTCCCCACCCTTCTCCTGCACGCACATCCCTGCGCCTGGCACTCCCTCCCAGCCTTCAATCATGCCTGTCATCTTCAGTTGTCTTGGGATCCTTCCCACCTCCAAGCCTCTGAACAGCCCATTCCCCATCCAGATTTCACTCTTCCTTTATCTCCCCAAGTTCATGATCCCCCCACTCCTGAAAAGCCTGGCCTCACGCTCCCCACTTTCAGGCATCCTCTCACCCATGAGACACACAGCTCAAATCATTGTCTTCTGTGTCCCGTGGGCCCTAGGTACTCAGCCTGGGCCACAGGGTCACTCACATACTGAGGATGAAACCTCTTGAGACGTCTCAGGTGTGCAGACGTCATCCCTCCCCTCTCAAAGCAACTGTGTAAGCATTTGAGGGCAGGGATTCCCACCCTGAGTCAGACCCATGCACCCTCTACTCCAGTGGAGAGGAAAGGAGATGGAGGGCAGATAGTGTGGCTTTGGAGTCAGATACCTTGAAACAGAATCTCTGCTTCACCACTTGGGGCAAATTTTAAGCCTCAGTTTCCCCCACCTGTCAGGTACAAACAATAAGCAGCATGTACTCATGGAGAAACCTTGTTCACCAAGGTAGCTCATGTGCTTAGAGCAGTGCCTGGCACTTGCCAAATACTGTTGGAGGAATTAACTTGCAGGAGTGGAGGAGCATGAAGCACCTAGCAAGCTACTTTGCACTTGCTTGGCACACAGTAGGTGCTCAATAAGTAGCTACAATGATCACCGGAAGGCGGTAGCACCTGGCCCCTCCTGTTTGCTTTCTGGAAGTAAAGATGTCCAAAGGACTCAAACCTCTTGCATAAGAGGCCTTCCTGGGGGATGTGGTTCTGGGGCTGACCCTGGGTCAATACCCTTTTGGGGGACATGATCCATGAGCTGAGGAAGGCCCTGACCTGGGGCCTGCTCATGTTCTCCAGAAAGCCAGAGGTGGGGGGAAGTGGGTTTTGGTGGGGAGAGATGAGGAGGGAGCAGTCACTTAGAACAGAGGGGAGGTGAGAAAACAGTCTGGGTGGCCTGGAAATTGTAGATGCATCTCTCTGCCTCAGCCAGGCCCAACTATTCAGGTTCTAGAACAGAGAGAAAGAGGAGGAGGAAAAGGAGGAGGAGAGGAGCACAGGGAGGAGGGAGAAATGCAGACAGTGGCTTTCTCCAGCATATTCTTCACTCCATGGTCGCCAGTTAAAGTCAAGTCCCTCCCCACTGCACCCGCTCTCAGGGCTCCAGGAGAGGAGGCTCTGGGGAGGCTCTGCCCTGGGCATCTGAGTGACACCTGCTGGTGGGCCCAGAACAGTAGGGCAGGCAGAGGGGCTGGCAGGTGAGAACTCCAGGGGGTTTCAGGATGGGCAGCTGGGGTAGAGGGGCCAATGTTTCAGGGAAGATTATGAGTTGCCACCTCTGGCTCCCAGGAACACTTGTTTCCACTTGCCTTCCTCCTCATGAAGGGGCCTACCACTCCCCTACCACAGAGCCTTCTTCTGCTCTGTGCCTAGGGGAGGATCCTGCACCTGCTGTGCCCATCCTAGGGCTCAGCTAGCTAAGCAAAGCTGCCTGGCACAGGTGCACATCTGAGTCAGAGCACAGGGCCACCACGGGGCCAAGTCTCCACTGAAGGCAAATGACACTGGGGATGGACAGTTTCAGGCCCCTGCTTCAGGTAGAGTATACTATACTCCCAAACAATTATTTTTACTGACTGTGGTAAACTCAGGGCCCAAGATTAGAAAGCCTTTGGTTATTTGGCACAACGGTTATGAATGTGAGCCCTGGAATCTGTCTCCTTGGTTTCAAATCCCAGCTCTCTTCCTATGACCTTGGGTAAGCTACTAAGCTGTCTATGCCTCAGTTTCCCCATCTGTAAAGAAAGCATAATGATCCTTATCAGTTATGAGGCTTAAATGAAGTAATCCATGAATAGCGACTGATGTTGTTGCTTATTTGATACCTGGAAGTTAATAAAAATTTGCCTCTATAGCTGGCTCCCAGGGTCTGTGTGTGTCCTGGAGATCTGATCAATCTAGAGATTCTTTTTTTTTTTTTTGAGACGGAGTTTTTGCTCTGTTGCCCAGGCTGGAGTGCTGGAGTGCAAAGGCGCGATCTCAGCTCACTGCAACCTCCGCTTTCTGGGTTCAAGTGATTCTCCTACCTCAGTCTACTGAGTAACTGGAATTACAGGTGCCTGCCTCCACACAGGGCTAATTTTTGTATTTTTAGTAGAGACAAGGTTTCACCATGTTGGCCAGGCTGGTCTCGAACTCTTGACCTCAGGTGATCCACCAGCCTTAGCCTCCCAAAGTGCTAGGATTACAGGCGTCAGCCACTGTGCCCTGCCAATCTAGAGATTCTTAAGGGTTGTTTTGGAAGTGAGTAGGGCAGATGGTTTGTGGAACTAGATACCAGTAGACATCATAAAAAATGTGACTTTAAAGACCCTCCTCCCTCGAGCCAAGAGCTCTTCCTTCCTCTGATGGCCTGTTCTAGACCCTTCCTGACTGTGTGAGCCATCCTGCCGAGTCAATCAAAACTTACCTGTCTGACGTTCCATTCTCCAAAGGCGCCACTATTTTTCAGGTCTCCACGCAGGGATCTGGCCCAGCATGTTGGTTAGAAAGAATGATTTGCATTTTTTACATAACAAGAAACCTTTGCACTTGCGCAGGGTCCTGCTGGAGAAGCAATGCACAGTTCCACATGGTGGGTTCCCAAGACCCAGGGAAGACGCGGCGGGGCGAGTCTGGAAGCAGCCCATTGCTTAGCCCTGCTGGCTTCCCTCTCCCCACCAGCTGGTATGGGGCTGGTGGGCAGCTGTTGTTCTGCCCCAGAGATATTGTTTTCTGCTGTCTGTTCGGGTTGGCGTTTTGTTGCCCTGGAGCCAGAGAGGCAGCCCGGCTCAGGAGCTGTGCCCTGGGTCTCTCAGAAGGGGTGTGAACAGCTCTGAGCGCTTTCTTCTGACAGGCAGGGAGAGGGTGGTTTGGGGGAGGGAGGAGCCTGGGGGAGGGCGGCAGCTGTCAAAGCCAGTGCTAGGAAAAGAAGTCCATTTAACCATTGAATACACTAAGGTACTCAGGTCAGTGGAGCTAGGGGAATAATAACAGTGGCATTTACTGAGTGCCTACTGCATGCTAGGCACTTTACATCATATTAGGCTGAACCGTATGCAATTTCTACACTCAACTTTTTTTTTTTTTTTGAGATGGAGTCTCGTTCTGTCATCCAGGGTAGAGTACAGTGGCCCAATCTCGGCTCACTGCAACCTCTGCCTACTGGGTTCAAGCGATTCTCCTGCCTCAGCCTCTTGAGTAGCTGAGATTACAGGCATGCACCATCACGCCCGGCTGAGTTTTGTATTTTTACTGGAGACGGGGTTTCACCATGTTGGTCAGGCTGGTCTTGAACTGCTGACCTCAGGTGATCGGCCTGCCTCGGCCTTCCAAATTGCCGGGATTGCAGGCATGAGCTACCGCACCCAGCCCATCTGTTTTTAACCTATTCAAATAAATAACACAACTTGTTTTTTTTTTCTTTCCTTCCTTCCTCCCTCCCTCCCTCCCTCCCTCCCTTCCTTCCTTTTTTTTTTTTTTTTTTTTTTTTGAGATACAGTCTCTGTTGCCCAAGCTGGAATGCAGTGGTAGAGTCACAGCTCAATGCAGCCTCCAACTCCTGGGCTCAAGCGATCCTCCTGCCTTAGCCTCCTGAGTTGCCAGGACTACAGGCGCACACACACCACCACATCTAGCTAATTTTTAAATTTTTTTTGATTTTTTTTTGTTCGTTTGTTTTGTAGAGGTGAGGTCATACTCGGTTGCCCAGGCTGATTGGCTGATCTCAAACTCCTAGTCTGAAGCAGTCCTCCAGCCTGTGCCTCTCAAAGTGCTGGGATTAGGTGTGAGCCACTGCACCTGGCCTCACATAATACTTTTATATATTTCAAACTAAGGTTATTATATTAGTTCTCAATTGCTATGTGACAAATTACCACAAACTTAGTGGCTTTGAACTACAGCCATTTCTCATTTCCTAGTTTCTGTAGGTTAGAAGTCCAGGCATGACATAAAGTGGCTTTTCTGCTCAGGGTCTCACTAGGCTGGAATCAAGGTATTGGCAGGGCTGTGGTCTTATCCAAGGCTCTGAGTCCTCCTCCAAGCTCACCGGTGGGTGGCAGAATTCAATTTCTTGCAGCAGATAGATTAAAGTTCTGTTTTCTTCCTGGTTATTGGACCAGAGTGACTCTCAGCTCCTAGAGTCCACCCCCAGGCCCTTGCCACATGGCCCCCTCACAGCATGGCAGCTCATTTCTTCAAGGTCAGCAGGAGAATCTCTCCTAATCTGCTATGACAGAGTCTTATGTAAAGTAACTGTAATCACAAGAGTGAATATCTGATCGCCTTTGTTATACATCATAACCCAATCGCATGAGTGACTAACCTATCATATTCCCAGGTCCCGCCCACTCTCAAGGGGAGGGGATTATACAGACGTGTGTGCCACGAGACTGGAATCTTGGAGGCCATCTTATATTTCTGCCAATCACAATTGCTACGTCTTTTAAACTAGGATAGATAGATAGTAGTATTTTCTCTTTTTGCTGATTAGGAAATTGAGGCTCAGAGAGGTGAAGGGACTTGGCCAAGGTTACACAGTGAGTACACTTTGGAGAGAGGGATCCAACTCCTATTCCCTCAGACTTAAGACCTTGAGGGCTTCTTGAGATTGGAGGTTGGGTTCTCCAGGAGGATGGTGGTGGAGGCCTGAGTACCAACTATGGTAGGTGTGACCAAAAGGTAGGCAGTCTCTCCCCAGGGATGGGAGAGGCCTTCCTTGCTAACAGCTGCCTGTGGTTCTGAGCAGCAAACCCAGAACTGGAGGAATCCTTGGGGAGCAGAAACCACAAAAAGTCACAGGATGGAAGCCAGCCTTCGATGCCATCCAGACCGCACGGTAGTAGTTTACCATCCCTCCTTTCCCAGCTCACAGTTCACCCTGTTTAGACTCAAGGCGATACTCGAGATGGTCTACCCTTGGGAAGAAAGGGTAGGGAGGAGGCTGGGGAATTAGGCTGGAAAGCTCTGGGGCAGAGAGGAGTCAGGCTTGGGTAGGAATGATTCAGCTGTAGGTAACAGAAAATCTGACTGATGGTGGCTTAAACTTGATATGCATTTATTTTTCTCAGATCACAATGAATCTGGAGGTAGGTTATATCAGGGCTACTTTGTCAGCTCACTTTATCATCAAGGACCCAGTCGTCTTTGTATTTTGCTATCATCTTAGCAGTAGGCCTCGTTGTTACAAAATGGCTGCCTCTGCTTCAGGCATCACAACTGCATCCAAAGACAGGAAGCTAGGCATGAGGCCAGAGTCCTCTCTCTGAAAAGTTCTTTTTACCGGGAAAGTACAATCCTTTCCAAAGTCTCTCAGCAAACTTTCCTTTCTATTTCAGGGGCCAAAGCTGGGTCTCATGTGCACTCCTAGACTAGGGACAGGGGCCATCTTCCCGGATTTCAGGGAGTCGTCATCAGATCTAAACAATGTGGATTCTGTCAGCAGGAAGAGAGTGGGCAATGTTTGCTGGATGGGCAAACGTGGCATCTATGGGGCCATTTGGAAAGTAAGGAGGCTTTCCAAGAGCCTAGAATTTGCATCTCTGAGGCCTGCTCCTCAGATTTTCCTACGGTCAATGGACAGTGGACAGTGTTAGGTGACTGATTCTCCAAGCACAGCTTGACTGAACCCATGACTGCCTTTCTTTCTGCCTGTTTGCCAGCCAAGAATAAAAAGGCTTAGTGTGATTTCAAATCATTGCAAGGTTCCCTAAGGTCTCTTCTGCTGGCCTCACACAGACCTCATAGTAACAACAGGACAGCTTTATACCTTTGGGTATGGAAGAATCCTGGCCAGGACACTGAAAGTCAGTGCCACTCCTGGCTTATCTTCTCTGGGATCCTGGCCAGATTATTTAAGTTCTCCAACCTCAGTTTCTCCATTTGTAAACTGGTGGAAAATACTGGTCCTGTCCACATCCTCTGTCTTCATTGTTCTGAAGACTAAAGAGATTAAGTCTGTGACATTCTATATAAACTGTAATGTGCTAAATCAGTTTAATCATGGTAATAGGTACCAATAACTGAACACTACTGACACATTCATTTATTTGATAATTGATATTGATCTTCATTTGCTATTGAGAGGCCTTTTTTTTTTTTTTTTTTTGAGATGGTGTCTCACTCTGTCACCCAGCCTGGAGTGCAGTGGCGTGATCTCTGCTCACTGCAGCCTCCACCTCCCTGGCCAACATGGTGAAACCCCGTTTCTATTAAAAATACAAAAATTAGCCAGGTGTGGTGGCGGGCGCCTGTAATCCCAGCTACTCGAGAAGCTGAGGCAGGTGAATTGCTTGAACCTGGGAGGCGGAGGTTGCAGTGAGCTGATATTGTACCACTGCACTCCAGCCTGGTTGACAGCAAGACTCTGTCTCAAAATAAAAAATAAAAAGAGTCCGGGTGCGGTGGCTGTAGCCTGTAATCCCAGCACTTTGAGAGGCCAAGATGGGCAGATCACTTGAGGTCAGGAGTTCAAGACCAGTCTGGCCAACATGGCGAAACCACATCTCTACTGAAAATACAAAAATTAGCCGGGTGTGGTGGTATGTGCCTGTAATCCCAGCTACTCTGGAGGCTGAGGCAGGAGAATAGCTTGAACCCAGGAGGCGGAGGTTGCAGTGAGCTGAGATTGCACCACTGCACTCCAGCCTGGGCAACAGAGTGAGATTCCATCTCAAAAAAATAAAAAATAAAATAAATAAAATAAAAAGAATTCTGGTCATCGTGAAGAGAAGGGACTGATGAAGGGTAGAGAGAGGCAGGCATGGAAGCACATTGCTAGGCAGAAGACTACTGAGGCCTCCAAGTGAGAGATGATACTGATGGTGGCATGGGGAGGAGTGGACAGATCTGGGATATATTTTGAAGTAGAAACATTTAAAACTTGCTGATGGGACAGGAGGGGGAATAAGGGAAAGAGAGGAATTGAGTGTGCTTCCTACGTTTCTGTTTGAAGCTGTTGACTTCACAGCAACTCCACAGGCAGGTATGTGACCCCATGCCCAGATGAGGAAACTGAGATGAAGCACCTTGTCAGGGCCACATGTCGCCATGTGGGGACTCCAGCTCAGAAGCATCTGAGGCCAGAGCTCCTGCTCTTTTCCCTTGGCCATGTAGTGTGAGAGGGACAATTATTACAATAATTAATAACAATAAAAATGCAAATTGCCCCAGGAAGGAGAGCTCTTTAAGCCATGTGAAAATTGCTTTTTAGACCTTGGTGAGGTTGCTTGGCAGGGAAGCAGAGCACGCGGGTGAGAACAGGATCTGAAAGGGGAGATGGGTAAGTGCCAGGGGCTAGGTGCCAAGGCTTCTCTCCTCCCAGCTCCCGCCCTGCTTTCCTCGGATTACTTCTGCCTTTTAGGTCTGGGAGCTGGGCAGGAGGACATGGGAAACCCTCCCATTCTCCTCTTCAGTCGTTTGTTTGGGAGCAGCTCCGAGAGGCTGAGGATGGGAAGCAGGACAGTGAGGATAAGACGGAGCATTGCTGGCCCAGATGGGGCTTTGGGAGTCCTTGGCTTTGGTAGTGCAAGCACTCCCCAGGGCACCTTTAAATGAGCTTGAGCTTCAGAGTTCAGAGTTCACATTTCTGCATGCCTCTTGACAAGCCGGTGACATCAGGCACATCGCTCAGCCTCTGTGGCCTTGCCTATAGAATGGGAGCAAAGTCTACTTTCTGGCGTTGATATGGAGGGTAAATAGAGTGTCACAGGCTAAGTACATGACAAAGGACTTGGCACAGATTATATACTTGTTGGGTGTCATCTCTCTCCCACTCCATTTGCCAGATGTTTATGCAAATTGCTCCATGCAGAAATGGGGTGACGCTGGTCAGTACCTCAGGGGCCTCTGTGGGACCATCAGGATTCCTGTTGGGTATTTTTTTTTTTTTTTTTTTGCAATTCCTACACTCAACTTTTTTTTTTTTTTTTTTTTGAGATGGAGCCACACTCTGTCACCCAGGCTGGAATGCAGTGACGTGATCTCGGCTCACTGCAACCTCTGCTTCCCGGGTTCAAGCGATTCTCCTGCCTCAGCCTCCCGAGTAGCTGGGACTACAGGTGTCTGCCACCATGACTGGATAATTTTTGTATTTTTAGGAGAGACAGGGTTTCACCATATTGGTCAGGCTGGTCTCGAACTCCTGACCTCAAGTGATCCACCCACCTTGGCCTCCCAAAGTGCTGGGATTACAGGTGTGAGCCACCGTGCCCAGCCTTCTGTTTCTTTATTTATGTATTTATTTATTTTTGAGACAGGGTCTCGCTCTGTCACCCAGGCTGGAGTGCAGTGGTGTGATCACGGCTCACTGCAACCTTGACCTCCTGGGCTCAAGAGATCCTCCCACCCCAGCCTCTTGAGTAGCTGGGACTACAGATACACACCACCACACCCGGCTAATTTTGTTTATTTTTTTTAGAGACAGGGTCTCCGTATGTTGCCCACACTGGTCTCAAACTCCTGGCCTCAAGTGATCCTCCTGCCTCAGCCTCCCAAAGTGTTGGGATTATAGGCATGAGCCACCAAGCCCAGCCAGGATTCCCGTTTCTACCTGACCTTGGCTCTCCTGTCCCCACTCTCTCCTCAAGGAAGGCTATGCAACCAGTCAGCAGTGGTGGGCAAGGGTAGTAGGGCTTGGGTCCTGCTAAAGCCAAGCTTTAGGGAGAAGAGAGGGGGGAATATGGAGCATTCTTAGGTGCCATCTTCATTCTCCACAGGCCTTTGTTGAGCACTTATTGTATGCCAGGCACTGCATTGCAACTTACTATGTGAGTTTAATCTCACAAAACTCCTGGGAGGGGGGGACTGTTATTAGCCCTTCTTTACAAATGGGAATACTGATGCACAGAGAAGCTAAATGACATGCCAGAGGTCATATAGCAAGTAAGGGACAGAGTTGGGTGTTGGATTCAGAGATGAAGCTTGAAGTCTATGCTCTCAATGCCCCCACTTTTCACCCCCAAGGTTGGACGGATGCTTAGGGTGAGTTGTTGGGAAGAAGATACACCACCTTTTCTTGAGCTTTTTAGACTCATGAATGTCTTCGGGTAGCTAATGAAAGCTCTCCAGAAGAATGTATCCATATATGTGGTATCCGTATATACCAATATGCCATACTTTGCCTATTGGGGGCCCATGACCTCCATTATGGGTCCTGCCCCAGGAAAATGTTTCTTTCTATGCTGAAGCCAAAGCCTTTGCTCAGTGCATTGATGCAGCACTTCTGGGCTTTGTTTAGAGACAACCAGGGATGCGTGATGGTCAGTTCACCCAGCATCTCAGCTCAAGAGCAAATATGCCTTTCTGGCTGAGGATTCCCTGAGGCAGAGGCTATGTCTCCTGGTCAGACCGGGCTCCCTGAGTGCAGGGTTGTATCTCCCTCTCGGATGGTACACCCCAGCCTCTACCCATACCTTTCTTTTTTTTTTTTTTTTTTTTTGGTTTGTTGTTGTTGTTTTAGAGATGGAATCTCACTGTGTTGCTGAGGCTAGTCTCGAACTCCTGAGCTCAAGTGATCCTCCCTCCTTGGAGTCCCGAGTAGCTAAGACTACATGTGCCCAGCTTCTTTCTTAAGCTCCCCCAGATGGGAGGTGTTACCCTGTGGCCCCTCCTTTAGCACCTGCCAAGGGCTCTCATTTTGCCCTTCCAGTGTTTTCTGTCCTTGCTGGGGCCTTGGAGACTTCTGACCTCACAGCCCAATGAATGACCATTTTCTCACTGCCACTGAATTGGAAATGATTCCGCAAGGGGAAGCAGGGAGGAAAGGGGCTCTTGGCTCTGCTTCCTGGCCTTGATTTAAGGAACAAAAGAAGCCAAGCTCCAGGCTGCTGTGCAGACAGCGGAAGGGTTGTATGCTCTTTTAGAAAAAAAAAAAATACGTTTTTCCTGCTAAAAAAAATTTCTCTTTGTGCTCTCCAAAGAAAGAAAGTGGAGAAAAAGTACTTGTGGTCTGGTCTTGTCTGTGCCCTGGTGTCTCGGGCCCTTCGTCAGGGCGGAAGACCCGGTTTCCTCCCCCAGGCTTTTGGCTGTGTGCTTGTGGGCAAGTGACTCATTGCCCCTGGGCCTGGAAGTCCTCAGTGGATCATGGTGAGGATCAGTGGGGAAGGCGCTTTACCTCGAAGAAACTTCTGGTGCTACACGTGTGTGTGTTGTGGTCTGTGCCTTTGCAGCGGGGGAAACTGAGGCCCTAAGAGACGGTGTCTCAACATGTGGTATTTGGACGGCTGCCATCAGAGACATAATAGGGGGATCTCTGGCGGCCACTTGGATAAACATGGCCTCTGGAGCCCTGCTTCAGACCTACACAGCCAGACTTGGAACAGAGCCCAAGGAACTGCCATTTTATACCCCGGGGCAGGGGTGAGCCCCAGAAGTGCGAGGCCCATTGTTCACGGGGTGAAGCCACCCGTCCAAAGCCAAGGTAGGAGGTTTAGCAGGCTCTGAGGGTTCTGTCTGGACAGGCAGTTAGGGAGAGGGATGGACGGAGGCAAGTGTGGACGAGGTGTGGGATCAGAGGGTGTAGGGCGCAGGGACATAGGCGAGAGGCAGAAGGTCCTCAAGGCTGAGAGTGGGGAATGGAACGGAGGCTGAAGAGGGGCTGAGCTGGGGAAGGGACTCAGCAGGGAGCCCTGGGAGTGTGTTGGGGGCGGGCTTCTTCCTTGGACCTGTGAGGGTGGAGATTGCTTGTGCTGCGCTTGTCACCAAGTGTGCCTGAGCATCCACCGGGAGAGTGACGGCTCCACTCAGCACCGGGCCAACGACAGCTGACCTGTCTGACAAGGCTGACGAGGTCCCAGGTGCTCCACATATCGAATCTCCACAGCAGCCCTGAACTATTTTTACTGTGCCCCACCCCCCACTTTACAGATGGGGAAACTGAGGCACAAGGTGAGCAAACCCAGCTTGTCTGACTGCAGAGCCCATGCACTTAACTACTACATGCCACAGCTGAGAGGAAGTGCAAGGGGCCGTCCCTGAGCTTGACCGTGTGCCACCCAGGTGGGGAGATACGGGCTTCGCTCACCCATCTGGCCATTCTTTTTGGTCGTCCTTCATCCATCCAGCTTGCCAGGCCACTACTCTGACTCAGGTGCTAGGCTGGCCTGTGGCAGGGTGGGAAACTCTGCCATGGAGGCATGCACAGCCAGTGTGAGAGACAGATACACCCATGATTTTGCAACCGATCGTGTACAGAGTATGTAATGGGGTCCTACGAGTCAGAGGGCTGCACACTCCAGGCCAGAGAGAGCTCAGGGGAGAGGAGAGGAAGTAGCTGTCCATCAGTGTCCAGGAAAGGCAAAACTGAGGAAGGACAGGAATAGTCTGGAAGGATGGCAAGAATAATTTCAGCAGAGTGGGGAAGAGAGGGTTTGCTTTATCCTGGGGTGCTGGTTGCCAGGGTGACCCTTGTCCCAGGATTCGGTGAGGGTCTTGAGGTCACCAGGCAAGGAGCCAGGTGGCTAGATTCTGTTTCTTAGTCTAGCTGTGTGCCTCTAGCCCAGCTGGGAAGTGGGCAGGACCAGGGAAAGCCCCATCTACTTGTCTTTGAGGATAAGACCTCCCCCTCCCACCGCCCATAACACATGCGCATGCACACACGCAAACACACACACGTATCTAGGCTGATATCCAGGGCCTCACTCTCTTTCTCCCTAGCCTGGATATGACCAGATCCGAGTTCTAGAGCCACACTTGGAGGAGACCCAGACCTTGGAGGAGTTAAGCGTTGTCCTTCCGAGTCTCACAGTCCTGATTTGTAAAGGAGTTGGGAAAGGTGACCTCTGAGGTCCTCTCCAGCTTGAACATTCGAGGATTTTATGTCATTGCTGAATTTCATTATAGAATTCAAAGATAAACCTAAAGCGCTTGCTTTAGTAGAGAAGTCCCCCTCCTCCTTATCACTTTCAGCTCCTCACTGTGCCTCAGGTTCCACCACTGTAGAGTCACCTTTGGTCTCAAGGCATTTGTCCTTTGTTTAAATCAAGATAGACACCCCTACCCCCAAACTTAGCACACTTCAGGATGAGAATGTCGGCCCAGGGAAGTCAGCCCGCCTCGGTGTGAATGACTGTATGTAGAAGTGGTGTCTCACGTGCAGCCCCTGCTGCCTACTTCTCAGAGATGCCTTGTTTATCGTTCATCTGATGCTCTCTGTGGAGGGCTGGGAGGTTTATCAGATGGTTTCCGAAATGACAGCTGACTGGGAGCAGGTCTGGTCTGGTGGAGGGGCCAGTGGTGGCCAGGAGAGAGGTGGTTGCCTGTGGGGTCAGGGAGGCCCAGTTGGGGGTGGCTGCCTTTGGGGAGTGGCCCCTGGATGTAGAGACTGGAGTTGGGGAGGGGTGAGAGTTCTCCAGGGACTGGTTTCCTGAAGCCATTTGGGAATTCCTCTCTTGGGGGCATCTCTAGGAATCTGCTCAGGGACTGGAGCTGGGGGTATTAATGAATGCAATCTGGGGCTTCCCCAGGCACCAGAGGATGCCATGTGTAGGCCTCAGGCTGCTGTTGCGTTTGTCCATCTGTTGATTGATTTTTGGCTCCCACCTTAGGGCGTGGGGCATGAGTGGTAGGGTTGATTATGGGGTCAAGTTGCCCGACAGGCTGTCACTGCCGAGGGCTTTGGTGACACTGACTCAGGGTAAGGCCTCCTTCTAGACTTTTCTGTCTCTACCACTGCTTGCTGTGGGCCACGGTCGCCCTTTGCCTCTCCCTGGTCTTTCATGTCCCCATCATGGAGGAGAAAGAGGAACAGATCCTCCTCAGGGCCTCATCTAGCTCTGACATTTGTTTGTTTTGTTTTGTTGTTGTTGCTGCTGCTGTTGTTTTGAAAAAGGCTGGAGTGCAGTGGTGCGATCTCAGCTCACTGCAACCTCCACCTCCCTGTTTCAAGTGATCCTCCTGCCTCAGGCTCCTGAGTAGTTGGGATTACAGGCGCATACCACCATGCCGGGCTAATTTTTGTATTTTTAGTAGAGATGGGTTTCACCATGTTGGCCAGGCTGGTCTCGAACTCCCGACCTCAAGTGATCCACATGCCTCAGCCTCCCAAAGTGCTGGGAATACAGGCATGAGCAGCCACACCCGGCCTAGCTCTGATATTTGAAGTTGGCTTTCGGGAAGCAACACAGACCAGTGTTGACTGTTTCTTTTCTCCAGAAAAGCAGTTCAAGGGGCAGAGGCCCCTGTGGGGGGTTGTGGGAGTAGAGAAGGAAGGTGACAAGATCCTTTGGGACCTCCGGAAGGGAGGCGGGACAAGGCTGAGATGGTTGGGAAAAGAACCAAGACTTGAGGGCAGTGTTGGCAGGAGTAGCCGCACAGGCAGGAAGGGCTTGTCTGGCAGCTTACAGGGGAAGCAGGGAAGGGAAGACCTGGTCAGCGTGGGATGTGTTCATGGGTAGGTCTCCTGGCGGCCCCTGGGGCTCAGTCCCTCTGGCACTTCGGAGAGACTGTAGAGCAGAGCTGTCTCCAGGGTGAGTGAAGAAGCTGAGCAGTCAGTCCTCCAGCCCCTTCCTGTTGGTTGAGTGCGGCCTTTTGGGAGCATAAACTTTCTGGCCCTTGCAGACAGCCTGCCCGAGAAAGCCCGCAGGAGAGAAACAGACACAAGAGGAAACCATGGATGTGTACAGGAACTGTGAGGGCTGAGGGGATCCATGCAGGGCATCAACAGCCTTCAAGACTGATACTACCGTCTCATTGTACTGATGAGGAAACAGGCTCAGAGAGGTTGAATGACTTCCCAGCCAGAGACTGCGTTTCCACTGGGCTGTCTTGCTTCCCAATGGCAGCAGGTCGCTGTGAAACGAGGGATACCAGATGTGCAGGATGTAGGCTGCCCATCCTCCCCTCCTCTCCCCTCCACTTCCACATCTGTAAGATGGGACAATACCTGCCTAGGATCAACCTTGTAGGGCAGCATGAGAATCGGGAGCTCATATTTGTAAAACAGCGCACTGCCTGACCCATCGCCGGGGCTCAGTAAATGGGAGCCTTTATTGCATGGAGGCAGGACAAGGGGAGCTTAGCACCTGTTGAAAGACCGTTCTGTCCCCAAATGTTGTGTCCATCATCTTGCTGCTGTGCCGTCCAGTCTGATTATCAGAGCCATGTGTTAGCCCTGGTCTTGACCACAGAAGGACCTTGTCCAAATGAGTCGGCTTCCCCTGGGAGGTGTAATTCATTAATCTATCAGTACAGATGAGACCATCGAATAAACTGGCTGTAAGTAGAGCCTTGAGAAAATGGGAGAGTAGGTGGATATGTTTTGATTGCTTTATCTTATTTTTTTGAGAAGCAGAGAAGTGATTAAAGGAGAGCTTCTAGAAAGGGCTAAGACATTGGGCAGTTTCGGAAATCCCCCGATGGTGAGTGGCTGTGCGACACAGGGCACCAAGACCAGGGCACCTACCCGGAGTGCTTGTGGTGATGATAGGGGTGGGAGGTAGGGAGTTCTGCACACCTTAGGCAGGTGGGCTGAGGAACCTCCAGGGCCTGCCCAGTGCCTGGCTTTTAATGAAGCCTAATAAACGATTGTGGAACTGTTTTGCCTGAGGCCAGGCCAGAGGCAGCCTCTGGGTCTCGGTAACAGCCTGAATCCCCTGAGGTCGCCTCCTCTCAGCTGGCCGTGCTAACCCCTCCTCTCTCCCCCTCTTTCAGGAACCTCCTGGACAAAGACATGTTTTCCAAGTCCGACCCACGTAAGTCCTGCTCTGACAATAAGAACGGTAACAATAGCGGCAACGCTATGACTAATTACAGCGGCAATGCTTGAGCCCTTACTGAGCACTAACCATGTGCCAGGCGCCGTTCAAAGTGTGTCAAGCCTGTTTAATGTTTCTCCCATAGTGTCTGAGAAAGATAATTGCGGAGATTTGACCCTTCCCAGCCTGCACGCTTGTGAAGCCTCAACACAACAGAGCAGGCTGGGAGGGGTTGGAGGTCTGGGGCTACAGGGTCCCAGAGAAACCAGTAGGCCTAAGAGCTCCAGCTGGCTGTGACCTGGTGGGATGAGCACTGGTTTTGGAGTCCAGGTTCTAGCCTTGAGCAGTGCCACCCAAGCGTGTGACCTGGATGGGTCTTTGGCCTCCTCTGAGCCTGTTTTCCCATCTGTAAAGTGGGGCTGATGATAATCAGAGGCCTCATGAAACTGCTCCGGGCTGTAAAGGAGCAATGCGGATTTCTGATGCTCTCCCCCACCACACCTCTGCTTGTCGTCCATCACACCCACCCGTCTACCTGCCTCACACTTCAGACCCTTGCTGTAGCCTAGAAGGCAATGGTGCCGACCCTTCTCCTAAAGGTTGCCCCTTCCAGGCACACCTAGTCTCCCTTCTCCAACGCAACCCCTCCGAATCGGTGCATCTACAACCCTGTCCAGGCTTGGGGGGCCAGATTCCTGTCCAGGCTTGGGGGGCCAGACTCACTCACCAAGATCTCAGCCACCCCAGGAGACACCCTCTACCCCTACCCAGATCCAACAGTGCTACCCAGGCTGGGTCTGCTGAGGCGCCTGCCCAGCCAGGATCCTTTTCATCTGGGACCCCTCCTTCCTCTTGGCCTGAGGTATTAATCCACTGTTTCTCCTCCCCCCGCAGTGTGCGTCATGTATACCCAAGGGATGGAGAACAAGCAGTGGCGGGAGGTAGGTGCAGCTCCTTCCCACACCAGAAACACCAGCCTGTTCCTGTCTGCCTGTCTGTCTCTAATTCGGGAGCAATTTCCCTGACATGTTTCTAACTGCAGCATCCAAGCCCCGCTGAAGGCTAGTAAGGTGTGCAAAGCATGAAGTCCCATCCCTGTTGTTGCATGAACAGACTGAAGATGGAGGGGATGGTTCCTGCCCTCAGGCAGCCCCAGTCTGAGAGGAGACATAGCCCTGTTCTCAGGGAGCCCCAGTCCCAGGGAGACGCAGAAGGAGTCCGTGCCCGTTAAGACCTTGTCTGCTGGCTGGAGGCGTGAGTGCAGCTTCTAGCACCAGGCCTCATCCACAGCAAGCTTCCTTCCCGTGGCTTCTGACTAAGGTGAGCGTGGCTTCAGTGAGGTGATTTCCCTGCTCAGAAAACTTTGTTGACTCCCTTCTGCATTGAATCAAGTCCCGGCTCCAAAACCCACCCTGGCTTCCAAAATCCACCCCAACCCAGGATGACGCCCTTTTCCAGCCTCATCTCATTTCCAGTCCCCTCCCCACCCCCACTCCATGTGCCTTTTGTCCCTTGTAACAGGGAGTAGGGAGAGAGGGCTGACTTGATGGGCCCACTCCAAGAATGGCAGGGACATTTGTGAAGTGAATGGGGTCTCCTAGACACCCTCACTCTATTCCTCACCCCGCGGCCAGAGGGATCTTGTTAAAACCCGGGTCAAATTCTGTCTCTTTTCTGCTCAGAGCCCTCCTGTGGCTCCCATCGTGCAAAAGCACCGTCCCTTCATGGCCTCCCAGTCCCCCCACCTTGTGACTTCCTTTCCCTGCTGACCTAATCTCCTGACGCTGGGCCCCTCCCCACTCCACTCCAGTCACACGGCCCGCCCCCGCCTCCAGGCCTTTTCACCTGCTCTTCCTTTTTCCTGGAATGCTCTTTTCCCACATGGCTTAGTGGCCCTTCCATGGAATGCTCTTTTCCCACATGGCTTAGTAGCCCTTCCATGCTTCCCTAAGGTTTTAACTCAGATGTCACCCTGTGGAGGCCTCCTCTGGCCACCCTATCTAACATTCCAACCTTCCAACACTTCTTATTCCCCTTAACTGGTTTTTATTTTCTCTGTATCACTTTTTCTCATCTCCCATACCCTGGTTTACTTTTTTTTTTTCCTTGAGACAGTGTCTTCCTCTGTTGCCTGGGCTGGAGTGCAGTGGTGTGATCATGACTCACTGCAGCTTCAAACTCCTGGGCTCAAACGATCCTCCGGCCTCAGCTTCGGGTATTTAGGACTGCAGGCACATGCCACCAAGCCTGGCTAATTAAAAACAATTTTTTTTTCTTTTGTAGATATGAGGTCTCAGCATGTGTCCAGGCTGGTCTGGAACTCCTGGACTCAAGCAATCCTCCTGCCTTTGCCTCCCGAACTGCTGGGATTACAGGCACATGCCACCCTGCCAGGCTACTTATTTACCTTGTTTGTCATGTGTCAGCTCCACAAGGGCAGAGATTTTCATCTGCTTTATTCACTACTACATTCTGAGCACCTAGAACAGTCCAGCACACAGTAGGTGCTTAATACATGGTTGCTTAAAAAATGAATGGATTAGGAATTAGCCAGGCGTGGTGGTGCGTGCCTGTAGTCCCAGCTATTTGGGAGGCTGAGGCAGGAGAATTGCTTGAATCCAGGAGGCAGAGGTTGCAGTGAGCCGAGATCGTACCACTGCACTCCAGCCTGGGCGACAGAGCGAGACTCCATCTCAAAAAAAAAAAAAAAAAAAAAAAAGAATGGATTAGGAAAGGAAGCTGGGCCTACAGAGGCTGCCAAGGCCATGGTGGCTGTTGCCACATTGCTACCTCTGCCTCCTCGCTCCCTCACTGAGCCCTCACAGGAGAATGTTTTCAGGTGGAAAGAGGAAAGCGGGGAAGGGGAACTGGGTCAGGATGAGGGGTCCGGTCCTGGGAGCCACTAGCTCCTGTTTGAACAACAAAAGGAGCGATCCCTCCTCTCTCTTGGAGAAGAGGGTCTGGCTGAGCAAGGACAAGGTTGAAGTCCAGGAGGTCAGGGGTCGAGGGAGGAATGTTGTTTTCTTCCATGGTGCGAGGTGGGATGTGCTTGCTGAGCGGCGGAGCTGAAGCTGGCTTGCAGGGGCCTTTATGGCTGCCTGAGCTGGCTGGAGATTGCGCTTGCTCCAGGTGATCAGAAGAGGCACCAGAATGGGGGGAGAGGGGATTTGCCTGAAGCTGTGGCCCTGTTGGCCTTGGCAGCCTCATCCCATGCCCATCTCCACTGACTCCTGGGAGGGAGGCTGGTGGACTCCTGACAGAGACTCCGCCTGGGGTCTCCACTAAGAGAGGGGTAGGAGGCAGCTATGAAGAACAGAAGGATGCAGGCTTGTCCCCAGGGTCCAAGGAAAGGGGAAGGGAGGGGGACAGTGCACAAAATGACCAATGACAAGAGCCTGAGGGTGAGGAGGCCTTCCCAGACTTAATAAAGACTTAATAAAGTCTGAAATCAAGTCTGAGTGACACTTCAGTAACCCAGGCTTTATTAATGAATTTCCCTTCTTCGTTGGTGGACTGGCCGGAACTGTCTCCCTCTGCCCCCAGTCCCCAGACTTGGTGGGACCAAGAGGTTGAAGGGGGTGAATTTTATTCATGAAACATGTGGGAAGTTCATCTGTAAAACAAATAAAAAAAAGAAAGAAAGGAAACATGTGGGGGCCAGACGCCGTGGCTCATGCCTGTAATCCCAGCACTGTGGGAGGCAGAGGCAGGCAGATCACTTGAGGTCACGAGTTCGAGACTAGCCTGGACAACATGGAGAAACCCCATCTCTACTAAAAACACAAAAATTAGCTGGGTGTGGCCCATGCCTGTAGTTCCAGCTACTTGGGAGGCTGAGGCAGGAGAATCGCTTGAACCCAGGAGGTGGAGGTTGCAGTGAGCTGAGATCGTGCCACTGCACTCCAGCCTGGTTGACAGAGCGAGACCCTGTCTCAGAAAAAACAAAAACAAAAACAAAAAAAATGTGAGAAATATTTCCACAGGGGCTGGGCTAAAGTTTACTATTCCACCCTGTCCAAGAGTCTATGCCAATTAAAGCATAAACCAGATTGCTAGGGAAACATTTAGCCTGCTTAAGTGAACTAATGACTTTTGAGGCCTTTTGGCTGTGCTTCATAAAAACCAGGAATGTGTTCATGTCCTCGTGATTCATGAAGGAAAGTGTGGAAGGGCTCTTCAGAAGGGCACTCTTTGGTGAGCCATTAATTACATTCTGTAATTGAGAGTTGTCTTCATTTGGTTGAGGGTTTCTGATTGTCCAAGTCACATCTTGTTACTACACCCGCCGCAGGGTGGAGTAGAGGGAAGACAGGTGGCCTTGGTGTGGAATACACCTGTGCTTGCTCCTGGCTCCAGCCCTTTCTGGAGGTGGGGCCTAGAGCAAGTTACTTAACCTCTCTGCACCTCAGTTTCCACATCTGGCGTCTGAGGGTAAATCCTACCTTATAGGCCTGCGGTGAGGGTGAAACGAGATGACGGAAGTAAAGTGCCTTGGTGCATGGTCAGTGCTTAGTAAATATTCATTATACAGCATCATCCAAAGTGTTTGGGGCCTTCCTGGTCACTCTTCCCATCTCAGTTAATATTTGCAACAGGAAGCATTTATGAAGTGCCAGGCGCTGGGGAAAATAGGGAGATGGGTCAAAAGAACAGAGCATCACCAAATGTGTGAATTGGAACTAGAGTTGCAGCCTGGGAGGGGAGATGCATGTGGATGAACAATCCTAACGGGAAACGACGAGAAGGGAAGTATGGATGGAAGAAAATGGGAGTTCAGGGGAGGGAAAGTCGCAGCCAGAAGGCCACATTCAACTAAGGCATTTTGACAGGTCATTTGGATTTTTTTAAATGGAATTTGAGCCCAAGCACAAGCCATTTGCCTGGGGTGCATGATGTGGAACAGAGGAGATATGGGTTGGAAGGAACTTTCAGGATCATCTGGCTCAACCTCCTCATCCTACAGACGGGGGCAGGACTGGCCTCAGTCTGTGGAGGAGCTGAGTTGAGCTGGGTTTCAGGTTTCAGTGACGTGCGAAGACATAACCCAGGGGCCCAGTAGCATCCTGCACTGTTGAGGGATGTAATAAAGGGGTGGATGGGGTTCAAGGAAATCAATGAAAGATGGTGAGTCTCAAGGGTAGCAATAGGAGGGAGCCATTACTACTCCAGGCCTTGGGAGGAAGGGGAGTCCTGGTTTCTAGAACCCCAAGGGACTTCCAAACAGGACCAGGAGCCCCACTGGAGGGACAGAGTCAACTCAGGCAACCTCAGTCTCTTCCCGTCCTCCTATCTCCTGCTGGTGCCTCCCATTGGTGGAACCTCAGTAGGAGACCTAGGGCCAACAGACCATTGGGGCAGTCAACTTGGGTCAGTCTTTCTTCCTGGGCACAGAGCAGTGTGGGGAAAGGCTGGGTGTAGAAGCAGAGGGGCCAACGGGGGCTGTCCAGCACAGACAGAGGAGCATGGCTGGTGTTCAGGATGTGAGGCTGGCAAGATACAGGAAGAGTCAATACAGGGAGTTCATGGATGTCAGGCTGAGGACAGCTGGAGTTGTAGAGTGAGAATGTCAGAGCAGAAGGGTCCGTAGAGATCAAGGAGGCTGACCTCATTTATGAGAGGTGAGCAGGACCCGTGCCCAGACTCCAGGAGTGAAGATGGCAGAGCTCAGCCACGTGGGCCACCCCTAGGGCACATGCTGTTTCACAGAGCTTTATTTATTCATTTATTTTTGCGTAGAGTTTCACCCTTTTTGCCCGGGCTGGAGTGCAATGGCATGATCTCAGCTCACTACAACCTCTGCCTCCCAGGTTCAAATGATATTCCTGTCTCAGCCTCCCGAGTAGCTGGGATTACAGGCATGCACCACCACGCCCAGCTAATTTTGTATTTTTAGTAGAGACAGGGTTTCACCATGTTGGCCAGGCTGGTCTTGAACTCCTGACTTCAGATGATCCATCCGCCTCAGCCTCCCAAAGTGCTGGGATTATAGGCGTGAGCCACTGCACCCGGCCTTCACACAGCTTTTTCTGGAGAAAGGAAGATGCATCTAAACATACTGGGGATAGCTTAGCCGACTTGGCAAGACCCGTCCCTACTGAAAATCTAAAAATTAGACAGGCATGGTGACCCACACCTGTGGTCCCAGATACTTGGGAGGCTGAGGCAGGAGAATCGCTTGAACCCAGGAGACAGAGGTTGCAGTGATCCTAGATTGTGCCACTGCTCTCCAGCCTGGGCAACAGAATGAGACCCTGTCTCGAAAGCAAACAAACAAACATACTGGGGACGGGAGAGGGGCTGTAATTCCTTGCTCGATTCTCTGTGCGACCCACAGAGGAAAGTATCAGGAATGGAGAATTAAAGAAAAATCCAGATTGTCTCTATGGAACCGCCTCTGGGATAGAAGACTGCCCTTGCAAGTAAACAGGAACCAGTTCCCACCACTCCTCCATCTAGTTCATTGCCCTTCAGGAACAAATCACCTCTCTGTTACCAGAATCTTGTCCGAGAAATAATAATCCTGTGGTCAGGGGAAGTCAAGTGCAGGCACAGCACTTTCTCTGTACGTGGGGTTTGCATGAGGCTGCAGATGAGCCAATCCTGGGAGGGATGAAATCTGCTCTCGTGGCCCCTGGCTGCCGGCTTTCAGCTGGTTTTAACCATTTGGGTCATTTTTATGCCTTCTGAGAAAGCTCCATCTTCCCAGCACCTAAATCTGTCACCACATTTCATGAAAATTGACTCAAGATGTAATTTTAGCCCAGAAAATCAAGCACTGTTTGCATCAAGTCCTGCCAGGGCCTTCTGCATGTCCAGTCAAATGCATTTGTCAGATGAGGCCTGAACTTGATGTCCAAAACCCTGGGTTTTCAGACCAGCTCTGATATTTACTGACTGTGTGACCTAGGTGAGTTATTTATCTTCTCAAGTCTCAGCTTACTAATCTATAAAATGGGGCTAAGAGACCTTCGTGGGTAGACTAACTAAGGCAGGATGGCCAGGTGGGAAGAGTCCCAGAAATGCTTCCACTGGGAAGAGGGACATGATAGGGAACCCCTCTAGGTTTCCCATTTGAAAAGTGGGTATGGAGATCCCTGCCCCTCCCTCACCAGGCAGCTGTCTTGGCTGAGGGCCTCTTGGAAAAGAAATGGGAATCACAGAATCTTAGGGTGTCCAGCAGATCGCCCCATACCACTGCAGTCATTGGCCCCAGCCACCACACCCACATGTCCCTGCCAAAGCACTCAGTCTCTTTTTTGAGGAGAATTAGCCTGTTAAACTTTTCACCAGCAGCTGAAATTGATGGTTCATCTCTAAATATTCTGAATGATCTTCCTCGGGGCAACTTGACATGTGTCTTCACATAACCTCTGTGAGCATGTGTTGGGCACTGTCTTAGTCTGTTCAGGTTGCTATAACAAAAATACCATAAACTGGGTAGCTTATAACCAACAGAAATTTATTTACACAGTTCTGGAGGCCAGGAAGTCCAATATCAAGGCACCAGCAAATTCAATGTCTGGTGAGGGCCAGTTCCATCTTGCTGTGTCCTCACATGGTGGGAGGGATGAACACACTCTAAGCCCATTCATGAGGGCTCTGCCCTCCTGACCTAATCACCTCCCCAAAGCCTCACCTCTGAATAGCATCACAATGAAATAAGAATTTCAACGTGAATTTCAGAGGGACACAAACATTCAGACTACAGCAGGCACCTACTATGTGCTGGGGGATGAATGCTGGGGGTGCAAAGGGGGACCAGACACTGCCTACAACCAGAGGAGCTCACTTTCAACCCAGGGAGATGACACCAATCACAGTAATGATAATGGCAAACACATGACAGCAATGTGCAGACACTGTTCTGTTCTTTTTTTTTGTTCTTTTTTTTTTTTTTGAGACAGAGTCTTGCTATGTCGCCCAGGCTGGAGTACAATGGCACGATCACTGCTCACTGCAAACTCCACCTCCCGGGTTCAAGTGATTCTCCTGCCTCAGCCTCCTGAGTAGCTGGGATTACAGGCGTGCACCACCACGCCCGACTAATTTTCTATTTTTAGTAGAGATGGGGTTGGTTTCAGGCTGGTCTTGAACTCCTGACCTCCAGTGATCCACCTGCCTTGGCCTCCCAAAGTGCTGGGAATACAGGCGTGAGCCACCGCACCTGGCCATAGACACTGTTCTAAGTACTTTACCTGCATTAACTCAATGAATCCTCACAACAATCCTATGAAGGAGGTATTATTATTATTATTGGCCCCATTTGACAGAGGAGGAAACTGAAGCTTTTCATATCACTGTTTTCTGTCCCTTTACCAACCTGAGCACCCTCCTGGACAGCATGTGTCCCCGCCATCCCCTTCTGCAGCCCAGAGCATCATGGGCTGGCTTCCTCCACACAGGGGCTTGCCTTAGATCATCACGCTCCTCCCTGCTGGCCTCTGCATTCTGTGTCTGCTTCTGAGGATTACACATCTAGCGACACTATCTAATATGCCACTGATCTTTTGGCAGGTGTTTTTGACTTAATTCGTACTGAGTTTGGGGACTTCTGTGTCTTTCTCCATGAGTTGCTGTCCAAATAGCTTTGCCAATTTCCCTACCTCAGAGTTGGCAATGAGTTTTTGAACCTAAATCTGTGATTTCACATTTATTGCCATCATGTGTCGTTTGTTGGATTCAGTCCGTTGTTACAGTTTATGGAGACCATGTTGAATTACGATCTTGCATTCAGCATCTTGGTTATGCCTCTTGGTCCTGGGTCAGCTGTAGTCCTCACCGACACAGGTGACAAGGAATTGAATGGGATGGAGTACTGCGTTCCTCCACTAGAGATCTTTTCCCAGATTGACTTCAGTTTTTTAATTGACCTTTGGGGTAGGCCGTTCAGCCACCTATGTGCTATATTTTCCCATCTGGTCCCTAAAGACATCATGAATAACAGTCAAATGCATTTGTCAGATGAGGCCTGAACTTGATGTCCAAAACTCTGGGTTTTCATACCAGCTCTGATATTTACTAACTGTATGACCTAGGTGAGTTATTTATCTTCTCAAGTCTCAGCTTACTAATCGATAAAAAGGGGCTAAGAGACCTTTGTGGGTAGACTAACTAAGGTAATGCTTATGAAAATGCCTGGAAATATTAACCGCAATCTACCATTGACCTGGGCACTCCATCACAGTGGGAGAGGCCGCCCTTGGAGATCCTGTGAACCAAGCCAAACTTGGTGGCACTGGAGCTGAGTCTTGAGTGGTGCCATGCATCATTCTGGGGGGCAGGGTGTTGCAGGTGGAGGGAACAGCAAGTGCAAAGGCCCTGAGGTGGGAACAAGCTTACTGTATTTCAAGGACAAAAAGAAGGCTGGTGTAGTTTGAGTGGTGTGAACAATTAAGAAAGTGGACAATACGGTCACAGAGGTCATCAGGTTCAGATCCTGTAGGGCTTCAGAGGCCATATAAAGAGTTCTGATACTGATCTAAGTGTGATGCTAAGCTACTTGAGGGTTTTATTTTGTTTTGTTTGAGATGGAGTCTTGCTCCATTGCCCAGGCTGGAGTGCAATGGCTCGATCTCAGCTCACTGAAACCTCTGCCTCCCGGGTTCAAGTGATTCTCCTGCCTCACCCTCCCAAGTAGCTGGGACTACAGGCATGCGCCACCATGCCTGGCTAATTTTTGTATTTTTAGTAGAGGCAGAGTTTCACCATGTTGAGCAGGCTGGTCTTGAACTCCTGACCTCAGGTGATCCTCCCTCCTAAACCTCCCAAAATGCTGGGATTACAGGCGTGGGCCACCACACCTGGCCTATTTAAGGGTTTTAAGCAGGGGAGTGATGCAACCTGGTTTATGTTTCAGAAAGACAGCCCTGGCCACTGTGTGCAGAGTGGACTGCAGGGGAAAGGGCAGAAGCAGGAAGATAATTTGCAGTCTTGTGGAGGTTTTGGAATAAGACTGTGGTGGGCATGAACACAGGGGATCCAGTTCGTTCAATGCCAAGAGTTTAAATCTGAAAAGAAATAACCCTCTGCCTGCCTGGCCTTGAGCCCAATTTAGGATCCCTGGTGACCTGGCCTTGGTCATTCCACATAGACCATTATCTAAAGATACAAAGGAATGAGTGGACCATCAGCATTGCTAAGGCACAAAGCGGAAGGCAGGCCTCTCTAAGAGGTGGACTCCAAGGCAAGCTTGGGGTAGGCTTTCTGGACTCTCTCCTTTTTGCAGAGAAGTCTGCCTCTGCAAAGAGAGGTCCCTCCTGAGCCTTAGGTCACTTGGAAAGCCTTTAGTGGCCTTTGCTCTTGTCATGCAGCTGAATTTTCAGGGCTCTGACTCCCCGTGATCAGGGTTAGGCAGTCCAGGACCAAAGCTTTACTTTAGGGACTAGATGGGTCTATGGCCACCTACTCACAGTCTTAGGGTCAGGGCTTTAAAACCTGCTTTGACACAGTGAGGTGCTGTCTGGGATGTCCCTTTGAATCCTGACTTTGCCACTTTCCTTAACCTCTCTCTGAGCCTTAGTTTTTTTCATCAATAAAATGGGTTCCCAATGCCTGCTTAGTGGACTGTGGTAGGGACCACATGGCAGAATCACTTAGCAGTGCCTGCCTGTGCTCAGGACCTGTAAATATTCTTTTTATTATTAAACAGTACCATCAGGCAAGCTGTAAAGAGGCTCTATCCCTTTCCTTCCCCTCCTTAAATAAGAGGGTGACTGATATGCCTTCTACCCTGTACAGTCTCCACATCAGCAGCACCCCATTATCTCCCTTGGCCCTCACCACACCCAGATGAGGAAGCAGAGCTCAGAGGGATCCTGGCTTTGCCCAGCAACACAGCTAGGAAGTGGCAGAGCTGGGATGTGAATGTGGTTTTCCGAGTCGGAGTCCCTGGTCTTCTCCTCTGCCCAGGCCACTGACTTTCAAAGTGGGCTTTTCTTGTTTGTTTGTTTTTGAGACGGAGTCTCACTCTGTCGCCCAGGCTGGAGTGTGGTGACACAATCTCGGCTCACTGCAACCTCCACCTCCTGGGTCCAAGCAATTCTCCTGCCTCAGCCTCCCGAGTAACTAGGATTACAGGCATATGCCACCACCCCCAGCTAATTTTTGTATTTTTCGTAGAGATGGGGTTTCACCATGTTGGCCAGGCTGGTCTCAAATTCCTGAGCTCAGGAGATCCGCCCACCTCGGCCTCCCAAAGTGCTGGGATTACAGTCATGAGCCACTGCGCCCAGCCCAAAGTGTGCTTTTCTATCCCCAGGATTTGAGGGTGGCAGCTCCAGGATCCACCGTGAATATGTGTGTAGCCCCTGCCTCCCTTTCCTCCTTCAAGCAGAGGTGTTCATTATTTCTGTGTAATACATTAGACATGAGCCTGAGATTTCATTTGAAGAAAGGAGTTGGCTTTTCTAATAAACCCTGAGTTCTAGGCCAGGTCCCCTGGTGGCTGATAGATCTATTTGCTTTTCAGTGTTAGTGTCCAGGTGCACTCTACAGTTGTGGCTGAGCTGTTGAAAGTGTGCACTCCAAAGTCAAGTTTAAAAATGGGCCCACCACCTGCCCAGGTGGGGGATCTTGGCCAAGCACTTAGGCTCACAAGCCTACTGTGAGGAGTAAATAAGCTAATTCGTGTAAAGTGCCTGGCCTGCAGAAAAAGCTCAATAATGGCTCTTCTTATAAGAAGCCCTAAGTAAGAAACCAATGCTTTATCTGGAGGAAGGAACCATTGACAGTATCATTTCAGACATCGTGATGCCATTTGGCAGGAGCTATCGATGTTTTGGAGTGAGCTGGGGGACAAGTCCCAGGGCCCCCTCCATGATGCTTGGCTTCCTTTAGGGTGGGGACTGCTCAGGCCCCCCACCCTCTACAGTCAGACCCGGGGCTAGAAGGCTGGGGGTGGGGACAAGGTGGTGGAGAGTGTTTTGTTGGCAGCTTGGCAGCCAGGCTCATTGGTAAAGGGTCGTTCCCCGTTCCCCGAGGAGCTGGGATGATTGAACAGATTATCTGAAACAATGGCTAATTAGGAACTAAGCTTTTTGGCAGGAAGTCTTTCATTCTAAGCTTGGTAAAGTTTCATACCCTGACCCTGGTCTCTGGGCGAGATAGGGAGGCTTCTCTGACCAGGCTTGAGAACAGGGAGGCCTTTAGAGCCTGGGCTTCCCTAACTCAGGGCCCCTGTCTCCACCTCTGCCCTGCCTTACCTGGAAGCCTTAACAAAACAGGCAGCCATTTGGGAGGTCACCAGGCCTACGAAACGAAAGGTGCCAAGGTCATGGCTCACTCCCTGTAATTTTAGGCAAGCCCCATCTCTCTCTGGGCCTGGTTTTCCTCACTGCAACGAGGAGGGGTGGCCACAGAATTCTGGACTCCTTCAGTGACAGAACCAGAGAGAACTTTCCAGACCCAAGATGGTGCAGGCCTGGCATGGCCAGATCCTCCGTGCTCCTCCGCCTCCCCAGGCCCTCCTTTCCTGTCCCCAGATCTCAGGCCACTCTTCCCAGCCACTGGGCGCCCCCACCTGGCTCCTATTCCCAGGGCCAGCCTTGGAAAGCACATTCCCTTTTTCCGTTTCTATTTGAGTCAGGTAGCTTTCTGGCCTCTAATTTTAATCCTAGTGAACATGATTCATGAGGGGCCAGGGCTGGGCTCTGCAGCGAGGCTTTTAGAATCCCCAATTAAGGAGCCATCAATAATATATGAAAAGTATTGAGGGATCTACGGCTGGGGAAGGGTGAGCAGCTTGTGAGGTAGACAGCAGTCTGTCAGCTCCAGCCTCCTATCCCACCGGCACAGCCCCTGGGGGCTTTGCAGCTGGGGGATGGCTCCGAAGCTCAATCCAGCTGTAATTTGTAAAAAGGCAAGAGCTGCCTAAATCCAGGGCCATGAAGATTGTTCAGGCTTGCAGAGAGCCACCCACGCATGCCTGAGGTAGGGGCTGTGGTGAGCACCAGGGATGCTCTGCCTTTCTCACTCCTGAGAGTCCCGGCCCTTCCTCGCCCACCATGGGTTGCCTCTGGGAGGGCTTCTCTGGCCTCCAAGAGCTCCGTTCTTTCATCGGTAAAGTGGAGATGATAATAATTTCATTGTCACGGGGTCATTGGAGGGGGTTAAATGAGATCGTGGATGTATGGAAGTGTTTCAAAGTTGAGAAGTCAGGATACCAAGCAGAAGGAGGAGGAGGAGGATCGGGTGGAAGGGAGAAACCTGAGCAGGGATGTCCACAGGCTTCTGGGTGAACCAGGGCTCCACTCAGCGCTGGGAGCCCCACTGGCTGGGGTACCCGTCAGCATCCATTTCCTAATGAGCTGTGTGACCGTGGTCAGAACAGCCCCCCTCCCACCTTCTCTGCCTTTGTTTTCTCATGTGTTAATTGAGAGGATTTGGTTTCTTCCAGCTCTAAAATCAGGTCCTAAGTCAATTTGATTTTTTTTTTGGTTGTTGTTTTGGCTTTTTGTTGTTGTTGTTTGTTTTTTTGTTTTTGAGACAGCGTCGTGCTCTGTCGCCCAGGCTGGAGTGCAGTGGCACAATCACGGCTCACTGCAGCCTCAATCTCCTGGGCTCAATTGACCCTTCTGCCTCAGCCTCCCAAGTAGCTGGGACTACAGACGTGTGCTTCCATGCCTGGCTAATTTTCTTATTTTTTGTGGAGATGGGATCTCACTATGTTGCCCAGGTTGGTCTCGAACTCCTAGGTTCAAGCGATCCTCCTGCCTCCCAAAGTGCTGCCCAACTTGTTAACATTTTTAAAAGGAAATCACAGGAGGGTTGAGGACTCTTTCTCTCCTCCTCCTCTCTCTCTCTCAATCTCTCTCTCTCTCTGTCTCTCCCTTCCTCTCTCTCTCTCCTCTCTCTCTCTCTGCGTAGGGGCTGCAAGGGGAGGGATAGAGGTTGGGCAGGGTGTTAGGTCAGGGACACTCACATTATGACCTGATCTGTGGGTCCACCCAGACCCACAGGGAGTGTTAACAAGGGAGCAGGCACAGTAATCCCAGAAGTTCAGAGACTGCGCTAGGGAGTAGAGAAACTACAGGGCTGAAAACTGTCAGACCTAGTCCCAGCCTCCATTCACAGCATAAGCCTCTTACTGAATAGTGACTATATCAACTCCTTATTGATTTGGAGCCAGCCAGCCTGGGTTTGAATCCCGTTCCTATCGCCTGCTAGCTGTGTGACCTTGGGCAAGTCTCTCAATCTCTCTGAGCCTTATCTTAATTTACTTATCTGTAAAGTGGGGATAATAGTTCTGCTTCGGAAGGTTGTTATGAAGCTTAAATGAATGACCTTATGGATAACACTTAGTGCGTGGCACGCAGTAGGGCTCTGTGAGGGTTACTATCAGTATTGGAGACCAGCTCTGCAACAGACACTCCCTGCATGTCCCTTCTGTCCTCCATCTGGAGGAAGGAATGATTTACTCTGTTTAAGCAACAGGGAGGTACACCCTCTCAGGGGGTGTCTCAGGCAGATCGTAAGCAACACAAGGCAGGCCTGGGAGGGTCCTGGGCCCTCCCTGGCCCTGGGCCCCAATGTTCTGCAGCCATGGGCATTTGTGGGGAGTTGACTCACGTGCCGGGAGATGTCCTTGTGCTGTCTGTTGCTGCCTCCCAGCTGGTGGGTGATGAGGAGGAAGAAGGGGCCCAGATTTTAGAAATCTGGAAGCAGGTTGAGCACAGTGGCTCATGCCTGTAATCCCAGCACTTTGTGAGGCCGACGGTTGGGGGTGGATTACCTGAGGTCAGGAGTTCGAGACCAGCCTGGTCAACATGGCCAAACCCCGCCTCTACTAAAAATACAAAACTTAGCCAGGCGTGGTGGCAGGCACGTGTAATCCCAGCTACTGGGGAGGCTGAGGCGGGAGAATCACTTGAACACAGGAGGCAGAGGTTGCAGTGAGCCAAGATCGCGCCACTGCACTCCAGCCTGGGCAACAAGAGCAAAACTCCTCTCAAAAAAAAAAGAAAAAAGAAAAGAAATCTGGAAGCAACAGAGAGGGCACCTCTTCCTGGGCTGCCTTTCTCTCCACATCCTAGTCCATGATCAGAGGCTGAGCGGGCGACCTCTCTCCTTTACTTTCACTACGTGGCTTCCATGCCCAAGGGCTCCTCCTGCCTTTTGTTTCCTTCCCTGCTGGTGGCCACAGTGAGTTTCTTCTCTAGGCCCCAGGTCTCTAAGAAAACCTTAGGTTTTCTGCGGCCTTTTTTCAACTGAGGCCTGGGGTACTAAGGACCCTGGTGTTGTGGGTAGCCCGTAGGGAGAGTAGGGCCTGGATCCTGATGGAGAAGTCGGTTTGTTCGAGCAAAGGGCCAGCCCTGCATTTGCCTCCAGTCTCACCCCGCATACAGAAGATATCTAGAGAGCAACCACTGAGAGCTAGGGCTTTCGGGAGACCCCTTTAGATGGAGGACGAAAACCCTCTCAGGTGTGGAAGATGAGCAGAAAGGAGTGGGAGCTGAAGAGGAAATGTTAGTGGTAGGACTGGGAGCATCTTAGAGATAAAGCTGAGTTTAAAGGCTTGGGAGATGAACACAGTTCCTGGATGGCTGAACCAGAGTTAGGGATGTAGAAAGAACCAGAGTGTGGGATCACTTACGTACAGAGCACGTTTTATGTCCCAGGCTCTCTTCTAAGTATATTATGTAAATCAAATCATTTAGGCCTCCAACAATCCCATAACATGTAGATAAATTGCCATTCCCATTTTACAGAGGAGGAAACTGAGGCACAGAGAGGTAAAGGCATTTGCCCAAGGTCACATAACCAGGGAGTAGCAGAGCCAAAATTTGAACCCAGAGGCCTGGCCGTAGACTCTGCACTATTAACGACTTCACTTTACTGCTTTATGTGGGAAACCTTGAGACCTGTCTTCAAAGCTAGGGCCAGTGATTCTTAAAGCTTTTTGAAGACGTGCTTCCCTCTGAGAAACTGATATAAACCTTGGCTGTTCTCCCCAGAAAATGCAGGCATGTGTAGACAGACATTTGCATTCAATTTCAGGATGTCACAAACCCACATAAAGCCCAGGTTAGGAGCCTCAAACCCTGACTCTTATTTAGGAATTTTCCATCCCCCAGTCCTCACTCTGGCACCTATGTGGATGGGGCCAGGATGGCCACTTTCTACAATGTGGAGGAGGCTGGTGTTGGGGGGCCATGGCCCCTGAGAGCCCCCAATGAAGCCCTTAAGTGGGACAGCAGTGCTGAGATCCCACGTCCCAAAGGGCTGGCACAGGACATTGGTATCTTTGCTGCATGATCGGGAGTCATGCACTTTCTTGGTGACATGAATGTTATACACTGGAGTCTGAGCAGAATAGGGTGGAGGCAGGGGCTGTCTTGGTTTACGTTCAATTGAGTTGGAAATTGTATGTGTGTAAACATGTTTGTGAGAGATAAATTTTATCAGTGAGGGTCCCAGCAGGAAAGAGAAACTCAGAGGGTTTAACTGGAGAGATTTTAATGAAGAGATTTCTCTCAAAGGTATGGATGAGCTTGGGGAAATCCACAAGGGATAGAGCATCACCTGGGGGCTTGCAACAGCAGGGAGCTGTGACCACCCAGGCTTGCCGTGGCGATGGGAGAAGGCACTGCTGCTCTCTGAGTGGGAGGTGGAGGGCCTGCCTGGTGGGGTCTGTGGTCCTGGAGGGAAGCAGCCTCTCCCAGAACCATGGAGCTGAGGCTGGGCAGGAGTGGGAAGAAATACCCCAACCTCTGTCTCTTCCTGTCTCCCATCTACCAGTGTCTCCCACTGGCCAAACCCCACTGGAAGCCACAGGGTGAGGGAATGATAGTGATGCTATTCAAAGGGAAGCAATCTCCTGTAGGATGAAGACTGGAGCTGGGGCGGGCAGCAGGCAGCAGCCCGAGACTCTCCAGCCTCCGTATCAGCCCAGGCCCAACCGCCAGCCCCAAGAGCCCCCTACAGGCTGGGCACCCGTGTCTTGACAGAGGCTGTCCCCTCCTGGCCCAATAGTTGGATGTGGGGCAGGAAGACCTTGCTTGCCCAACCTGGGTTCTCAACCTCAGCCCTGCTCTGGGCTTCCCTCTGAGGGCAGTTTGGCGACACTGCTGTCTACCTGCCCCATACATCCCAGCTGTCACGTGTAGCAGAGTCCCAGAGAGTCGCCTAATTTAGTCCCCAAAGAAGTTTCAAGTCTGCCCCCACTTTGAGGGTCTCACTGGAACTGATGGTATGTAATTAACACTGCTTAATTGATATTCATGCAGCTTAGTCATAGAGGTTTTAGGAGCCCTTGGGACCATCTTTTGGGGCATGTCAGAAGCTCTTTCCACTGAGTTTTGTTGCCAGGGAGAGAGTCTTTCAGAAGGCAAATTCCCTCATTTCCAGGCTTCCTTCTCATTTGTACTTTTTCTTTCCTTCTGCCCAGTAGGAGACCGTCCCAGCCCTGGGGCCCAGGGAGGTCCCCTGTCACCTCCCCTGTCACTCAGCCTCCTGCCCAGTTTTCATCCCTCAGCCTCCCCAGTGCACACTTGCGCACCTTCCCTAACAATTCTCTAGGGCTCTCTGCATCACATCCTGCATGCAGATTGCTTGGGCATCCTTCAGCCTTTGTTTATCAGAATTCCTGTGCTTACCAGTGTTTGGTGGTCTGTGAGCAACGTGAGGATCCCCCACTCCCAGTATCCTCAGAGCCCAAAGTGTGGACAGAGGAGCTCAGAAAGGCTTGGAAGCAGGGACAGGCATGCCCAGGGAGCTGGCAGAATGAACAGGGCTGGCTGCGCTCTGTATTACGGGTGGTGAGGGGTTAACCCCCCTGCTCCTTCCCTAAGCAGGATTTGCTGCACAGCAGTTAGATTGCATGCCATCCTGTGGTTCCCAGTGCTCGGGTGCTAATATCTCATCTCTCCAAGTCCCTTCTGGCTTGAAAACTCTATAAGTCTATGTAGAATGAAATACAGCAGCCAAATTGATTTTTTTTTCAACGTCTCTTCAGTTGTGTTCCTGCCATCATTAATGGGGTATAAATTGGGCCTGACAGGACCTGGTGGCTTCTCAGATTTTAAAATCCAAGTTTTAGCATTTTTCCCCTTTGTTATTCGTCCAAGTAATGAAGGCTATAAAACATCTTCAGTAAGTCCCCAGATTGTGGATTTTGCGGTTGTTTGTGATCTGCACGTCTTAACTACCTCTGAGTCTTAGTAATCTGTCACTGTCCAGCCTAGCTCATGTGCCCCCTTTCCTGCTCTAGGAGTTATTGGGGGTGGGCTTGGAGTTCCCCTCCGTGTCCTGTTTCCAGGGGAACTCCATTGTCTTCTTAGGCAGAATCAATCTCTAGGGTATTCCCCTCTATTGAAGCTGCAAGTGCCATTTTAAAAGCAGCCTTGTCATCTTCCTTAATGGGTGTTTTCCTTGGAGCCTATGCTGGGGGTGGGGTGGGGTGGGGAGGGAAACTGCATATAGGATGTCTGCTCCTTCTGGGCTGGGCCTTATCTAAAATCCTGCTAGAGGGATGCTGTGAGGTTGTTGAAGGAGGAGGGCAAGTGTAGTGAGAGAAAGGAAGTAAGTCCCTTCCTTAAAGGAGAATTTTCTCAAACCTGGGTGTTTACCTGGAATATTTTGCAAGAAAGCCATTAAGAGACATGTTCCTTTTGTCTGAAGGCAGGAGGTATTCATCAAGAATAAGAGCAGGAGAGGAGAATGCAGGAACTCTTTTGGAACAGGGGTTATGCATTGTAAGATTGTTATTGAATTTAGGGAGTGGGAAAGGAACCCAGTCTTATTCAATCTGATGTCCTTTCCATTGCTTGACACATACTGGGACTTGTACAAATGCTTGTGAAGTAAACCTCATCTTTATTTGATTTTCATAATGCTTGATGACTCCTCACAGTTAGATGCAGTAAAAATATAATGGGCTTTGGAGTTAGATATACCTGGGTTTAGGTCCCAGCTCTGCCTTGCTGTGTGATCTTGGGCAAGTTACTTAACCTCTCTGATTTTTAGTTTCCTCATTTGTACAATGGGTAATACCTCACAGGATTTTTGTGAGAATTGAATGAAATAACTTAATGATGCACTTAAGCTATTGAGCATTCAGTAGGGGCTCAGTAAATGTTAGTTTACTTCCTTCCTCCTGCTGTATTCTCATTCATTAGTGGTTCTCAACTCCACCTGCACATTACGATCACCTAGGGAACTTTAAAAAAGCACAGTTGTTCAGGCCCCACCCACTGAGATTTGTATTTAATTGGTCTGTGTTGGGGCTGAGCATGGGTATTTTTAAAAAACACCTGTTAAAGCATATATTTTTTAAAAAGGTAAAATCATGACTGCCATACAAGTTTAAAATTAGCGTGACAAATATTTATTATCAAAGCCTGTTAATTAATGAGGAAACCAGTAAGATGTTGCAACCAGTTCAAATAATTCAAACAACACACACATATAGGTGATCAGGAATGTTGAAATGAATTTACACATAGATGCAAAATCGGTCAATATCCATACGGCACAAAATGTTTAAAACCGCTCCTGGTGCATTGCATGTGTTCAATAAACAGTAGCTATTATGATCTAAACCCGCGGCTGTGTATTAAATGCTGTGTTAGGTCCTGGGCTACAAAGATGAGGAGAACTTGGATTCTCCTCCTGCTTGAGAAGCTCACAATCTAGAGGGGTAGAAATAGACTCAGTAGATCATTATCAGGCCGCAGAGTAAGTGCAGCCTTAGAGATGCAGGAGGATGATGGGCGCACACAGGAGGGGTGGGGAGTTGGAGAACAGGATGGCCAGGGAGCGGAGGCTCCAAGCATTAGGAATTGGCACATACTGGGGGCCCCTTAGGAGGTTGCCGTGGTAGTCGAGGTGACAAGGTGAGAAAGTGATGAGGCCAGACCAAGGCCACAGCAAAGGAAGAGATTTAGCCGATGAGATTGACTGGAACATGAGATTGACTCACCAAGGGAGTGAGGGACAAAAGATGCCAAATCTAGTGTTCCTCAGATGACCCCATGTTACCTGGAGTGGGAGCTTCCCTCTCCAGTGAGACAGAGTCTTTCTCTGTCGCTCAGGCTGGGGTACAGTGATGTCATCTTAGTTCACTGCGACCTCCACCTGGGTTTAAGTGATTCTCCTGCCTCAGCCTCCCAAATATCTGGGACTATAGGCGTGCGCCATCAAGCCTGGCTCAATTTTATTTTATTTTTTTTTAAATAGAGATGGGGTTTCACCATGTTGGCCAGGGTGGTCTCAAACTCCTCACCTCAAGTGATCCGCCCGCCTCAGCCTCCCAAAGTGCTGGGATTACAGGTGTTAGCCACCGCACCCAACCCCTTTGGAAGTTTCTAACTTAATTCAGGGTAGAAGGGACACTCAGGGTAAGCCCCAGGTAACCCAGGGCCTCATCTACCACATGTGTGAGGGGCCCATGTGCTGGTGTTTTCCTGGACTGCAGAGCCCCATCAAGGAAGACTGACACTCTGACACTCAAGATTATTAAGAAGGATTAATGCCCATTTAAAATATTTTGCTTTGCACCTGCCTGTCTTACTACTTTGAGACTCTGGTAAATATTGTAACGAACAGCACCCCTGCCTTCATGGAGCATACAGTGTGGTGGATTTTTTGTTTGTTTTTGTTTTTAGAGACAGAGTCTCTCTCTATTGCCCAAGCTGGAGTGCAGTGGTGTGATCATAGCTCACTGCAGTATCACCCTCCTGGGCTCAACCATCCCCCAACCTTAGCCTCCTGAGTAGCTGGGACCCCAAGTGCATGGTACTATGCCTAGCTAATGTTTTTTGTTTTATAATTGTGGGGAAAAAAAGCATATAGCATAAAATTTTCCATCATAACCTTTTTTTTTTTTTTTTTTTTTTTTTTTTGAGATGGAGTCTCACTCTGTTGCCAGGCTGGAGTACATTGGCGCAATCCTGGCTCACTGCAACCTCCGCCTCCTGGGTTCAAGCGATTCTCCTGCTTCAGCCTCCTGAGTAGCTGGGTCTACAGGCGTGTGCCAACATGCCCAGCTAATTTTTGTATTTTTAGTAGAGACAGGGTTTCACCATGTTGGCCAGGATGGTCTCGATCTCTTGACCTCGTGATCCGCCCACCTCGGCCTCCCAAAGTGCTGGGATTACAGGCGTCAGCCACCGCGCCCAGCCGCATCATAACCATTTTTAAGTGTACAGTTCAGTAGAGTTACAAATGTATTTGCATTGTTGTGAAACAGGTCTCTAGAACATTTCATCTTGCAAAACTGAAACCCTATACCCATAAACAACTCCCCCTATACCCCTCCACCCTGCCCCTGGTCACTGCCATTCTACTTTCTGCATCGATGAATTTGGCCACTTTAGATACCTCCTGTAAGTGGACACATACATTATTTGTCCTACTGTGACTGGCTTATTTCACTTAGCATAATCTCAAGGTGCACCCATGTTGTAGCACATGACAGGATTTCCTTTCTTTTTAAAGGCTGAATGATAGTCTATTGTAAATGCAGTGGGTTTAAACTTCACCTCTTAGCCCCTCACCCCTTTTTTGAAACAAAAATTTTGCTCAAAATGTCTACTGTATTGAGCAGATATAAAAGAGAGCCGCTTTGATGGGATGGTTGGCCTAGAATCGTGCCCATTCTGCCCTCCTCTATGGCCTATGGAGCCTCCAGGGGACTTGGATCCCAGTGGAACACCACCTAGCCCAGTGGTTCTCAAAGTGGAGTCCCCAGACCCACAGCATCAGCATCACCTGAGGACTTTTAAAATGCAGATTCCCAGGCTCCACTAGACCTACTGAGTCAGAGCCTCTGGAGTGAGGCCCTCCACAATCTGTATTTTACCAAGTGATTCTGATGCCCAAAGATGGGGAGTGATTTGGCCTAAAGTCATTTGCAAAATTGAATGGGATTCAATTATTGACTGCCTATTATGTATAAAATTCTAGAATATCAGCTGCAAGGGCAACCAAGACAATTCAGTCTCTGAATTAGTTAGCTATTGCTGAGTAATAAATTATCCCAGAATTTAGTGGTTTAAACAGCAGGCAGGAATCTGAGTGCAGCTTTGCTGGGTCCTCCGGCTCAGGGTCTCTCACAAGGTCACAGTGAAGGTGTTGGCTGGGGCCTCAATCATCTCAAGGTTCAACTGGGCAAGATTTGCTTGCAAGCTCACCCAGTGGTTGTTGGCAGGATTCCAATTCTTACGGATGGGCAGATTGACAGCCACTGTTCCTCACTGGTATTAGCCTGGGGCCTCATCCTTTCCTTGCCGCCCCTTCATAAGGCAGCTCACAACATGGCAGCTGGTTTTATCAAGTGAGCAAGCAAGACAGAGCAAGAGAGGGTGCCCAGACGGAAGTCATAGTTGTTTACAACATAACCTTGGAAGTGACATTCTATGACTTGTGAGATACTCTGTTCAGTACAAGTGTGTCACTAGGTCCAGCCCACGTTCGAGAGGAGCTGATTATGCAAGGGCATGAATACCAAAAGGTGGGGATCTTTTAGGAGGTGGTCTCCTACAGTCCCTGCCTATGCCCTTGTGTTTGCAATTGGGAATCAAATAAGTACACACCTAATTGTGGAATCAATTCTCAGAATGGTGGTCATGGAGTGGGCGCAAGTTCGGTGGAGGCTCAGAGAAATAAAATTCTCTGATTGGAGGAATCAGGAAGGCTTCCTGGAGGAGGTGGCATTTACATCAGGCCTTGAAGGAATGAGGATATGCCACTGGCAGAGACAGGGAGGCCAGGTGAAGGGAAGGGCCTGCTCAGGTATTAAGACCATCAGCTTGCATGGAGATGGGAAGAAGCAGTACGGGTTGGAGCCATACTGTACATGGCTTCCACTGTCAGATGGAAGAACTCGTGCTTTGATTGGGAGGGGATGGATGTCAGGAGCCTGGAGAGACAGGGCTTTCATAACTGCCAGAACCAGGACTAAGGGGCTCTGAGCCCAGTGCTCTCCCCTGCCCCACCAGCCGGCCCCACCAGCCCGGCCCTGAGGTTCACCCTCCATCTTCTCTTGCAGTTTGGGCGCACCGAAGTCATCGACAACACGCTCAATCCTGACTTCGTGCGCAAGTTCATTGTGGATTACTTTTTCGAGGAGAAGCAGAACCTCCGTTTTGATCTGTAAGTGGAAGATGGTGCTGAAGATGCAGCCAGGTGGGGAGGAAGATTGCTGGCAGGTAGGACCACAGACCTGTGGTTGAGGAAGGAGCTGAGAAATTAGTGGGAGCCCAGGGTTGGCCTGGGATAGAAGTGACAATTAGCTGAAGTCGCCTGCACCCTTACCAGGAGAGATGGAAAGGGGGAAGAAGAGAGAGAACAATGGCATTCACCCCAGTTCGTCTCAGTTAAGTTGGGGATGGCATCAGGCAAGCTGCTTGGTGCTGGGGAATGTCTGCTGAGGAAAGATCCTGAAGGCAACTCTTGGCTGTGCCTCTGGGAGCCCTTTTCTCCCCTGGCAACCAGGAGGTACCCACTGGCTGCTTCCTCCATCTAAGCGTGTTCTGGGAGAGGGTCCCTGCAGCCTCCCCGCCTGCAGAGGTGGCCTGGCTGATGGGGCTCAGGCATCCAGCATCCGTCGGAACATGAGAGTGCCTTTCTCCTGACATTAAAGATCAGGGTGGAATTTCAGGCTTGGTAAACAGGCTGGGGAGTTTGTGATGTTGTTTTTATGGGGTATGGGATGGTTTGAAAAGTCTTTGCCCCACAGAAGAGTGGTCAGGGTGGGAAAGAAGGGGGTTTGGGATCTTAGGGAGAAAAGGAAAGAATGCAGTGGAAGGAAATGACTTTGGAGGGAGAGATGGGAGGTATTGAAGCTGAGGAGAGTCAACACAGCCTATTGTAGAGAAGTCACCTGGTGACATTTTGGAGAAGGTTGATAAGAGAGTGACCATCCCTCAGCAGGAGTCATCTGGGCCTGGCATGGCTGTTTGGCTGCAGAGATGCCAGTGGGTGGGTGGGAGATGCTGGGGGAAGGTTGCAGGTGAGGCTCCAGGTGATCAGGCCCCCGGTGAGCAGGCCCCAGGTGAGGGGAGGAGGCCAGCTGTAGCATCACGCTGCCTGCAGCCAGCTGAGGTGAAGGTGTCAATGCCTCCCTCCTTCTTGAGTGACCAGGCCTGTGGGCAAGCTGGGCAGGCCTGGGTAGGGTGAAGCTATAAGGGAAGGTCAGAAGCAAGGTATTAGCACCACGGGCAGCCAAGGCTAGGCTGCAAAGAGCAAAGATGGAGAACTCTGTAAGTGAAGGGAGTGAAAGGTAAGATGGCTTAGCCACCTGTGAACAGAGCTCATTGATTTAGTTTTTTCCATTTTTAATGAGGTATAACATATATACAGTGAAGCGCATAAATCTTTGTGCCTACTCCACGATGCATTTTTACATCCGTTTCCACCCCTCTGATGTCACCCAGCTCAAGGACAGAACATGTCCAGCACCCAGAAGGCTCCCTGTCATGTCTTCCAACCATTACTCCTAGAAATATTCACTGTGTTGGGACCTGTTTTTTGGGGGACAGGGGCCCTGACTCAACTTGAGAACCCAGGCAGGATTGGGCAGAACGTCCGCAGCTGCCTTCATCGTTTCTCTGTGTTCCCTGCAGATACGACGTTGACTCTAAGAGTCCTGATTTATCCAAACACGTGAGTTCTGCCAGTAACTGCTCAGCAATTCCATAGTTTCTGAAATGCCATCCTCTGGGTGAGCCTGGGGCTTTGCTGTGATGGAATGTGTGTCCGACGCTGCGTCCTGTCATTTAAGGGCCCTCACGCTTCCAGGAATTGGGCGATGGGGGAGGTGGGATAGCTGTGAGCAGAGTGGGTGACACTGGTCTCTTCTGTTCCCTGGATATGCAGGATTTCCTGGGCCAGGCCTTCTGCACCCTTGGAGAGATTGTGGGGTCCCCTGGGAGCCGCCTGGAAAAGCCCCTCACGTGAGTGTCTGGGTTGCTTTCCCAGTGGTAGGCCAACTTCCCGCCCATTCTGCTGGGGGCTGGCTCAGGATGGGGACAAAGCAGTCAGCTGGCTATGACTGGCATCTGCAGGGTTATTAGGAATAAAGAGACCCCATGCCTCACTGCTCTCACAGGGCTTCTAATCCAGGTATTTCAGGGGAACCCAGGATGGGTTATTAGAGTCCCATCTCCTGGGAAGGCCCAGGAGGAAATAGACTAGACACCATATAGTCTATTCCCACCCTGACCCCTATCATAGTGTGGAAGAAGAAACTGAAGCCCAGAGAGGGGAAGTGACTTGCCCAAGGACACACAGCTAGGAAGAGGGAGAGCTGGGAGCTGGGATTTGAACCCAGGGCTCTACTCACATAGCATATTCCTAAGATTGTTCACAGCTTGTAGGCCAGAGCTGGGTACAGTGAGGCTCCTCCCGTCCCATCCTGTCCCTGATGGTCCCTGACCTTAATTTGCTTTTAGGGAAAAGCTGTTACTCTGAAGCGGGCTCTGGGATGAGGAATCCAAGGCTTCTCACAGTGGAGCCTGATGATGTCTTCAGGGACCAGCCAGGGCTGGCCGTGTGGTGAGGGTGACCTCTCTTGTCCCTATTTCTCAGGAAGTACCAGGGGCAGGGCCCTTGCCTGTATAAACGATTCTTACCTTTCCCCACACTGGGGAACACTGGTCACCATTCTTTGGTGTCCATATTTCTCTGGACGGCCACCCTCACACTTTGCATTTAAATAAACTAATTTAACTGGATCCCGAGGCTTTTGATTATTTTAGGTTGACACTCGTGGGCAGGGCCCAGGAAAGAGAGGGCAGACTGGGACAGGCATCCAGGCCACAGGGCAAAGCGGCCGGGAAAGGGAGATCATCAGATCTTCTGCCAAGTTCCCACTGGACGCTGTCCCCTCACCATGATCAATAACTGCAGTGTGAACCGGGCACGGTGGCTCACGCCTGTAATCTCAGCACTTTGGGAGGCCAAGGCGATGGATCGCCTGAGCTCAGGAGTTCGAGACCAGCTTGGCCAACATGGTGCAACCCTGTCTCTACTAAAAATACAAAAAAATTAGCTGGGTGTGGTGGTGCACACCTGTAGTCCCAGCTACTCTGGAGGCTGAGGCACGAGAATCACTTGAACCCAGGAGGTTGCAGTGAGCCGAGATTGGGCTACTGTACTCCAACCTGGGCAACAGAGTGAGACTCTGTCTCAAAATAATAATAATAATAATAACTGCAATGTGTGTGTGTGTGGTCTCTCTTCCAGATCCTTGCCCGTGACCCCCAGTAACTCATGATAACTTCAGGGCCCCCGGAAATGTTTCCTTGGCCCCCAAAAGGTCTCATCTCTGGGTTCCTAGAAAACAGTGAAAATAGCTATCATTTATTGAGAATGGGGGAAAACCCCTGTTTTGGGGGTCTCTATAGCTTATAGAATTTGAGGGCCTCTTGCAAAAAAGCATACAAAATTCACATTCATATTTGCTAGGCCCCTCCCTCTTAGGACTTATTTCTAACAGTTTTCATTCGTAATTTTATATTCTTTCTCTAGGAACATCTGCCCCTGTGCCCACTTCAGTGTTAACCATGTGCTGAGTGTAGCATACCCATTAGCATCTGCTCTTTCCAGCAGCACCCCCACCCGTGGCTTTACCTGGGTTGCCAGGATGGAGATGCCCTATGAGGGAGGGTGTCTGTGCTTCCCAACTCCCAGCTGCCTGGGTCCAAAGCCACTAGTCATTTGGGTCTGTTTCCTTCCTGATCTCACCTGGTCCACCGTTGGTGACAGGAAACACCCTCTGGGGGTGGGGGAGTATTGAGGGAGACTTCCTATGGAGATGGCTTTTGAAACTGAGCCTTAAAGGACAAGCAAGTTCTAAAATATAGAGGTTGGCAGGGCTCAGTAGCTCATGCCTGTAATCCCAGCACTGTGGGAGGCCGAGGCGGGTGGATCACCTGAGGTCGGGAGTTTGAGACCAGCCTGACCAACATGGAGAAACCTTGTCTCTACTAAAAATACAAAAATTAGCCTGGCGTGGTGGCACATGCCTGTAGTCCCAGCTACTAGGGAGGCTGAGGCAGGAGAATCGCTTGAACCCAGGAGGCGGAGGTTGCAGTGAGCTGAGATTACACCACTGCACTCTAGCCTGGGTGACAGAACGAGATTCCATCTCAAAAATAAAATAAAATAAAATAAAATACAGAGGTTGACGGCAATGTTGGAGGAGGAGGTGGACCTTTTACCCCATCGAAGATTTCACATATCTTAGTTTAGTTGTCTTCCTGACTAAACCCTGTGAACAGCTCCTGTTTACTGGGCATCTATTTTGGGCCAGGCATGAGGGTCAGTGTTTTGCTTGTGAAATCTGTGTTAGTTCGCTGGGACCATTGTGGCAAATACCACAAACTGAGTGGCTTAAATAAGAAAAATTGATTTTCTCACAATTCTGGCGGCTAGACGTCGGAGATCAAGATGTCAACAGAGTTCATGTCTTCTGAGGATGGCTGTCTTCTTTTTCATCTCTGTGTCTTCAGATTGTCATCTCTCTGTGCACCTCTGTGTCCTAGTCACCTCTTCATATGAGGACACCAGCCATTGGATTAGGGTCCACTGCCATGACCTCATTTTACCTTAATTACCTCCTTAAAGACCCTATCTCCAGGCTGGGCATGGTGGCTCACGCCTGTAATCCAATCACTTTGGGAGGCCAAGGTGGGCAGATCACCTGAGGTCAGGAGTTCGAGACCATCCTGGCCAACATGGTGAAACCTCGTCTCTACTAAAAATACAAAAATTAGCCGGGCATGGTGGTGCGTGCCTGTAGTCCCAGCTACCTGGGAGGCTGAGGCAGGATAATCACTTGAACCTGGTAGGTGGAGGTTGCGGTGAGCCGAGATCACGCCACTGCACTCCAGCCTGGGTGACAGAGCGAGACTCTGTTTCAAAAATAAAAATGAAAATAAAAAAATAAAAAAGACTCTATTTCCAAATATAGTCACATTCTGAGGACCTGGAGATTAAGATTTCAATACATGAATTTTGGGGGATACAGTTCAGCCCATATCATGATCTCATGTGATTCTTCCAGCAGTCTCCCCATCTTGCAGTCTGGATGCGGAGTCTGGAAAGGGAGAACAGGGGTTCCCAAGCTGCAGCAGGTACCAGTGTCACCAAAGATTGCTGGGCTCCACCCCGCAGAGTTCCTGATCCTGTGGGTATGGGCTCGGCCTGGGAATTTACATTCCTATTAATAACATTCCCAGGACATGCTGGTGCTGCTGGTCTGGGCATCCCACCTTGAGAACCACTGAAGGAGAGGAATTTGCCCAGAAGAAGGACTCCACTTGCTCTGGCCTGTGGCTTTGATCCTGTTTTAATGACTTCCAGAGCAGCCGCTTGTCTCCAAGCATCTGGATGCCAAGTGCGCTGGCCTGTCTGGGTGGGGGTACTCAGCTCATGGCATGCTCTCTCTCCCCCTCTCTCTCCACAGGATAGGCGCATTCAGCCTGAATTCCAGGACGGGCAAACCCATGCCAGCTGTGTCCAACGGGTACGTTGCCAGACATCTCTGGCCCTGGAGTCCTTAGACATTCAGCCAGCTCTGCAAAGGGGGCCTCAGAGTCTGGGCCTCGTCCCTGCTCCCATCACTGCGAATTTGGCCCTGATCCGGGGACAGAGAGTCCTGGGTTCCTCCTTAGGCACCCAGGCTCTTTGGGCCCTGAACAGAGGCCCCCACTCGGCAGTGGGCCCCTCCCCCATCCAAGCTAGAGCTTGGGCATCTCAAGCCCCAGTGGCTCCTGGGACTTCAGGGAGAGGGTGGGGCTTACAGGTGGGGGATGTTGTCTATGAATAGCGGGGCTGGGCACTCTCTGTTCCCTTCCTCTCTCCCTGGCCTGGCTTCTCTAGGCCCCCAATCCCCACCCTTCTCTCCCCCTCTTTCCTCCCCTGTCTTTATCCTTTCCCCCCTGTTCCCCTCCCTTGTTTTGGCTGCTGGATGTCCGCCTCCTCCTCACCACAGAGTAGATCCAGCTGAATCCCCACTTTTCACGTTTGCTCGTTTGCTCGCCAGCTGCGGTGGGCCAGCCTCACTCCACCACCCTGACCATCTGGCTTCGGCTGGCCTCATGCAAATGTGGCCAACGCAGAGCCTCCCCCTCCTTCCCTCCCCTTCTTTCCCGGTTGGGGAGTTCCCACCCTGGCTTCTTTCTCACGCCCACTCGCCCACTGGGGCTGGAGGTGGGGGTGTGCAGGGCAGGGAACCTCTGCCTGGAGGGGCCTCTGCAGAAGGGCATTTTGTTGGGGTAAGCAGAGCTCCCCTGGCCTTCCCTGAGAGCTCTCAGGAATTGAGGTTGCAGCAGCTGGATATGCCACTGGACCAGCTGCAGGTGGGGAAGGGGCCTCCGGCGGGCCCGGGGATGCTCACAGCCCAGGGAGAGCATGGATGCTAATTCACCTGGAGAGTAGAGAAGCAGCAACTGGGGAGGCAGCAGGAGTCAGACAGAGATACAAAGACAGGGAGGGAGGGAGAGAGAGAAAGGAAGGCCAAGAAGGTGGGAGCAGGTTGGGGCTGGAGAGGAGGGAAAGAAGGATCGGAAATAGAAGAAGGACTCAGAGGCAAAGAGAGGAACAGATGGAGAAACATGGGGCGGAGGAGGCTGGCGTGGAGGATTCTATCTCCCTGGGCAAACAAATCATGTCTTTACTACCATGGAGGACCAGACCAGCGGGTGGGGAGGGGCTTTGAGGCACTCAGCTCAGCTGCCCAAGTCTAGGGGGACAACCTGGCAGGCACTGTCCCCTGTCCGTGGCAGGGGATGCCCCAGATGTGGCCCCCGCTCTGCTCACCTGATTTGGAGAGATCTGGGCTGTCCTGCCAGCCCTCCAGGGCCGGCTTCCCTTCCTCCCCTGCCTCCTCTGTTTGAGAGCCTCTCCCTCCAATAGCTGGTGCTGGGAAGAGCTCCATCAGTGGTTCTCAAAGTGTGTTCCACAGACAGCATGCTGGTGGCCCTGTGGCTGGCCTGAGGTGTGAGGCTGGATTTTACCAGCGTTGCACAATTGTGAAGTAAAGGGTGCAGGGAGGGGGATGCTGCTCACTGCGGGCCTTCTCTGTGCCAAGCACTGTGTGGTATATACAGTCACGCTCATTATATAGGGGAGAAAACTGAGGCTCAGAGAGGTACAGGAATGAGCCCAAAGTCACAGAGCTGCTGGACAAGCCGACATTTTCCTCTCCCTCCCAGTGGCCCCTGACTACACTGGGACTCCCCCACCTCTGGCTTAGTCCCAAACATTAGAGTGGGCTGGGATGGTGCCTGAAGGAGGGGGTCCTATCTAACCAGGGGAAGAGGTGGTTCAGTTCCCCTGAGTGGAGCCCCAGCCGAAGAACTTGCCCTCCTGGAGGGATGTGCTGGGGTGGACCGACTTCACGGACCTTGATCTGGTTGCCCACTTCACTGGGGAGCTGCACAGTCGGCTGGGATCTCTCACTCCCAGGGAGACCCCAGCCAAGGCATTTAAGGGGAGGTAGCCATGGGAAGGAGCCTGGGCAAGCTGCCAGCGAGGGCCCACCAGCCCTCCTGCCTTCCTCCCTCCCGTGACACATCAGAGTGGCTCAGAGCTGGACTGTCCCGGGACGCTGGGGGTCAGCTGGGTGTGAGGTGGGGTGGCTAGCCCATGAGGTCTTTTGCCCACAGAAGTGGTCTTTGGATGGAAAGTTTGAGAACCACTGGTCTGGAAGCCTCCGGGTGAGTCTGGATGCTTTTCCAATTCTAGGACTTTCACTGCAGGCACTACCCTTCCTGGTGGGCTCTCGGGGAGCAGGGGGTGGGGCAGCTCCAGGCTCGGGGACCCGGTCCCAGGAAGCAGTGCACTAGGCCACACTGCCACAAGGATCTCAGGAGACTCTGTCTTCTCAGGGGCTTTGGGGTGATCTGCTGGATGGTAGGGGGCGGGGGAGGATGGGCAGGGGGCTGATTGAGGGAGTGTCAGGTTTATGGCTCTGTCTTTGTCTGGCTTTCCATTCTTTCATCTTCTCCTCTCCCAGTGGTGTCCCAGGAAAGAAATGTGGCACCATCATCCTGTCCGCTGAGGAGCTCAGCAACTGTAGGGTGAGTGGCAGAGGACTCCAGCACAGGACGTGGTTGGGGTGGGGGTGATGGAGTGCAGGCTGGCCTCCCTGAGCCCCTGGAGGGAACCGAGGGTAGACAGGGCTCCTGATGCTGACCTGGCTGTCATAGAATTTTGCAACATCAGAGCTAGTGGGTGTTTTCCCTTTTTATAGCTGAGCAGACTGAGGCCCGGAGAGGAGAAGGAGCTCACCCACAGTCAGCAGCAGAGCCCAGCTGAGCCCCGTCCCCTAGCTCCCATGCCAGGGCTCCCTCCCCTCCCCATCACAGCCACCACTCACGTGTCCTTGAGCCGAGACTGCCTTGGCACCAACACTGTGGCAGCAAAGACCTTTTCAGTCTTGAAGGAAGCCTGGGTGCTTGACATTTAGCTGTCATTTTTCACTTTCAGCTCTGGAGTAGGGTGACACCCTGCATGGGGCGGATGGAGTGTGTCTGTGCGTACGCATGTGTTGGGAAGAAGTCTGCAGTCCCAGGCAGCCCTTGGTCTTGCTTTTACTGTAGGACTGTGGGGGAGCAGGAGATGGGGACAGCTGAGCACACAAAGAAGGGGCTCAGGGGACCTCATAATTAATAATAATGATAAAGTATCATAATGGTGATGGTCAGTATTTGTCAAGTAATAGGCACTTTACATAAGTTATCGCTGCTCTTGACAATCATCCTAAGAGGCAGGTACTAAAATGTTACTCCCATTCTATGGATGAGGAAATTGAGGCTCAGAGAGGCAAAGTCACCTGCTCAAGGATGACAAACAGCAGAGCCATGACTCTACTCCAGGTCAGCTTGATTCTAAGATCCGGGCTCAGCCCCAAAAGCACCACCATCTAACCTAAGAGTGGCTATAAAAGTGGGAAAGTGGTGGGGCTTGGAGAGAAGAGGAGGCTGGGACAGATGCAGGGAGAGGCAGGGTGCAAGTGTAAACAAAGCCTGGGCTACCCTGGGAACACAGCTTCCCATGGAGCTGGGAGGGATGACCAGGAGAAACAAGATTTTCCTACCTTCCTGGGAGGTCAGTGCTACGGATCAGCTATCAATCAATATTTACCCTACTAGAAATTTAAACAGAATTTTAATGTATGTATTAATTCCTTTAAAAATAATTTAATTCCTTTAAAAATAACAATAGTTGAACCCATTATGGGTCAACATAAATAACGCATTTTTTTTGGGGCCGGGCACGGTGGCTCACGCCTGTAATCCCAGCACTTTGGGAGGCCGAGGCGGGCGGATCACGAGGTCAGGAGTTTGAGACCAGCCTGGCCAGCATGGTGAAACCCCGTCTCTACTAAAAACACAAAAAATTAGTTGGGCCCGGCAGGCAGAGGCTGCAGTGAGCTGAGATTGGAATCTCGGCTCCTCTGCACTCCAGCCTGGGCGACAGAGCGAGACTCCATCTCAAAAAATAAATAAATAAAATAAGACATATTTTGAAAAACAACAATAACTCCCAATAATCATTTAATGAGAAGAGTGGCCTTGTTTTACATTTTTGCAAATCTCTTTAACGTCTGACTTAATGGAAGACATCTGGATTCTCATAGCTGCTTCTGTAGTCAATCTGTTGTGAAATCCCTGTCAGATAACCTCTGGAAAACTCTTCATCTTAGCATTATTATGTAAATAGTTTTGACCCCACGGATCCCTCGGGGTTCCTGGTCCATACTTTGAGAGCTGCTGGTATAGAGGTATAACAGTGTTAGAGAACATTAATTGAGTCATTATTTTGGGCCATACACTGTGGTAAGTGGTTTACATGTATTGACTTGCTTACCTAACATATTATAATATATAATGTAGTATGTAGTATGATGTGTTATAACATCTGATGAATTATGGTCCTCATTAATTTTCCTCACTTTTATAGATAAGGAAACTGAAGCACAGAGAGGTTAATTGATCGGTCCAAGGTCACACAGCCACTGAGTAGAAGAGATTTGAAACTTGGCAGTTTGGTTCTAGAGCCAAGGTCTTTAACCACTGGACTGTGGTGTTACAAACTCTGTTTCCAAGGACTTCCAGTGGAAGAATAAGACACACGAACACAGAATCGATAGTACAGGGCAGTCTAGAGATGACCAAAAAAATTCATATGTGACTGCTCACCCGGGTTGCTTATCTGTTAATCTCAGTGGATCTGAAGGCACTTGACAGCGGGAATGAACCCCACCCAGTGTGCACCCCCAGGGCAGGACTCGGGGTGCAGTAGGCATTCCCGAGGACCCATCACGAATATGTGACTGAATGATTAGGAAGCACAGACCGAGTGTTCAGCACCAGGTCATGGACAAAACACACGTGTCTGCTGAGGATCTGGATGCCACTGGAGTTCAGACAAGGGAGAGAATTCGGTTGCCCTGTGGAACAGAGCTGTTGCAGCTCCCAGAGCCTCCGTTTTCCACCTGCAGCTTGGCGCTGATAGGGTTGCTGTGAGGATTAAAGGAGTTCATGAATGTGAGTGTGTCTAACAGATGCCTAGGAAAGGGTGCATCTGAATTCCTTGAACCTAAATTCAGTGTTTCCCCAAGCTTCTAGCCCAGCTGGTGACTTTCTTCCTAGTTTATAACCAAATAAAGTCACATACATGAAAGCGCTTTGGAAATTCTAACGCTCTAGACAATGCTGGTGGCCGTTACTGGTCTAGCATTCCAGGGGTTGGTAAGCAGTCTTAGGTTGAATACCTATCAGGTGTTAAACCCTTCCTCTTCCTCCTTCTTCCCCAGTCCTCCCTACTCCTTCACCCAGGGATAGCAGCAGTTTTCTTGATTTAAGCTGTTCCAGCACCAGGGGTCTATGTCGGGGGCAGGGAGCGCCCTCCCTTCCTCCTGAGATTGTCAGCTCCTTTTCTTCTGGGGCATCTTTAGCTGAGTTCTGTCTCTCCCTAGAATCCTTGCAAGGAAAAGAGACTAATTCCCAGCATCTGGCTGAATTAAAATAATTACATCTGAACAGCTTTGCTTCGTCTTTCCAGCTCAGCATTCAGTGGGAGGATCAAAGGAAGAGGGTGGGGTCTGAGAGATGATTTTTCACCAGAGCAGGGCTTCCTGCTCAAATGAATACATTTTGCCGAAGTAGACAAACCCTCTCTTCATCCATGGGGATGACGTGGGCGGGTGGGAACCAGCAAAGGATGACAGTGGACTCCAGTGTGTCACCAGCATAGTTTGACAGGTTATAGAAAAGCCTTGTTCATCTGGAATTTAAATGTCAAAGAAGTTCCCACAATCAGAATTTGATCCAAATACTATCGAATGGTACTTGATGTTGACAGTCATGAGGTTGGTCTCCCGAAGGGCCTTCTGAATCACCCAAGGTTCAATTCTGCTCAGCAGTAAAACGATTGTTACTGCCTGTAATACAGCAGTAAAACGATTGTTACTGCCTGTAATACTGGCCAACATTGGTTTACCGAGACCCTCTTATTTAGTCTTATTTGATTCTGACTGCAAGGCTGGGGGGCTGGGTGGGTGTGAGTAACCCTGTTTTACGGATGCAGAGAAGTTAGTGGTCTGCCTAAGATTGCTGGGATTCTAGCTCAGGCCTTGGAACTCCTAATCCTCAGTCTTTCCCTCACCCCTGGAGCCTCGAGCCCTCACGGTACAGGGAACAGTCACCGACCTTCTGTCCCTTGTGGGGCTACTGCCCTCAGCAGGCAGGGTGGCTTTGAGCAGTGGAGGTTGGGGTTCACGCCTATAATCCCAGCACTTTGCGAGGCTGAGCAAGGCAGGAGAATAGCTTGAGCTCAGGAGTTCGAGACCAGCCTGGACATCATAGTGAGACCCCCCCCCGACCATCTCTACAAAAAAATTTTTTTAAATTAGCAGGGTGTGGTGGTGCACGCCTGTGGTCCCAGCTAATCAGGAGGCTGGGGTAGGAGGGTCACTTGAGCTTGGGAGGTCAAAGCTGCAGTGAACCATGATTGCACCAGTGCACTGAAGCCTGGGGAACAGAGTGAGACCCTGTCAAAAAAAAAAAAAAAAGAAAAGGTAGGGGTTGTTGTCAATACAGAGGGTTGGATAGCTCTTTGCCCTCCACTTCCCAGCCCCTTGGTTCCCCCTAGAGACCTGTCAGCCACCCAGACCTGCCTTGCTCTGGAGTCAGGACTTCCCGGCTCAGGATAGTACGTCTTTACCACCTCCTAGTCAGGTCCTTCCACCTGACTGGCCGTCCCAGCCAGGATGGTGGCGGTGGTCATGGAGGAGGCAGTGATGGAGGAAGAAGGGTGTGCCTCATCTCTCTCCTGCAAAGGGAGTTATAACTTCACACCATAACTGCCCCGGGGGCCTCCCCACCCCTTAGGTGTCACCAGCGTGCTCATGTATTCTTTCATTTCAGTTCAGGAAATATGCTTTGACTGAGTCCCTGCTGTCCCAGAATTTTTAATTTAGTATGAGAGATGGAAATGCCAACCGGCAATCACATGAGAGCAGTGGTCCTCAGCCCTGGCAGATCCAGCGCCTCTTCTTACAACAACTATTTTATCACACTCTTGACTATCCCGAAGGAAAATGTGTAGATACTATGTAATATGCCAATATATATAGACAGGTGGGAGAATGAACCCTTCCAGTTACCTGGGGAATATTGGTCCAAGCAGACAGAACAGCCAGTGCAAAGGCCCTGGGGCAGGAGTGATGGATGAGGAATCGGAAAGATGAGACTGTGGGTGGTGATGGTGGGAGTTGGGGCCAGATTGTGTGGGACCTCATAGCTGGGGAACTTAGCAGCCTGGATCCCAACACAATCAAAACTTTTGTTTTTCCAAAGATAAGCTTCAGGGAGAGGCCAGTTTCTCTACCTGAAAGATGAGGGAAGAAGGAAGAGCCATGGAGAAAGAGAGATGAGAAGGAAGAGTCAAAGTAAGTGGGGGAGGTGGTGAAGGTTCTCTGAGACTCGGAAGTATGCAGGTTGATACATAGGAGAGTCGTGTGTTGTGGCTGAGACCGATATGAGCATCCCGTGTAACCAGCATTCAAACATCACCCTTCTTAAGGTTAGTTTGAATTTTTTTGGTCTTAGAAATAATCTATCTGGCTTTTAAAAAGCCAAAACAAAGCAAAAGCATTTCTTCCTGATGCTAAAAAAAAATAACATATTCATTATGGACAAATTGGAAAATACAGAAAAATATAAACAGCATGGAAAAGTCACCCAGAGATAATCACTGTTGACATTTTGATGTGCTTCCTCCAAGGCTTTCTTGCTGAGTGTCCATGTACGTAATTTTTCTTATAATTGATATAATATAGTATCCAGTTTTATAGCCTGCCTTTTCCTGTATCATTATACATTTTTAGAAAACATGCACTTAATAGCCGCATGTTATTTCTCTATTGTATGGATGGGCTATAATTTATCAAAGCTGTTCTTTTTAGGAAACAATATAAATAATACTGTAGTGAACATCCTCATATCCAAATCGTCCTGTTTTTCTTTTGAACATCAGTTGATGGATTTTGGTTAGTATCCCAGAAACACAGGCTCGGTGAGTGGGAGGGAAAACGGTCAGTCTGGGGTTTTCAGCCTCTGAATGACCAAATCAACAGATGCACAACTGATTGGATTGTTTGGGAAGTCAGTCATTAAGACAACAAAGAAAAGCTAGCTTGGCCTCAACATGGTTATTACAGTCAATGCATAAAGACAGGCCCAGTCTCTCAGACCAGCTTCTGTGCCCACCATCTGTGTATGAATAACCTCCAGCCTGTGGGGTGTTCGCTGACGCCCCAGGTTTCCTGCTTCTGCCATCCTATCCCGTGAGCCCAGCTCCAGGCTCCTCCTCCTAGAGGGCCCTACTCACAGAATCACCCCCAGCTCCTGGTGTGTTTCCTCCTACTGGAGTGCTGATTCCTTTTCTTTTTCATTGATGTCTTATTTTTTTCTGACTAAAAAAGACAATATGTTAATTCTAGGAGATTTGGAAAATCCAGCACATTTTAAGGAGAAGAAAATAAATGTACCGTGGTCCTTCTTTTTAAATTTTTTTTTTTTTTTTTTTTTTTGAGACGGAGTCTTGCTCTGTCTCCCAGGCTGGAGTGCAGTGCCACGGTCTCGGCTGACTACAACCTCCTCCTCCCGGGTTCAAGCAATTCTCCTGCCTCAGCCTCCCGAGTATCTGGGATTATAGGCATGCATCACCACACCTGGCTAATTTTTGTGTTTTTGGTAGAGACGGGGTTTCACCATGTTGGCCAGGCTGATTTTGAACTCCTGGCCTCAAGTGATCTGCCCACCTTGGCCTCCCAAAGTGCTGGGATTACAGGCGTGAGCCACAGCGTCAGGCCTAAATTTTTTAAATTGTTATTTTTTTAGAGATGGAGGTCTCACTATGTTGCCCAGGCTGGTCTCAAACTCCTGGCCTCAAACCATACTACTGCCTTAGCCTTCTGAGTAGCTGGGGTTCCAGGTATGAGCCACTGTTCCTGGCTTTAAAAGTGCTTCTTAGGGCATGTAAGTTGTAAGGCACGGTGATTAAGAACTTGAGCTTTGGATCCAGACCAAAAGCCATTGCTTACTCCCTATGTGACCCTGGGCAAGTTACTTTTCTGTGCCTCTGCTTCACTTATAAAATGTCTTCATTTAAAATTTTGATATTCTGTTTATTATAGCTTTTGCATTGATTTTGATTTTTTAAATGTCACATTAAAAAAAATTTTTTGATGACCGAAATTTTGAGCCCCCTTTAAATTTTGCACACACCTCATACTTGTTCTGAATCTGGAAGCTGCCATTGAGACCCAACAGCCTTCTTCTGTTCTCCCCCTGACCTCCAACCTTCACAGCCCTCTTCAGGGGAGGGAGGTCTAAGATGCCAGAGCAGACCAGGCCACTCTGGAGAGCAAGGCTGTCTGCTATAATCTCCCCAGCAGCCCCATTAACATGCGGAGAGATGCAAATGGAGGCAATCCTGATGTTTTAGAAGAACTTAATATGTTTTTTAAAAAGATAGGGTGAAAGACAGAAATTGTAGGAAATTATATATTGCAGGAGCTGCTTTATCTTCTCTGTGATTGATTCCAGTGATGTTTCTGGTGGGAATGGCATTTCTTTTCTTTTTTTTTTTTTCCTCTCTCTCTCTTTGTTTTTGAGATGGAGTTGTCCAGTCTGGAGTGCAGTGGCATGATCATGGCTCACTGCAACCTCCACCTCTTGGGCTCAATCCTTCCACCTCAGCCTCCTGAGTAGCTGGGACTACAGGTGCGCACCACCACACATGGCTATTTTTATGTATTTTTAGTAGAGATGGGGTTTCACCATGTTGTCCAGGCTGGTCTCGAAATCCCGGGCTCAGGCGATCCTCCTACTTCGGCCTCCCAAAGTGCTGAGACTACAGTTGTGCACCATCATGCCCGGCCAAGGGGACGGCATTTCATGTGCTCAGAGAGCACGACTCTCAGGCTGAGGCTGTCAAATAGCTGAACCTCTGACCCTCAGCCAGAATTTGCTGCTCTGTTATCCTGCTGGCCCTGTCCATCTTATTGCCACTTTCTCCAGCCTCTTCTTGGGTTCACACATATATCAAGGGGTTGAACCATTCACAAGCTCCCACTTGTTCCTATGACTGTTGACGAAAGGCAGAGTGACCTTCCAAGGCACAGCCCCCAGGCGGTTAGTTACACACTCTTTGTCTCAAGGACTTCCCTGTGGCATGGGTACCCATTAGGGAGGAAGCTTGCCTTCGTTTCAGTCTAGAAATTTCTCTGAAGGCCTGTTTTATCCCCCACGGAGTCTACAATGGTGCAACAATGCAGATGATCACAGTGGACTTTTGGCAAATGTTTCTGGGTCTAGATTGTATTAGGGAGGGCAGATAAGGCTAAGGAACAAAATCAGCTGCCAACCCCCCAGCAATGCCTCACTTATCTGCCATCAGGGTTAGAGGGAGAAAGTGTTGCACACTGGCGGATTTTTCCAGTTAGCTGAGTTTCAGAGCCAATCCTTTTTTTGTTTTTAATTTTAACTGGTTTGCACAGAGGCCTTTCTAAAATGGATTTCACACTTCTCTGACTTCTCAAACTGAGGTTGGAATGTAATTAAACTTATCTTGATGACTTGAGGTCATCATTTGGAATCTCAGTTATTAATCTTTGGAGCCAGACTGTCTTGTTCCCATCTTAGCGCCTCTTGCTAGCTGTGTGACTTTAAGCAAGGGTGTTAACCTCTCTGTGCTTTGGTTTCCTCATCTTTAAAATGGGAATAATAGCCAGGTGCAGTGGCTCACATCTGTAATTCCAACACTTTGGGAGGCTGAAGTGGGCAGATCGCTTGACCTCAGGAGTTCAACACCAGCCTGGGCAACATAGCAAGACCCTGTCTCTGCAAAAAAAATTTAAAAATCTAGCTGGGCATGGGGCATGGTGGCACACACCTGTGGTCCCAGCTTCTCAGGAGCCTAAGGCAGGGGGATTGCTTGAGCCCAGGAGGTTGAGGCTGTAGTGAGCGGAGATCGCACCACAGCACTCCAGCGTGGGTGACAGAGAGAGAGAGAGAGAACCTGTCTGAAAAACAAAAAAGGAATAATAACAGTGCCTTCCTCATAGGGTTGTCGAAAGGATTCAATGAATTAATACATATAACATTATATCTACCTACTATAGCACGTACTAGGTAGAACCTTTTTTTTTTTTTTTTTTTTTACTTTTACTGCAAGTTCAGGGGTATATGTACAGGTTTGTTATGTAGGTTAACTTGTGTTATGGGGGTTTGTTGTGCAGATTATTTCACCCCCAGGTATTAAGCCTAGCACCCATTAGTTATTTTTCCTGATCCTCTCCTTCCTCCCACCCTCCACCCTCTGATAGGCCCCAGTGTGTGTTGTTCCCCTCTGTGTGCCTGTGTGGGTAGAACCATATTATATTGCCATTTTCATAGGCAAACAACAGCTGATTATTGGCAATTTCATATGGTTCACCCTAGTATGAGGTGGCACTCTGCAAGTGTTACCTCCTGCTCTGTGTGAGGCACTGTGGACCAGGATGTGACACAGGCCATCTCCTTTCGCCTTCTCCACAGGCTCACAAGGGGGCGCTATTCTTCTACATTACCCAGCCTCAGAGAGGTTAAGTTACCCACTAGGAGCTGCTCAGCCGGGAGGTGGCAGAGCTAGGATTCCAACCAGGTGGCCCTTGGCTCCTTTGTGCCGTTTTGTGTGTGTGTGTGTGTGTGTGTGTGTGTGTGTGTGTGTGTGTGTGTGTGTGTTTTGGTTTTTGTTTTATTATTTGAGACAGAGTCTCGCTCTTGTTGCCCAGGCTGGAGTGTAGTGGCGCAATCTCGGCTCACTGCAACCTCCACCTCCCAGGTTCTAGCGATTCTCCTGCCTCAGCTTCCCAAGTAGCTGGGATTACAGGCATGCCCGGCTAATTTTTGTATTTTTAGTAGAGACGGGGTTTTGGCATGTTGGTCAGGCTGGTCTCAAACTCCTGAGCTCAGGTGATCCACCACCTCGGCCCCCCAGAGTGCTGGGATTACAGGCATGAGCCACTGTACCTGTCCCTTTGTGCCATTTTTCGCCATCGGGTGCTAGGCTGAGACAGCAGCCCTCCCAGTGGAGCACTGAATGTCCCTGGAACTTATGGCCTGTCAAGTTCTTTCATTTTTTCTAATATTTCTCCCCCATTCCTGATCTCACAGGGCCTGAGGGGTTCCTAGGAAGCAAAACTAAGAGCTGTTGCCTCTGGATTTTGTGGCCTCTGTTTGGTTGTTTCAAGTGTATGCATTTTATAGTCAACCAGTGCAGGCTGAACAGGTCCTGGGTGGCTTGCCTGTGTTTCTTCAGGTAAGAATGTCACTCAGGCGACTTCCAGATTCGTGCGAGATCATGATGATGACAACCAAACCCTGGCCAGGGCTGGGAAGGCTGGGGGGATCCTGGCTTTCTCACTGTCCCCTGAGTGCCACTGCTCCCCACAAGAGATGGCTATTTCAGTGTTCCCCATGTGGCACCTACTGCTCAGCTTAAAAGGATTGTGGTGGTCATCCCATTCCACGCTCCACAGACGAGGAAACTGAGGCTCTGAGAGCTTGAGTGACCTGCTCAAGGCTATGCAGAGCCAGGACTAGAGCTCTGAGCTCTGAGTTCCTTGCTGGGGCCATCCCCGCTGCTCCCCTGGGAATCTGGGCCTCTCTTGGTGGTTTTCTGATGCCACTGCGGGTCACCTCTGTGGGAAGGAGACAGGGCCAGCTGCAGAGGCGTGTGGCCTGTGTAGTCACACGGGGACCTGTGCTTGGTTTAATGCTCTGCTGTCACTATCTTGAATCTCCTGATTGTTTTTGAACAGGGGGCCCCACGTTTTCCCTTTGCTCTGGGCCCCACAATTTATACAGCCAGCGAGTAGCCCATCAAGTCCTGGGCCACATCCCTGTCCCAGGACATGGATGGGGCTCCCTAGGGGGGCATTTAAAGTGTTCCTTCCATCCAGCATGGGACGGGATTAGAACTTTCTCCTGAGGAGGGTGTGCCTGCCCTGCTGCTTTAGAAGCCTAGGGACTTTTCTGGAGGGATAAGAGTGAAAACTCTGAAATCTGACTGTCTGAGTTATGCACTCTAGGACTTTAGGCATATGATTTAACCTCTAAAAACCTCAGTTTCTTCATCTGTAAAATAGGGAAACAAGAGTTATTTTGTATGGTTGTATAAAGTATGAAGGCTTAACACAGGTCCTAGCATCTAGTAAGTGCTCAGTAAGTCAGCTGTTCTTTTATTCAGGGCCTGAGGTCCTAGATTTCTCTGGAGGCTCCAGGATTCTTGGAGCTTCTAGGGCCTTGGAAGCCCCCAGTCCAGCTTCCTTCTCCCTGTCTGGTGGGCGATGATGAGAGGCATAATAAAAGTCGTCATTACCTGGGCACCTCCTTGGGCAGGTCATTCTGTCTCCAGCACCACCCGTGCTTACAGCCTCTTCCCCATCCCAGGGTAACCGGAATGCAGCCCCTCCCTGCCCAGGCAAGCCCAGAGTCTGAAGAAATCAGCCGATTCTAAAGAAAACAGGGAAGTGGTGAAATGTAATTTGTTCTCTCTCAGGGGGGCAGAGTGGTACTGGAAGAGGCATGACTTTGAAATTAGTTTATTTATGTGTGAATTTTCTGCTTTACCAGTTACCAGCTGGTGATCTCGGTCAGGTCACCTAACTTCTCCAACCTCCAGCTTCCTCATTTGTAAAAAGTAACAAAGGATTATTTTGAGGACTAAATATGATAAGGGGTGTAAAGTGCTGAGCTCAGTGACTGTCCTACACAGACGGCATCTAATAAATGTTGAATGAATGAGTGAGTGAGTGAATGAATGGAGGCTGTGTTTGTTGTCATCAGATGTCCCCGAGGGAAGGCAAGTGAGGTGCTGGAGGTGGGAGTGGGGCAGGGACAGAGGTCACACACACTGTGGCTGGGCGGGGAAACAGGTGTTCAAATAATAACAGCTCACACGCACACAGCGCTGTACTCCTGTTAACTCACTTTATCTCACGAGCCTATGAGATGGGCACTGCCATTACCTCCATTTTATAAGTAGGGAAACTGAGCACACAGAGGGTGAATAACTTGCCTTAAGTCACGCAGCTAAGGAGGGATGGGATTGGGACTGAAGTAGGCAGCCTGGCTCCAGCAGCCGTATTCCTAACCACCGTAGCCACCGCTGAACCTTGTCACTGAGTCCTTCAACTTCATGGGAGCTACGTCTTCTTCTCTGCCACCGTTTTGGCCCTCACTGGGCTGTGGGTCACCCTTCTCAAGACACTCCCCCTCATTAAGAGGAAGGGGGGGCCAGGTGCAGTGGCTCACGCCTGTAATCCCAGCACTTTGGGAGGCTGAGGCGGGCGGATCATGAGGTCAGAATATCGAGACCATCTTGGCTAACACAGTGAAACCCCATCTCTACTAAAAATACAATAAATTAGCTAGGTGTGGTGGCGGGCGCCTGTAGTCCCAGCTACTCGGGAGGCTGAGCAGGAGAATGGCATGAACCTGGGAGGCGGAGCTTGCAGTGAGCCGAGATGGCGCCACTGCACTCCAGCCTGGCAACAGAGTGAGACACCGTCTCAAAAAAAAAAAAAAATAGGAAGGGGGGATGTGTGAGGGAGCGGAGTGACCCCAAGAGCAGGGCAAGTCCTGGGGTCTGGACGACAGAGCCCTGAGCTCAGCTGGCTCGAAGGTGATTTGTCAGGATGCAGAGTTTTCAAATTGCAGAGGCCACACGGGAGGGGTGAAGGGGACAACAGGGACATCTCTGCCCAGTGCCCCGTTGGCCCCAGAGAGCTGAGGGGCTGAGGGGTCCAGAGATCCTCACCAGGGCCGGGACACCTCTGCGTGTTGGGTCAGCTGGGGCAGGGAGCAGGGCTGGGGACTCAGCAGGTGGGCTCTGCTTGGTGAACTTGGGGAAGCCACTCCCTGCTCTGAGCCTTTGGCTTCTTAGCTGTGAAATGGGCCACAGACCCCACTGTATCTACCTGAGAGCATTGGGTGAGCCTCTCATGAGTTGGTGGGTGTGAAAGTGATGCCAAAACTCGAACTTCCTCCAGGAACCACACATAGGTGTGAGGTGGTGAGGCAATGTGGCCAGAGAGAGGGCTTTGGGGCTTGCAGATCAAGCTCAGACTGGCCTTGGGTTTGCTATGTCACCTTTCCGAGCCACTCAGTGAAAGTGTAATGAAACCACGTGTGTTCACATCCATCAAGGGGTTGCCACGTGCCTCACTCTGCCAAGTATGTCACACACTTGATCTCATTTAGTCCTCATGAAAACCCCACGAGATGTGTGCTATCATCAACCCCATGTTCCAGAGGGGAAACTGAGGCTCCAAGAGGTCACCTACCTTGCCCAAGTTCACACAGAGGAAGTGGCAGAGCTAGGATTCACACTGGGGCAGCTGTGGACTCCATGTGCTTCCCCACCCAAGTGGTCTGCTAGGCCTGCTGGGGGGCCGTCTGAGGATGGAATAAGGGCCTGGCACTTAGTCGGTGCATTCCAACCAGGGCTGGTGCCTGGACTCCTCATGCTTGCCGGGGTCTGGGAGCTGTGCTTCCACTTTCTCCTGCCTCACACCCCGTTCTCCCTCCCTCCCACCAGGATGTCGCCACCATGCAGTTCTGTGCCAACAAGCTGGACAAGAAAGATTTCTTTGGGAAATCTGACCCCTTCTTGGTATTCTACAGAAGCAACGAGGATGGAACGTGAGTTTTCTGGGGACACTTGTGCACTGCACCTTCTCGTCCCTTCTGGGGTCAAGGACGGACGGGTGGTGGTGACTTGCCAGGCAGGGTGGCTTGGGCCCATCTCCTTCTGCTCTAGAGAGGGCAAGGGCTCTGGGTGGAAGTCCGGGGCCCCAGGGTAGTGCCCTGAGCACCTAGGTGTGGTCGGTGGGAGGTGGCAGCAGCCTCTAAGCTGGTGGTGCCATTCTGTGGGTCTCAGCAATAGTACTGAGTGGTGGGAGCTAGGTATTTGGAGGGTGGGGGGACTAGGCAAAAACAGGGCTAGGGCAGGAATAGGGGGCCAGTCCCTCATGGGAAACCTCTGATAGCTCCTTCATTCTACACAAATCAGCTCCTAGCTCCAAGCCCAGCCCCCTGTCCTCACAGCCCTCTGAGCAGCCCCCAGTCTGGCCCCCCGCTACTGCCCACACAACAGGGCCAGTCTGGACCCTTTCTGCTGCCCGGCCCCACACTCTGCCATAGGCTTCATTTGGAACTCCAGACTTTGAAGCCCCTATTTCCTCCTCTCTTCTCCCTAATCTAGAAGCCACCCACAATAAGATGGAAGCATACACAACATGTTGGCAAATGTAGGTCAGTAATATATGCAGGGAGACAGATTCTGGGTGGAAGGTCTGGGGACCTAGGTCTTCCCCAGCAGCCTGTTGTGTGACCCTGGGCAAGTGAAGACCCCTCTCTGGGCCTGTTTTCTCATCTGTAAAATGAACCAGTTGGATTATGTGGTCTCCACAGTCTCTTTAAGCACCATGATTCTGGCAGGCTGTGGCCACTTACAGGCTGGGATTCTGCAGAATGAGGAAGCGATGGGGCCAGGGAGGTTAATTAGAGAAGCGCTGCTGGAGAAGGGAAAATTGGAAGCGGGTTTTAAAGGAGAGGAAGAAAATGGGTCCCTGCCATGGGGGTGGGGGAAGCAGGGAAGAATAAAGGGCTAGAGAAGGGAGAAACGTTTGGGCAAAGCAAGTGTGCCCAGAGGGCAGAAAGACCGTCCCCCCAATCCAATTCCCCTTGAAATTGTGTGTGTGTGTGTGTGTGTGTGTGTGTGTGTGTGGTGGGGGGGGGGGTAGGCAGGGGAGCAGCGAGGAGGAGGTGTGTTTCAGTTCAAGGGAAAACTGATTTAAAAATCAGTTTTCCTGAACGTACAAAACAAGGGAAATTAGGTATGATCATTTGCATGACAAAAGGATTCTTTGTCTCACCAAAGGACTCCCAGAAGGATTTCTTTAAATAATTCTGTTGACTTTGACTTGACTTCATATTGGGGAGGAAAAGGCCTGCATATTGTTCCGGGCGTCCACACAGGCCCCCTCCAGGGAGGCAGAGTCAGGGTCAAGCTGGGCTTGTCTGGCTGGGGCCGGCTGGGAGGAGGAGAGGGATTTGGGAGCAGGAGAGGGGTGCACTGCAAAGGGTGCTTGGGAAAGATTGCTCTAGCAGAGCGCTGTGTAGGATGGGTGGGGAGGGTGCGGGGAAAGGGAGAGCCTCGTGACCGACATGGTGAACAGGTGGGAGGTACTACCAGCTCCCACCCTGGAGCTGTGCCGTGGAAATGCAGGGGAAGGAACTGGGGAGGGGAGGAAGGGGGCAAAAGGACAATGAGGGGACCTCACTCGGCCGGACTTGGATGGGACCAAAGTCAGAGCCCTCTCCCTGGCAGTGGAGCCAAGGAAACCCAGAGTGCTTGCAGAGCAGCAGGGGAACTGGTCTGATCAGACCCGGGAGGTCATGGGAGTTTATTTGGGGGCAAGTTTCATTCCAAGTGTGAGCTGGAGCATTCCGGGGGCAAGGAGACACTGATCCCTTCTAGGGGATCCCGTGGGGCACTGAAGAAACTGATCCGGAGGCCCGCCTAGCGGTGGGCCAGTATCCTGCCCCTGTGAAAGGGCGATGGCTGCGCTGGTGAGAACAGGGTGGTCACTGAGGGTTTGCCGGGAAAGGAGTGGAAGGCCTGCAGAGACACCCCCAGTTAGGAGGAAGGTCAGTGAGGGAGCCAGGAGAGGGAACTGTCACACCAGCCACAGGAGGAGGGACAAGGCAAGGAGGCACCTGCTGTGCCCCTGGAGCTGTACCTGATCACTTAGAACACCTGGTGAAGCTTGGCTCTCAAGCGAGAGGAGGGAAAGGGAGAAGTCAGTGGTTCCAGAGATGGGAGGCTGCAGAGGGTCCACAAGGGTCTGTGTGACGGTTGGGGGGTGGTATTTGGAGCCTAGCAGGGCTTCTGCACAGTATCATCCCCCATCCCTCTGGGACCACCCATTCCCTACTCCTTGTTGTCCCTCCAGCTCCCCTCCCACCACTGCCCCAGGCTCCTCTTCCTGCCCCACCTGCCTACCCCAGTCAGGGGCAGCTGTGGCCCCTCCTGCTCCCATCCCCATTCCCATCCTCACCACCAGCTCTGAGGTGTGTGGGGAGGTCTCCCACATGCATCTCCACACTCCAGTGGGTGGGCGAGAAGGAGCAGAGAAGAAAAACGCTAAGCCATGGTGACAGAATGACATTTTGACTTGAAAATTGCCAAAGAAGAAATGACACCGGCTGTGTGGGTATGGGTGGAGCCCAGGCACTTATTTGGGTGACCTTTCTAACCAGAGATGTAGCTGGGGCGGGTTGTGGGAGATCTCAGAGAGACGCCCCTGCCCCCAGCTCAGCCCTGGTAGTGACTGCCCATCCATGTGGCAGGGCTGGCCTCCAGGATGGGTCCAGCCAAGCATGGCGTGGGGCATGGGCAGGGACACCAGATTCGGGCCCATCTGGGATAAGTCAATTCTGAACTTTTAGCTTGCAAAACAGGTTCATGGATTCAGATGGGAAAAGCAGAAAGGGTCTTAAAGATCGTCTAAGTTAGGGGCTTTAATTTCATTGGATTGACATACCAGTGAAAGCTATGGAAACTCGCCCCCCAAGAAATACATTGATTCATTTAAAAAGAATTATTGAATACCTACGAAGTGCCAGGCACTGTTCTAGGCACTAGGGATGTGCCAGTGATCAAAAGAGACAAAAATCCTTGCTTTTATGAAACTTACATTTTAGTGACAGACCATGAGCAGAATAAATAAGGAAAAAATAGACTATATCAAAATGTCAAATGGTGACAAATGAAATAGAAAAAAAAAAGTCTGGGAGGAGTCTAGGGGATGTGAGAGGCAGGAGACCAGGCAGTTGTCAATTTTAGATACGGTAGTCAGGGGAGGTTTCGTGGAGATGGCGTTTGAAGGTAGTGAGGAGTGAGTCACAAAGATGGAAGCGGAGGAGAGAATATTCCAGGCCAGGGGAACAGCAGGCACAAATGACCCATACATCTAATTTCTCCTAGTGTTTCCGGGGTTCACAGACCCCTGAGGTTCATCTGCTCATCCTTCTGTGAATTGCAGATGGAGAATCTTTGATAGAGGGTAACTGCCTGCGTTTACAGGTGGGGAGCTGGAGGCCCAGAGAGGGGAGAGCTTGCTCAAGGTCACACGGTGAGGTGGCCCCAGAGCAGAGGCTAGAACCCAGGGCTCCTGACACCCTGGGACTTGTCCCCACCTCCAGGTCCTCACCTGGTACAGGAACCCTTTCTGCAGGATCTCCAGCAAATGGCCGCCTAGTATCAGCTTGGCTGCTGTCAGTGATGGGCAGCTCATCACCTTTTGAAGCCATCATTTCCGTCGTCCAGGAACCAGAGATGTGAACCAGCTGACTCCTCTGTTGACCTGCATTCGCCTCCCTTGGGTTTGGGCCTGACAGCCTTTCCCTCTCTTCTTCTTCACCAGGTTCACCATTTGCCACAAGACCGAGGTCATGAAGAACACCCTAAATCCAGTCTGGCAAACTTTCTCCATTCCCGTGAGAGCCCTCTGCAACGGCGACTACGATCGGTGAGATGAGAAAATGTCCCTTCTTTTTTCCTTCTGCTTCTGGGCCCTCCCCAAGCACAAGTGAGGGTGGCCCCATTCATATTGACGTGGTCAGTCCCATCAGTAGAAATGAGGCCTTCTGGAGTTGTGCAGTAGGGGGTGCCCTGCACAGGCTGGGGCTTGGTGAGCCCCTCCACTCTTTCCCTGCTGCACCCGGCAATGTCTGCCTCTTCACAGCCTCACAGATCCTCTTCTCCCCACCCGCCCCACCTCTTTCCCCTCTGTCTGGCATCCCCACTGGTGGGAAACTCCCAAGGTTAGGGGGATGGGAAGTGCCCAGGATTCCAGGGAAACCCAGATGGGTGTCCCGGGTGCCCAGGCCTGGAGTTCAGCAGCTTGTCTTTTCATTGTTCCCAGTGGAGGAGCAGATGGCAGCAGGGAAGCAGGGTGTTGATGCAGGCAGAGGCAGCTGGTCCCAATTCCTGGCCAACAGACTGGGGAGTCAAGATCCTAGGGATACATCCTGCCAGCCTAGTTGCCATAAACAAACGGGGTAGAGTGCAAAGAGCTTCTGGGATTTCTTTCTCTTTTTTTAGACAGGGTCTCGCTCAGTCACCCAGGCTGGAATGCAGTGACAGTGGCGCCATCACAGCTCACTGCAGCCTGGACCTCCCAGGCTCAAGCGATCCTTCCACCTCTACCTCCTGAATATAGTTGGGACTACAGGCACCTACCACCACGCCCAGCTAATTTTTTATTTTTGTAGAGACTGGTTTCGCTGTGTTGTCCAAGCTGGTATCAAACTCCTGGGCTCAAGCAATGCACCCATCTCTGCCTCCCAAAGTGCTGGGATTACAGGTGTGAACCACCATGCCTGGCAGATTTTTTTTTTTTTTTTAATTGAGATGGGATTTCACTCTTTCACCCAGGCTGGAGTGAAGGGACATTTTCTCATCTCACCGATTTCAGCTTACTGCAGCTTCCACCTCCTGGGCTCAAGCAATCCTCCCACCTCAGCCTCCCGAGTAGCTGGTACCACAACCATGCACCACCACGCCCGGCTAATTTTTTGTGTTTTTGGTGGACATGGGGTTTCACCATGTTGCCCAGGCTAGATTTTTTGTTTTAACATATGCCTACTCTTATTACATGTTGGCTATCATCTTCATCATCATTTGAGTGTAGATTGTTGAGTGTAGATACCAGATACCTGGTTGCTAATTCTGACTCTGTGACCAAAAAGCACTGTCAACCTGGGCAATCCTTGACCTGTCTGAGCCTGAGTTTCCTTATCTGTAAAATGGGTATTAAAATGTCTGCCTACTCTACAGGACTGCATTGACGCTCACACGACACAACCTACACAACGAGGCTCTGTTGTGCCTAAAATACCAAATTCAGCATCTCATCCACAAATGTTTAGGGAACCCCTGTCATGTACCAGGCACTGTGCTAGATGCTGGGAAATCAGCAGGGTGCAGTCTTCACCCTTCACCCAACCTAGTGGTGTTTACATGCCAGTAGGGGAGGCAGACATTAATCCAATAATCACACAAGGAAACATGTAATTATACATTGTAGCAAGCGCCGAGAGAGCGAGTGGGGCCACCACCCAAAATGGGAGCTGTGAGACTGTGTTGGTTTCTGTTGAGTCAGGAGAACCCATCCCTGTCTCCTGGTGATTGCTGCAGCTCAGGTGGGTGAGGTGGTAGGGGGCTCATGGGCAGGGCTCTCTGGACAGCTAAGAAAGCTGGGCCTCTGGGCCACTCCGACAGGAGCACTGGGGTGTCGAAACAGACACCTGGGGTCAGGCGTGGTGGCTCACGCCTGTAATCCCAACACTTTGGGAGGCTGAGATGGGCTTGAATCCAGGAGTTCAAGACCAGCCCGCGTAACATAGTGAGACCCCCATCTTTACAAAAAAAAATTTAAAAATTTAAAACTAAATTTAAAAAAATTAAAACATTAAAAAAAATTATCTGGGTATAGTGGCGCACATCTGTGGACCCAGCTACTCAGGTGGCTGAGGCAAAAGGATCACGTGAGCCCAGGAGTTCAAGGCTGCAATGAGCTATGATTGCACCACTGCACTCCAGCTTGGGATGCTGTCTCAAGAAAAAAAAAAGAAAACCTTAAAGACAAAAAAGAAAACAAACAAACAAAACCAGACACCTTGGGGCAGCTGGGAGCCTGAAAAGGCATGTTGAGGGGATGATCAGCAGATGAATGGCCTCCAGGCACCCCTGTTACACTCCGAAGAAACCCCCAGGCTGCCAGTTTGAGACATGAGCTTGTTCTTTTTCCTGCCTCTTGGCTGGGACAGAAGAGCCACAGTCTGTTCCACAGGTGGTCACTGAGTGCCTCCTGTGTCCCAGCGTGGCGCCTCTAGCTGTGCGGATTTAAACGAACAGGGTCGCCTTCCCATCTTTAGGGAGACTGTGGTCTGACCACAGGCAGCACAGATGTGCACATGTATTTTAGACAGATAAATAAGTGCACAAAATAAGACTGGGAACAAAGACGGTCTTAGCGCTGCAGTCAAACAAGCCTCTGTTACACATCTAGCTGGCTCCTGGGGCTTCTAGAGTGGGTGAGGGGATGAGAGGACAGGCTGGTTGGAGCAGTGAGAGGACGGGCTGGTTGGAGCAGTGAGTTCTAAAGAAGGCCCAGGAAAGGCTGGAAAGTCAGGGGTGGAGGATCCTGGGGACAGGGGCACGGGAATAAAGGGAGATGGAAACAAAGTGAGAGGAAATTCAAGGTAGGGGGATGGGAGAGTATGGCAGTTAAAGTCTCACAGGGCAGAAGGAATTGGGGATCCCTGGCCCAACTGACCCCTCACAACCCTGTATCTCTAGAGAGGAGCTCCCAGGGTTGCAGGAGCCAGCTTTGTCAGGGACAGTGAAAGGGGCAGCAGGGCTCGGAGGCCTGGCTTCACCACTGGGCCGTTGGAGGAGGTGGGTATTTATTTGGTGGGAGGGGCAGGCTCCCACCTCCCACTCTGAGGCAGAGCCTAGCCTCATCTCGCTGCAGGATGGCCCTCCCCCATGTCCAGAAGCAGATCTTCCATAATGTGACTGACAGTAGTGTTAATCAAGGAGGCCAGGGATGTCACTCTGGCTCCAAGAACGATCAGGCCTATCCCCCCGCCCCCCAGCCCCAGTGTAACCCACGCACCCAACAGACACTCAGGAGGTGCCAGTATCAGAAGGCCCTCCAGGGTAGGCAGGGGAGGGCCCTGTGCAGGAAAATGGGGCCACTGTCCCCTCCTTCCAAGACACCTCTTGGAGCCTCACAGAACGTAGTTGATTTAATTCAGCAGCCGTGTCTTCCAAGCCAGTCAGGCCCCAGGCACTGTGTTGGGTGCTGTGGGGGCCTATTGACCCAAGCCTCCCTCTTAGGTTGCTCCCAGGCCAGTGGGGAGACAGACAGGTCATGATAATAGCAAAGACTCCTATAGCACTTAACCATGGGCCAGGCCCTGCTCTAAGTGCTTTATGTATAGGAACTAATTTAATCCCCCCAACAATTAGCTCATTGCAAAGAGGTGCTGATGCTAGCCACATTTTACAGGTAAGGAGACAGAGAGGCCCTGAGAGATTAAGTCACTTGCCCAGTGTCTTGCTGCCAGCCGGTGGTAGAACCAGGATGTGGACCCCGGCAGCCTGGCTCTAGATTCTGTGTTGTTAATCCCTATGCACTGTTGCCAGATAGCCAAGACATGGCATGACAGGGCTGTGACCAGGGTGCATCTGGGGGAGGCTTACTAATGAGCACCTTGCTCAGGGGTTAGGGGCAGTTCTGCTTTCTGATTAGAGGTAGGGAAGCTGCTTGGATTGGTTTTAGTCCTCAAAGCATTAACGTCCTTCTGGCTTTAATACCAAATAATTCAGAGGGGAGAGGAGAGGGGAACAGCAAGAAGGAAGAGGAAGACCCAAAAGGCCTTGGTACCTGCCTGGGTAAGGGAGTGAAAGAGGGGAAGGGATAATGGTTCAGCGTTTGAGGGCAGGAAAAGGTGGCACCACCGACAGAAATGGGCAGTGTGATCGGCAGCCAGATTCTTACTCACAGATTTGTGTTCCGCAGTTCTTTTCACAGCCTATCTGAAACCCATTTTTAAAAAAATTATCCTTCTTAAGTTATAAAGATTATGTTTGTTGTTTGAAAACGAGCTGCTGCTGTTGAGAGGTTGGGGAAAGAGAGGTAAACTTGGTTTCAGCCACATTGAGAGGAGGCAGCTGTGGACCAGGCACCGCTAAAGCAGGAGGGGACAGCAGTCTAGGGTCTCCAGGAGGGGGGTGGCCAGAGATCTGGTGCCCTGAGAGGCCCTGTGGGTGATGCCAGAGGCCAGGAGCAAGAAAGAAGAGGAGATGGTCAGAGGGATAGGAGGGAACTAAGAGGAGGGCGGCACGGTCAGGGATCATTCCCTCCTATTGTGAGAAGAGGTACAGGAGGATGAGAACCCGGGCCTGATGAGAAAGGGCAGTGTTCTCGGAATGATGGGTGTAGAAGCCAGGTAATACGATTACAGTTACTGAGGACTTAGGACATGGACCAAGTTGTATTCTAATTGGTTTAAATGCGTTATCTTATTTTGTGAATTTAAATTTTACAATAACCCTAGGAGCCGGGTCTAGTGCTGTGCCTATTTTACAAGGGAAATAGAAGAGAAGATATTATATAACTTGCCAGAGTAAGGAGAAGCTGCATTTCCCTCCTGTTGAAATTGCCTCTGGCCTGGCCCTCTGGCCTGGAGTCTCCCTGCCTTTGCTATGTGTCCAGTCCACACAAGGCCAAACCTGAGTGACCTAGCTGAGCAGAGCTGAAGTCACAGGAAGTGGCATCAGGATCAGAGCCAAGCCAGCCTTCCGGTGGGGTAAAGTGGGGTGATGACAGGAAGCACTTCCCCTGCCTTCCTGGAATTTGCCCTACTCTCTTAATGTTCTGTGACTTGAGGATTTGTCCCTGTTAAACCACAGTTGTCTGGGTCAGGCTGCTCACACCTTGATGCTGAATGAGTAGATTTTAAGAGGGTGTTAAGAGTGTGGAGTCCTCACCTGGAGAGAGGAAAGGAGTCACCGCAGCTTCCCACTTCTGCCTGGCACCCTTGATGTGTGAGTTCCTTCTCTTTTGCATCCGGCCACAGATGAGCTCCCAGGAGGGCCAGGCGCCCTATCAGGCATCTCCACAGATGGCCTCGATGAAGGGCATCGTACCGTTCTCGGTATTCACATGCAGAAGCTGAGGCTCAGACGGGAGGCACGGTCACCGCGGCACTGCCCGGTGTTGCGCAGTGCAACCTGGGGGCCGAGATTGCTGCCAGTCTCACTGCCTGCCCCAGATGAGGCCCTGATGCTCCTCTTCCTGAAGAGTTGAGTGTTGGACTGACTCAAGTCCATTTAAGGCAAAACCCCTCAGGGCCTGTCAGCCCTCGGGACTTGTAAGCCGCAGGGAAACCTTCCCCCTGCCAGGCAGAGGCTCATTAGGAGGCAGACCTTGCAGCTCAGCTGGGAGGAAACTATAGATAGAGCTAGTTGGTATGCCGTGGGGGCAGCCTGGCGTTTTGGCTGGTGTCTCTCATCCCTGCTGGCTTGCCCAGGCTCACACATATCTGGCTCTGTCATTGTGGCTCTAGGTGTCCAGAGGCCCAGGTCACTGACTCCTGGCATCACCACTGACCAGCTGTGTGACTCACGGAGAGCCACATACTCTTGGCCTCCTTTTGTGATTTTGTAGAATGACGGTATTATTACCTGCACAGCCCATTTCATCACGTTGCTAGGAGCTCTCAGTCAGCCAACAAATATGTATACAGCACCTGATATAGGCTAGGCACTGTTCTAGAAGCTGAAGATACAGCAGGAAACAAACAAACAAAAATCCCGGGCCTCATGGAGCTGATATTTTCAAGAAGCATGGGAATTGTTTGAGAGACAGGAGCTTGGATAAAGGGATGGAGTGTTTTAGACAGGAACAGAGCAACATGTGTCCAGCGCTGACTGTACGTGGAGATAGTTTACTTGCACAGCAGCTCCAAAGTGGCTGTGATTTTTCTCAATTTGGAAAGGAGGGGAGTGTCTGAGGGTTAAGCCAGTTGCTCGGGGCAACAGACCTAGTACTTGGAAGAGCTGAGACTGCCAGCCAGGGCTGCTCACCCCACAGCCGAAGGTCTTTTCTGCCCACTTTGCTGCCTCCTAGGTTAGGCCTCTGTCCTGAGCCTTTGTATGCCAGATAAGGTGTTCATTTGGTGGTCTGCAGAAGCCCATTTCATTTTCCCACACCCAATAAGCCTGTTCTCTTGGGTGCCGGCCCCAGAAGTCACAGTCAGCTGGACCGCAGCTTTTGTTGGCCCTGTGCTAAGGGGTTAGGAGCCAAGGCCAGCAGGTGACAAGTGACATCTGCAGTGACTTCAGGCAGCCCAACCAGGGTGGACAGCCACAGAACTGTGAATATGGCTGGGCACGCTGGTTCACGCCTGTAATCCCAGCATTTTGGGAGGCCAAGGTGGGCGGATCACTTGAGGTCAGGAGTTTGAGACCAACCTGGCCACCATGGTGAAACCCCGTCTCTACTAAAAATACAAAAATTAGCCGGATATGATGGCATGCGCCTGTAATCCCAGCTACTCAGGAGGCTGAGGCAGAATTGCTTGAACCCAGGAGGTGGAGGTTGCAGTGAGCCGAGATCGTACCACTGCACTCCAGCTTGGGCGACAGAGCGAGACTCTGTCTCAAAAAAAAAAAAAAAAAAAAAAAAAAAGAACTGTGAATAGAGTAGTCAAAGCCTTATTTGTCTTCTCCCCATGGTCTTCCCCCTGTCTCTGGGCACTATTTCTCTCACCTCCTTCTCTCCCAAAGCTGGAGGTGCAGACTTTGAGCTAATCTGACCCCCAGGCTGCAGCCATCCCTGGAGCCTTAATGGAGGCCAGGCCGAGTTTGCACAGGAATCTCATTCAGTGGTCTCAACCTGGGTTGCAAGTTCAAATCCCCCTGGGGAGCTTTTAACAATTCCCATGCCCAGCTTGCACTCCAGACCAACTGATCATGAATCTCTCGGGTAAGACATTGGTGTCAGTATTTCTAAAGCTTCTTGGGGGGATTCCAAATTGCAACCAAGTTTGAAAACTAGTGCTGTCTTCTAGAGAAGGTCAGTGGCTCTGGTTGCATGTTAGAATCCATCACAGAACTTTTCAAAACTACCCAGGCCTGAGTCCTATCCAGACCAATTAAATTAGGCCCTCTGGCCTGGGATTAAAATTTTCCCCAGTGATTTTGTGGATATGCAGGGCTGTCACCATGACTGGGGTCCTCCTCCAGCCTCTGAGCATGTGGTCATCACCCATCTAGTCACCCGAGGGGCTGGTGTTGGTGGTCAGAGGAGAGCTATTCTTTGCTGGGGTCTCTGAAGGTCCCCTGCAGAGCTTAGCGGTCTGGGGAAGGACTGGGAGGCCACTGGGCAGGGGTAGAGAGACTTCAGCCTTGTGGGGCCATGACCGAAGTCCTGGACTGGGAGTCAGGGCCTTGGTCTTGTTCTGGCTCAGACCCTCAGCTGGGTGACTCTAGGCAAGTCACTGGAGGCTCTTAGGGCTCAATTTTCCCATCTGACAGTGGGGTGGAGGTCATCACTCCGGAACACATACAGCACAGTCACTAGGGAAGCCTTGAAAACAGATTCCTGAGTCTTGCCCAGAGCTGGACCTGGGAGTCTGTGTCTGAAAAGCTGCCACTGATTTGGCCAGGCAGTCAGGCTTGAATCAGAAGTTGCAAAGCCCAAGTACCTAGGCTCAAGTGTCCCTGATTGAAGTAAATTTCATACGAAAAACTATCAGAGGCCGGGCGCCGTGGCTCATGCCTCTAATCCCAGTACTTTGGGAGGCCGAGACGGGTGGATCACTTGAGGTCAGGAGTTCGAGGCCAGCCTGGCCAACATGGTGAAACCCCATCTCTACTAAAAATACAAAAAATTAGCCAGGTGTGGTGGCTCATGCCTGTAATCCCAGACACTTGGGAGGGTGAGGCAGGAGAATCAGTTGAATCCGGAGGCGGAGGTTGCAATGAGCCGAGATCACGCCATTGCACTCCAGCCTGGGCAACAGAGCAAGACTCCATCTCAAACAAGCAAACAAACAAACAAAAACCTATCAGAGCGCGGCCAAATGATGAAGTGGAGAGAAGGAGGCATTTTTGTAGAGACCCTCCCATGCAGCAGGCGGGCCTTACTAGCTTGTTCTTGCAGCTGTTCTGCAAGGCCGTTATTACTTCTCCTTTCAATGGTGGCTTATGGCTCGGGGAGATTAAGTGACATCTCAGGTCCCATAGTGAGGGGCCCAGGTCCAAGCGTAGGGCCGTCCTGGTCTTTCCACTCTTTCCAGCTCATCAACCCACCTTCAGGGGCTTAGGTGATTTTTTTTTCCTTTCCACAATAATTCACCTCAGAGAGACATGGTTTTTTGTTTTTCACAAGAATCTAAAGGATTCCTTTAAATGGTGGGCTTCCATGCCTGCCTCATTGTACAGGAGTGCTGGTTTACAGAAATCCAGTGTGTGCACAACCTACTGGGCATTCCTTCATTCAGAACAGTTTCTGCCCTGCTGCGGTGGATCTGTCGCCTACCCTTGGTCCTGAGGATGCTCATCTGAAAGGAGACAGCGCCTCCTCCTGGAGGGGCCACAGAAGCCCAAGGCTGACTCCTGGCAGGCCCGAGGAGATGGGCGAGATGATGGGATGTTAACAAAGATAGGCCCGGGGAGCTGCCTCTCTGCACCCCACTAAGAACTGAAGGCTGAAGACCCCAGCTCCCCAGGCCCTTCCCACCTCCCCAAACCTGACCCTGCTGTGGGACCCTGGCAGCTCCCCTGTCCCTGGGCATCCCTGGAGGATCGAGCAGCTGGCACCAAGGGTTAACCGCAACCCTCCACCTCCCTCCTCCCAGCTCTGGTCCGCTAGCCTGTTGCCATGGGAACGTGGCTAAAAATAAAATGGGCTCTCAAAGCCCATCCGCATGCATAGGAGTCAAAACAAACTAATTAAAGCAGCCAGGCTAAAATATGAAGATAATTACACCCTCACTCAGGAGCCAGTCGTGGGGATGGAAAAGCTCAGCGGGCCATCCCCGAGCCAGGGCCCTGGGCTCCTCCCTGACGTGCAGGGCTGGCTCCCACACCCAAAGCCCTCAGACCCTCAACAAGCAGTCTTCTTCCCTCCCCTCCACCCTGCCGGGGCCTGAGATCCAGGGAGCACCACACTCCCACCTCCCCGCTCCTCCACCCCTGGTAAATCCACAGTGCAGCTCCATGCTGAGCTTATGCCCCTTCTGCAGTGGCCAAGAAGAAGGTGGGGTGAACTGAAGTCTGCAGCTGTTTTTCCCACATTCTCCTTGAAATTCTGGGCAGTCCCTACACAGCCCTGGCTGCCCTTTTCCTAAGGCCTTTCCTAAAAGGCCTCAAGAGAGATCCTTGTCTCTCAAGCCGCTGCCTCCCCACCCAGGGCCCTGGGGCCCAGAGGGAGTCCTGGCCTCCCTATCTGGTCCGGGAACATGAAGAGGGCCCCATCCTCAGCCACGTGGGTGTGGGGTTGGGCCCATCCCAGCAAAGGCCTTTGTTTTGCAGGACCATCAAGGTGGAGGTGTACGACTGGGATCGGGACGGCAGGTAAGCAGGCAGGAGGGCAGGGGCGAGAAGGTGAGTGGGGATGGGGACAGCCACTGGGCCCTGCCCTCCCATGCGGAGCTGTGACCAGGCTCCCCCCCGCAGTGGCTCTGGGGGTGAGGGAGCCTGGGTTTGCGTGTGTGTGGAGGGTGGGGGAGGGGTCCTCTGCTGCAGTAGCTCCTCCCCATCCAGCTCCACGGAGGCACCAAAGCACCTCTGTCCTGCAGGATATGGTGTGAGGGGCATAAGAGGCCTCCTTTTTCCCAAATAGCTGCCCAGGGGCCCGCCAGTACCCACAATCTCCCCACGCGTGGCAGAATTTAGGGCTTTCTGAAGAGTGCATGTTCTAGGGCACAGACACCAGTGAACTTCAAGCATTCATGGACACATTTTCCGCGTGAAGACTCGGGCTAAGCATTGTGGGGTGACGGAGATGCAGAGGAGCCCAGCCCTCAGAGACTCCCCACAACCTAGCAGGGAGGCCAATTGTACCCGTACAGCCCTCGGCTCATCAGAGGAGCTGTTTGCAGAGAGCCAGGACTGAGGGAATGGGCTGTGGGAAGGGAGAGCTACGAGGCGTGAGTGGACTCATGGGCCGTGAGACAGTGCCTGTGTAGGGCTGTCCCTGGCTGCTGGGAGGGTGCTTCCCACTCGGGGTCTTTGGGAGGCCAGTACTTCTGGGAATCCATAGAGGAGGACAAGAGCAGGCCTCTCGAAGCTTCAGTCCAGAACCCACCCTGGCTTCTACTTGTCGGCTGAGCCAAATCCAAATATGTCACCCTGACTTTTGTGACATTTCCATTCTGTGGCACTACCAAGGAGTGACTTAGGAGGACTTCAAGGTCCCCCAGTGTCCGCTGGTACCTCCCAAGTCTGTGATATGGACAGGGGGTTTGTTTTATCTTATGTAAAGTGCTATGCAAATGCAGCTCCAGGTGAGACCCAAGCCCCCTTCCAAGGAACTCTCCTTCCCCTGAGACCAACCATCCTGCAAGAAGCTCCAGAGCCGCTATGCCCTCCCCTCCTTGCCTCTCAGCTACCTCACAGTCAGCTTCATTGTTTCCACCTGGAATTTGCCTCGTCTTACCCTGGCGTTCCTGTACTCCTTTGCCTGGAATAGTCTCCTCTTCTGTGCCAGTTGGGGACAGCTACCAGGTGCCACTGGGTCCCACCATGAAGTTGCTCATAGTCAGAATGCTGAGAGCTGTAAATATGTAGACACAATACAGTGTAGGCTCACGGTGGGGGGTGGGGGGGTGGGGCCCCAGGGACACCTCTTGGGCATCAGTCTCCGGCTGGATGCCCCAGGCCAGCACATTGACCAAGGCCCTCTGGCAGTGACTGGGGAAGTTAAAGGAGCCAACCCTGGGGTCAGTGGGAGTTCTGCCATGTACAAGTCTTGGCCGTGCTTGATGTAAGCACTCCAGAAGGTGTGGGCACTGCAGAAAACACTTGCAGCCACCCAGCTGGACATCGCTCTCATTGTGTTTTAAAAATAATCTCATTAGAGAAGGGTTTAATGAACACCTTTAATCCCATCACCTGAATTTAACATTTGTTATATTTGCTTCATCTATGTTTTGCTAATGTAGCTTAAATTATAGACTTCATGGCATTTTACCTCTAAATGCTTCATTGAAAATGTCTAAAAAATAAGGGCACTTTCCCACTTACCCACAAATGCCATTATCATACTTGACACATTGAACAATATTCTTTTTTTTTTTTTTTTTTTGAGATAGAGTCTCGCTCTGTTGCCCAGGCTGGAGTGCAGTGACACAATCTCAGCTCACAGCAACCTCCACCTCCTGGGTTCAAGCGATTCTCCTGCCTCAGCCTCTGGAGTAGCTAGGATTATAGGTGTCCACCACCACGCCTGGCTAATTTTTGTATTTTTAATAGAGACGGGGTTTCACCTTATTGGCCAGGCTGGTCTCGAACTCCTGACCTCAGGTGATCTGCCCGCCTTGGCCTCCCAAAGTGCTGGGATTATAGGCATGAGCCACCGCGCCCGGCCACAATATTTTTAAATACCATTCACTATTCATTTCATATTCAAATTTCCCCAGTTGTCCCCCAAATACCCTTGTTCAAACAAGGATCCAAGTAGAAGTGGGTGCTGTTCTTCCAGGGCCCTGCTCTTTACTGGGTGACAATTGGGTTTCTTCCTCTGTGGGCAACACTGGGCTCTCTTCCCACGGACCCAGCCTGTCTGCTGGCGTGTGCCCCTGGAGTGGAGTCCCAGGTAGAATTGGGAGCCAAAGAAACGGATGTGTGCAAGGCTGGGGCTGGGCAGAGGCAGGGCACAGCCTGGCCTTGGTCTCAGCAGCCGTCTTCCCTTGCAGCCATGACTTCATTGGGGAGTTCACCACCAGTTACCGGGAGCTGGCCCGTGGGCAGAGCCAATTCAACATCTATGAGGTGAGGTGGGCACCCGAAATCCAGGGTTTGCACTACTAAGTGGCCCAGTCACTGAGGACTGTAGTGAGCCATGCACTGGGCTGGGGGCTTGGTGTGTTTTCCTGTGAGAAAGGGGTTATTGTCCCATTCTACCGTTAAGGAGACCAAGTCTTGGAGAAGTGCGAGAACTTGCCCAAAGTTCCACCATTCAGTAAGTGGCAAAATCAAGACACAAACAACCCAGACTTGGCTGATTCCAAATCACCGAGTTATAGTGTCCCCATAAAGAGCAGTTCTCACAAGCAAGAGAGATAGGAGCACGATGGGAGCCAGTATACGAAGGTTCTGGGCTTGAGACCTGAGGTCCTGAGTTCGAGGTGGCCTTGTGCTTTCAATCAGAACAGTTTCAGGGCCTGCTGAGTATCTTACCTGTTTCAGAATGAAAACTTCAAGAGAATGAGGTCAGGATACCTTCCTTGTTCTAGCCCCAGAGCTGGAGAGCCTCGGACAAGGCACCTGGTCTCTCTGGAGGTGTAACAGTAGCATTTGCCCTCAAGGGACAATGTCTGCATGTGTGTGTGTGTGTGTGAGCATGTATTTGCGTGTGTGCGCATGCGTGTGTGTGTGTGTGTGCATGTATGTGTGTGTGCGCGTGCGTGTGTGTGTATGCGTGTGCATGTGTGTGTTCTCCCTCTTTTTTTTTTTTTTTTGAGACAGGGCCTCACTCTGTTGCCCTGGTTCACTGCAGCCCCAATCTCCCAGGCTCAAGCGATCCTCCCACCTCAGCCTCCCGAGTAGCTGGGACCACAAGCACGCACCACCATGCCCAACTAATTTTTTAAATTTCTTGTAGAGACAGGATCTCGCTATGTTTCCCAGGCTGGTCTTGAGCTCCTGGGCTCAAGCGATCCTCCTGCCTTGGCCTCCCAAAGTGCTGGGATTATAGGCCTGAGCCACCGCGTTCTACTGTGTGCTCTCCCTTTTGCAATTCCCTCCCCACCTTCCAAATCTAGCTCAGGTCCTGCTCCTCTGTGAGGTCTTCCCAGCCACTCTTGTCCCCGTGCTTTCTTGTCTGAACTTCCACAGACATCATGGTTCATGCCAAACCCACTTAATGGCAGATACTTATAACCCAAATAACTGCTTGTGTTCGTATCCTGACTCTACCACTTACTAGCTACGTGACCTTGGCTAAGTCTCTGAACTACTCTGTGCCATGCAAACTGAGAATTAAATAAGTTAATGGAACAATGCCTGACCCAGAGGTCAGCACTGTCTTCTGTCACCATCTGCTGAGCACTGTGTGCCCAGAGGTTCACATTTTACAACCATCCTACCATCCTGGCACTGTCCTCATGCTAGCAGCCACTCAGCCAGCAAAGTTGAAGAGCTGGCCTTGAGTTCCATCACTGAATCCAAATCCCATGCTACCCCCACTCCTTTGCCCTGCATGTCGGTTCTGAGTGGGCAGGTCTTGTGTTCCAACTAGACTTTCCAAGGGCTGGTGAGGTGACAGCCCTGTCTGTTGCCTCCCCTCACTGGCCAGGGCACTGCCGGGCACACAGTAGGTGTGTTATACATTCGCATGCTGAATGAGATTGAACATGGCTATTGTGAAGATGGAGTGTGGATGAATTTATTTGAAAGGGCTCTAATACAGTACATTGCTTTGTTTTCTGCATCTGCAAAGAGAGAAGCTGTCTTTGTCCCCGCTCCCCCGCCCCACCCCAGTCAGAGAGAAGCAGATGCCACCATTCTCTGGCCTCCTTTGAGGAGATTTAGGGAGGTGAAGGGAAGGGGTCAGATCTCTCCGAGCTTGGCTTCTAAAGGTGCTTGACAGGCCCAGAAGGAGCTGTTTCTCTCGGGCTAAGAGCAGAAAGCATTCAATTGACTTGTTTTCTCAGTTGTTGATCCCTGCTTCTTTGTAATCAACAAGAGAAAGTGCCACACTGGGAGGCAGAAGCACTGTCTGCACACATCGGAAGGCCATCAGCTGAAAAAGGAGCACAGCTCTGGCAGTCCCAGGGGGAGGCTGGTTTGGGGCAGGAAGGCCTTGCTAGAATCAGAACTGCCTGAAAAGGGAACAGGCTCCAGCCAGTAAAGACCTGTGCCTCGGGCCCTGGCATTGCCCTAGTGTCAGGCTCCTATGTCCAGCTGTCTGCTGGCCCTTCCTGTAGCTCAGCCTTCCAAAACTGAACACATTAGCTAAACCTCCCACAGCACTCCCGTCCTCCTGGCGAGCCGGCTTCATCTCAAATATTCCCATCATGGGGGCTCAGGGCACCTTAGGGGTCATACTTAACTTCCCCATCCCTCATTCCATATCCAGTCCACGAGCAAACACTGCTCGCCTACCACCCATGTTTTCTGACATCGTTCCCCTCATCTCAGGCCACCACCACCAACTTCATCATCTCCCCCCTTATGGGGCTTTGCCACAGCCTCCTTTCTTCCTTCTGTCCTCTACACAGTAACCAGCGTACTCCACCAAAATAGTGATCTGATCACATCGCTCCCCTGCTTAAAATCTGTGTAGGGCATTCCACCCACCTCCTTAGCCTGGTTCGCACATGGGAGGTGGGAAGAGATACTGAAAGATGCTCCCACCGCAGCTGAGATCCACTGACCTACAGGGTGAAGTTCCAAGCTCTTTCATTTGGGATGCTGTTTCCCCAGCCAGCCACCCGCAATCTGTGTATGCGTGCTTTTTTTTTTTTTTTAAGATGGAGTCTCATTCTCACCCAGGCTGGAGTGCAGTGGCACAATCTCGGCTTACTGCAACCTCCACCTCTACTTCCAGGCTCTAGCTATCCTCCCACCTCAGTCTCCCAAGTAGCTGGGACCACAGGCACACACCACCACCCTGGCGATTTTTTTTTTTTTTTGCATTTTTGGTAGAGATGGGTTTTTGCCATGTTGCCCAGTCTGGCCTCCAACTCCTGAGCTCAGGTGATGCACCCGCCTCGGCCTTGCAAAGTGCTGGGATTTCAGGTGTGAGCCACCACGCCTGGCTGTGCATGTAAATAAAAACACACATCACATGCCTTTGGAGGCCCCTAGGAGCTGGCCCCTGCCCCTTCCCTCTGCCCATTCCCACATTCATCCCCGTCCTGCCACCTGAGGCTCTCTGAACCTCCGTGCTGTCTCAGCCTCCAGGGCTCGATTCATATGGGTGCCTCCACCTGAGACTCCCTCTTGTCTTCTCCTGGGTAGGAGCTATTGGTCCACGGAGCCTCCCTGTGGGTGTTCCTCCTCCAGGAAGTTGTGTCCACCTGCACACCCGCCCCACCCCAGAGCCTGGAGTGGACACTTGTCAGTGCTCCTGGGGTTCCTTCTGGCTATTTTCTGTTTTGTGACACTATTCAACCCCTCAAAGACCTTGAAGTCCTCAGGGTGGGGGTTGTGTTGCACTTACTGCTGCATCCCCAGAGCCAGCACAGCTCCTGGCCCCTAGGAGCCCCTCAGTGCCCCCACCCACCCCACCTAATGTGCGCAGGAGGGCAGATTCCAGACCTGTCCTGTCCCCGCCTGACCACCAAGAAGAAGGGAGGTGACTTAGTGGAGGGGCAGCTCCTCGGCTGGCCCCTAGGTGGCGCTGGCCCCCTGCATGGGATTCACCGTGGCGGGGCTGGAGAGGCTGAGGCTGGGAGCATGAAACCTCAGGGTAAACAGGGATCTGAGAACAGAACATTGCTTTAACATTAAAGCAGTTATATCAGAGAGTGGAAATGTGGAATACAGGCTAATTTAAAGATAACATAGAAAGCTTAGAAGAAACATGCTTGTGGCCAAATCTTTGGTTACTCTCAGGACTCCGGGTTCATTCTCCCCAGCTGGGAGGGCTATGTTGGAGCAAAAGTTTGAGATGCTGTCCATTCCGATAGTTCAACACCCTCAAGGGAGAGATTGGGAAACTGAGGCACAGTGCAGCACTGGGGCTGCCATTTTGCCCTCATCTTAACAGCTTGCCTACTTAAGCTGTTTTCCCATGAATGTGTCCGTGAGCACCTCACCATCTGGGTAACCCCGTGGAGGGGGCGTCCTCCAGTGCTAAAGAGGGTGCTCTGGTCTTCTCTCCCGGGCTCTCTCACCATCTCGCCCAGGCCCTCAGTTTCTACCTGCACAGCTTGCCAGACCTCCCACGTGAACTTCCCACCTGTGCCCCAAATCCAGCGCCTTCCTTCTGTGTCTACCTGGTCACCCCAACCCCTCCCTCTCTCGAACCTCTATAGCCACGCCCAGGGCCCAAGAGGCGTGGTCACTTCTTGACAGCGCTGTTCTCACCATAGCTCAGCACCTGTCCCAATACCCCCAAGTCCTCATGACCTCTCGCATGGACTTATGGTGGCAGTAATAATAGTAGTAGTAATTTTGAAAAATAGCAACTAAGGCTGGGTGCAGTGGCTCACGCCTGTAATCCCAACACTCTGGGAGACTGAGGCAGGAGGATTGCTTGAGCCCAAGAGTTTGAGACCAGCCAGAGTAACATAGCGAGATCCTATCTCTACCAAAAAAAAAAAAATAGCCAGACATGGTGGCAGCTACCTGGAAGGATTGCTTGAGCCCGGGAGGTTGAGGCCACAGTGAGCTATGACCCCACCACTGCACTCCAGCCTGGGCCATAGAGCAAGACCCCGTCTTAGAAAAAAGCAACAGACACGTATAGATAATACTTACTACATTCCAAACTGTTCTAGGCACTTTGCTTGCATTGGCCCATTTAATCCTCATACCTTTCCGGGAGGCAGGTACTTCTTATTCCCATTTTAGAGATGAGGAGACTGAGGCACATTGAGGTTAAGTAACCTGCCTAAGGTCACACAGCTATTATTAGGTGGCAGAACTAGGCAAATATTTCCTGGATGAGCCTCCTCCTCCCCTCACACTCACCTCCACCAGGCCCCAGTGTCCTAGAGCCTGCTCTGATTTTGTCTCCTACCAGCTTGGGGGTCATCAGAGTTCCCTGCAGGCCGCTGGGTGACATTCAGACATTTTTCACTGGGCATTCTAGGCTCTCCTCCAACCAGCCCAGCTTACTCTTCCACCCTGTGGTTCTGCCATCAAACTGGGCCTGGGTTCTATTCATTTCTCCCACAGAACCTCCTCTGACATCCATCTCTCCGTGCCCAGAGCCTTCCTGTGCCTCTAAGTCTGCCTTCAAGACTTCCTGCTCCAGAGAGGCTTTGCTGACACTCTCACCTAGAGTGGTCTTTCCTTCCTCTAACTCCCCTGACACTTCTGTGATCCCCCTTGTTCCATGGCCCTTGTCACTTTTTGCCCTGAGGACATATCTTCTCTCTCCAACATAGGTGATAGATGATTCCAGGGGAGAAGCAATATATGTCTCCACCCACCCCATAAATGTATGTCAAAGAGATCTGTTTGTATCTGTTATCAAGGTGGCACCAATGTATGCACCACTGGCCCGGGGGCAGGAAACCTGGTTTCTAATCCTGTCACTACCCAGATGGCTGTGTGACTTTAGGCAAATCACCTGGTGTCGCTGTGCTTTAGTTTCCTTCTTGCTGGAAGTAGATAGCAATACTCACCCAGACAGAAGAGACCACGGTAAAGATCAGCTGACGGCCTCTGTGGGAACAAAGACAGGGAAAGGGGAAATGAGTTCACCAGAAACCAACAGGCAGCACAGGAGGTATGAAAATTGCCTGGCTTTGTTTGATGGGACATTAGGGAAAAGTTGTGCCTAGACTTCCCTTATTAAAAACAAAACAAAGAAAAACTGGCGAGGGTCAAATGAGAATACAAATACAGTAAGTGCGGAAGTCTCGTGGGGGGCCTCAGGGCTGGGTGGCTCTCGTCACTTTGCCCAGTCTTGGCCTTGGCACTACTGGGATTTGGGACTGCATCACTCCCTGCCGTGGGAGGCTGTCTTGTGTACTGTAGGATGTTTAGCAGCATGCCTGGCCTCTACTCACCCCCTCAGTTGTGGAAACCAAAACCGTCTCCAGATGTTACCAAACGTTCCTGGGGGTAAAATCGCCCCTGGTTGAGACCGCTGAGTTAGCCACCAACAAGCCTTCTCTGAGCACCTACTCTGAGCCTAGCCCCATGATTTATCTGACACAGGTCTGGTTTGGAAGTTAAAGCTTACACTCAAAGAATAGCTAAAGAGGTTCTTGCTGCCAAGTAAGAGGGATGGTGATGGAGAGGGGAGCCTCAGAGGCCCTGGGCAGCCCTTGGGCTGGGTCCCAAAGGAGGAACAGGGGAGATTGGAATTGGCTGAGAGAGGAAGGGGGTGCATTTTTGGTGAGGGGAGCAGCCTCAACCAACACAAGGGACAGGTACAGATAGGGCCGCTTTGCAACATCAAGACTTCTTTGGCTATACTGGGTGGAGGGTGCGTGTGTTCCGGGGAACAGTGGGAGAGAAGGTTAAATAAATATTCCCGGTTGATCGTGGGACCCTGGGTCTGATGGGAGAACCCAGTTGTGTAACCCAGACTCAATACCAGTCTCCCACAAATCCTCCTTAAACCCTTCTCCCCTGGCCCCGTGGTCTTCACACCCCACACTCTAATGGGGCTGGGCTTGGACCACACCCATGGGTGGTTGGAAGCCCTCAAGACTCACCCTGACTGCCTGGAAGCATGCCTTACCTGGTAACTGGTTTTTCCTGCAGGTGGTAAACCCGAAAAAGAAAATGAAGAAAAAGAAATACGTGAATTCTGGCACAGTGAGTAGCCACCCCGGTCTCTGCAGCCGGGTGTAGACATTCTGAGCCCCAAGCTAGGTCTGGTATCAGGGAGGCCCGTGCGTCTGTGTGTGTGCAGGGGCTGAGCGTGGGAATCAGACATCCAAGAGAGATGGGGTGGGGAGGGGTGGGGCAGATGGAGCAACAGCCAGGGGAGAGAGTTGACTTGCAGACCACACAACAGGCGCTGGCTGTATCTAGCATGAGGAATCGCAGAGACATCCACGGGACTTCCTGCAGGAAGGAAGAGGAAGAGAAGTCGTATTTATTGGGCCCCTACCCTGGGAAATTCCCCACGTTGGTGCTTTTCACAGGTTGTTGCCCTGAGAGGCAGATATTATCATCCCCTAGTCATGAAAGAGGAAACCAAGGCTGCAAGCAGGAAAGTGACTCAGCCAAGGTCACACAGCTAGAAAGTGGTAGAGATGGGACTCAACATGACATCTCACTCCAGAGCTGGCAGCTGCTACGGGCGCTGCCCCTGCTTAACCGTGACCTTCCTGGGATGACACGCCGGCCTAGTGGCTTCTCGGGGCTGGTCTTGAGGACATTCATACGCTTCTTCAGCAAATACTTACTGAGTGCTACTGTGTGCCAGGCACTATTCTAGGCACATCAGATACAGCTGGAAACAAGACAGACCCAAATCCCTGGTGCTTATATTCTAGTGGGAGGAGACAGAGAAAAAAAAAAAACACACACACACACACACACATGCCTGTGTGTGTCAGTTGATTATGAGAGCTATGGAAAAAGTATAAAGGGTAAAGGGACAGGCAATGGAGGAAGTATTGAGGATACTGGGGAAAGGGAATTCCAGCATTCCTGCTGTAGAGAACAGCACATGCAAAGGCCCTGAGGTGGAGCTCACAGTGCATTTCTAGAACAAGCCACTTTCTCTGCAGTGCAAACACACCCAGATTCATCCTCTCTGTGTTCCTTCCTCACTCTAGAGGCCCATGGCTAGTGCAGCCAAGCCTGGTCATTTGAGTCAGGCAGACTGTATCTCCAGACCTAGAAGAGGTTTTCAGGAGCTCTGGGGTTCCTCTGAGAAGCCTCATTTTCTCCGTCTGTAAAGTAGGACTAATAAATCATCCCCACCTTGCCACTGCACAGGGCAGCTGTGACAGACACATGGGAGATGCAGGCTTGTGAACTGTAAAATTACTCTGCTCATTCAAAGGGGACTGAACACCACTTCTTTGATTGTAACTGCTTCACAGACTGGGGCTTGGAGTCATATTTCCTTTGTCCAAGGCTGCGGTGTTTCTTAGTGGAGAGGCTGTCAGCATTTGGGCAGGAAAATTCTTCATCTCACAGGATGTTTAGCACCCCTGGCTGCTGCCCATAGCTACCAGTAGAGCCCCAGTCATTATGAGAACCCCCAAAATTCTCCCACGCCTTCCTAAATTCCCCTAGGGAAGACAGCACCTTCCCCAGCTGGGAATAAAAAGGTTCAAAAACCACTGATCTCATCCAGCCTTCTTACTTTAGAGACGAAGAAACTGTGGCCTAGAGAGGGCATGCGATTTGTCCCAGGTCACACAGTGAGCTGGAGACAGAGCGGGCCTAGGCCCAGGTCTCTTGACTTTCCTTTTACTCCAGCATTTCCCCATCTTCATCGCGAAAAATCACCCGGGATGCAGAAAGCTTGCTGAAATACAGACGCCCAGGCCAGTTCCCTGGGATTCCACTTTAGGAGGCCCAGGAATCTGTGTTTAGTGCTTTTCATCCCTTACTTATGGTGTGCAGAATCCCCTGGGGATCTTGTGAAAATGCCAAGAATCTGCATTTCTGCATTTCTACCTGGCATCGAGGTGATGCTGACGCTCTGGTCTAGGGACACTACCCTTTGAATAGGGGAAAGTCTGCTTTCACCCTGCGAGCCCCTGGGTGAACCCATATGGTCAGGGCAGTTAGGGCATTGCTTCATCCTGGGGGTTGGAATGGGGAGTGGTCAACTGTGTCTGCAGATTAGACTTACGTGAAGAGCTAAAAAAAAAAAAAAAAAAGAAGATCTCTGAAACATTCATGTAGCCCCGGAAACTCGGCTATAATGGGTCTGGGCTGCAGGATGATCTAAGAGCCCCCAGGGCATCTCATGGTCATCAGTCAGGGTTGAAGCCACTGCCGTGGTTCCTAGTAAGTCTGAGCTGCCACACTTGGAAGGAGGCCTGTGGTTCATCCAGGTGCCTAATACCTTAACCACAATAGCTGGGGGTCTTACTGCCAAGTAAGGGTGGTGCTCTCACCTGGCCCTCCCAATGAGCCTGTAAAAACAGCTGAATCTTCATGAATAGGGGGCTCCCAAACTACCAGAGAGGAGTTCGTTCTCTTACACAGGTGAAAGGTCCTCTGCCCTAATCTTGTCTCATATAATTGGCCTAGGATGCCAGGCTTTCATTTGTCTCCTTGATTCTAAATTGTTATGATAATGAGCTGCCAGGTAGCTGCCTGTCTTGGCAAAGCCAAAGCTAACTTTGCCAGGGCATAGGTTAAAAGGCCTCTGCTTGGGGGAGGGGGCCTGGGGTAGTCAGTTACCTCTGGGGAAAAGGATGGGCTACTTATGAGGCAGGATCTTGGGTCTGAGAGGGATGAGATGGGACCAGTAAGATTTAAGATAAGCACAGTCCAAAGAGGCACATTTCAGGACTAATAGCTCTAGGCACATGGAAGCCTGAAGCTGGTCGGCATTGGCAGGTTGTTAGGCCTGTGCCAGGAGGGCCCCCTTGTCCTCCACACCCCACCCTAGGTCCCTGGGGCTGAAGAGCCAGTGCCCACTTAGAGGAAACTAACACCCTTGGCTTGGACCCCGGTTCCACTGACACAGATGGGACCCTTCCGTCAAGGTCAAGAGTGCAGGCTCTGAAGTCAGACACACCCTGGTTTCAGATCCCTTCTCTGCCCTGGCAGTGTCCTTGGGCACATTGCACCACCTCTTTGGGTTTCAGTTTCCTTGGCTATAAAGTGGGGATAATAATAGTACTTCATGGGGTGGTGTGGGCAGTGCATGCAGTCATGCATGCAAAACTGGCACATGCCGAGTGTTCTGTCAATGTCAGCTCTCGAATCATAACCCATCTCCCCTGACCCCAGGCTCCCCACTGACCAAGCTCCCTTTTGTTTTGAAGGTCACCCTGCTTTCCTTTGCTGTGGAGTCAGAGTGCACCTTCCTTGACTACATCAAAGGAGGGTGAGAAGAGATACAGCCAATTTCATGGGCCTTGGGGAGAGGGAAAGGGCCCCACACACCGACAGGACCGGCTCTGGCCCCACCCTGGCCTCTTCAAAGCCCTGGTTGAAGGCTGTGGTGCTGGGCTCTGAGCAAACCCTGGTGTTTGGGCTGAGACAACTCATCCAGAGCCCTGCACATCCCCAGATCCCAAGCAGCTTGGAGGGAACTCCTGAGCCAAGGAGGCTGGCCTGGGTCATGTCAGGTCTCCATGCAGAGACAGGACCTGGAGCTGGTAGGGACTCCGTGACAGAAAGCCAAGGGCTTGGGGATGTAGAAAGAACCCTGCAATAGGAGTCAGGAGGCCCAGGCTCTAGGCCTCTCTTTGCCATTAATTTGCTGGGTTCCTTTGGGTGAGTCATTTTTCCTCTCAGGGTATCAGTTTCCTCCTCTGTACACAAAGAGAACGGAATAGGTAAGTGTTAAGGTTCCTTACAGCTCTGAGCTTCTGACACCTCTGATCTGTCTGGTTGGGGGAGGGGGACAGTGATTAACCTGCTCACTGTTATTAGGGCCCTGTAAGGGCAGCGGGATTGGGGATAAGCCAGGGATTGGTCCTGGGGCCAGCAGGTGGTCAAACATGAGTTTAAGGAGCAGAAAGAACCACCAGGCACAGTGTCTAGGCCCAGACAGATGGGGGAGCCAGGAGGCCCCAGCCAGCAGCTCACGGAAAGAGCCTGGCTCTAAGGGTAGAGCCTGCCCAGCATGCTGCCTGCCAGGACAGGTGCCAGGTCAGGGCGTGGGCAGCCAAGAGCCCGCAGGTGAGTGACTGCACCTGTCTGGAAAGGAGACAGGCAGGAGCAACTGCCAAAGGCTCATCCCAGCCAAGTGGACCCTTGGCTGCCTGGTTCTCCAGGGCAGAGGGAGAAGTCAGGTCCTGGGAAGCCACACTCACTTTCCCATGACAACACTCCCTGCTGCCTTGAGCTTGCAGTCTCAAGGCTGCAAGCTCTCCTCCTACCCACTGAGCACACACCCTGCCTCCAGTCACTCAGGAGCTCCTCTGCTCTTACCTGCCCCTCCTCTGGGCTGACTCCAGACCCCGCCTTTGCACTCTTCCCCCATCAAAATTGCTTCCCTCTCAATCCCATTAATCAGCCACCCCTTACAGTCCATAGCACCTGGTAACTCTCAAACACCCCTCATCCTGTTTATTTTTATTTATGTTTATTTTATTTTATTTTATTTTATTTATTTTTTGAGACAGAGTCTCGCTCTGTCACTCAGGCTGGAGTGCAGTGGCACAATCTCGGCTTACTGCAACCTCCGCCTCCTGGGTTCAAGCAATTCTCCTGCCTCAGCCTATCAAGTAGAGTAGCTGGGGCTACAGGCATGCGCCACCACCCCCAGCTAATTTTTGTATTTTTAGTAGAGACGGGCTTTCACCATTTTGGCCAGGCTGGTCTCGAACTCCTGACCTCAGGTGATTCGCCTGCCTCGGCCTCCCAAAGTGCTGGGATTACAGGCATGAGCCACCACACCCAGTCCATCCTATTTATTTTTTTCATTTGCATAGTACCCCCAACTTACAGAACACAGTGGGCAGGATCAGAACAGTTATCCCCATTTTACAGAGCTTGCCTGAAGCCACACGCCTAGATGGTGGCAGGGTTCCTTCTCCCATAACATGCTGCCTTTCATTCTATAGTAATGAATCAGTCTAGCCTGCCTGACTTGCAGTTAGCGGGTGGGGTGGGATGAAGATGGAGACTGATGAGTTAAAGGGCTGGATGCTGTGAGGTTTCATCGAAAAGGAGCCCTCAGAGGCTGAGCTAAGCTGGTGCCACCCATACTGGGCAGGTTATAGCCCCAGAGCCAGCCCTCTCTTTAAACTCTCTGGAGAGCCTGAGTGAGGGAGCTGGCTCCAGGGACTGAGAGCCTGGCATGCATGCCCAGGCAGGAAGCTGATGTCTAGGGATCCTCTCCTCCCTGGCCTCCCTCACCTGCCCACCTGGACCCAGGAGGAAGGGTATGGGTACTTTGGCCCCACTGTCAGAGGAGGAGCTGGTTGCTCAGCAGCCTGTGTTCTACCCTTAGGCAGGAGACACTAGGCTGCTGCGAGTAATTTTCCCACAAGAGGATCTGCTTTCCAATTGCTTCCTTTCCCAAGGCTTTTCAGAACCCAGGGCAGGGGAGGACTAGTTAGAGCAAGGCCTGCCTTTCCCCTCACCCTGTATTTGGAAGAGCCAGTCCAACAGTGTCCCTCCAGTATAGTCCCACAGGCCAGAATCATCTTCCCAAGAGTGGCCCTGGGAGCGGGACTTTCACCCTCCAAATGTCTCCCTACCTCTAACAAAGACATGCGTTCTACATTCCACACTGAAGCGGGGGTGACAACAAACAGCAGATGAGTATGGTAGGTCAACTGCTGTAACACATAATTCCCTAACCTCAAGCCTTCATACCAATAAAGGTCTGTTTTTCATCTGTGGGATGGCAGGGTTGGGTGGGGAGATGATCCACGCAGTCATTCAGGGACCCAGGTTCTTGCTAGCTTTGCGGCTCCTTCTATCCTACTGCCTGGAATCCTCTGGATGCTCTGCCCCCAGCCAGCAGAAGAGGAGAAAGAGGTGGGGATGACTGTCTGTGGCCAGCAGACCCTGGCTGGGGTCTCCTGCTAACCATGTCCTTGACATTTCCCTGGGGGTGAGTGAGGGTTCCATGAGCAGCAGCTCAGCTGTGATCAGGTGGTTTCTGATAGGGACCTTCTGCTGTGTCTGTGACAGGGATCTTGGGCTGATAGAGCTGTGGTTTCTGATAGGCACCTTCTGCTAAATGCAAGTGAGGTGAGGCCTACCTGATCTTACATCATCCATAGCCCCAACTAAGAATTACTAGAACAGAGTTTTCCCCAGCGTTATCCCAGCCTCGTGTCCTCATAATCCCTGGATGAAGGCAGTGGACATTTTTTCAAGAGGTAGATTCTGGGAGCCACTCCAGACAAACTCAATTGGCATTTCTGGGGTGGAGCCCTGGAATCTTCTTAAGCAAGCACCCGTAGTGATTCTATGCTCACTGCCGTGTGAGAACCATAAGACTAGACTTTATCAGGGACTTGTGTTTGTCAGCTTTGTTCTGTCTGGACCCGGCAGAGAACCTAGAATGGCCAAGCCCTCAGAAAGTCTCAAGCCTGAATCTGAATCCTCAAAACCTAACTTTTTATTATAGAAAACGTCAAACACATGCAAATGTGGAGAAAAGGTATAATCAACATGCAAGTACCCTTCACCCAGCTTCAGCCATTACCACATCATAGCCAGTCTTGTTTCATGCACTCCACCCTTCATTCAGTCATTTATTATTATTTTTTATTTTAGTGGGTTTTTTTTTTTTATTTTTGAGGTCTCACTATGTTGCTCAGGCTGGCCTTGAACTCCTAGTGTCAATCAATCCTCCCACCTCAGGCTCCCAATATCCAATTTGAAGCAAATCCCAGCCATCATATTTTATCCCCAAATGCTTTAGGATGTCTTTCTAAAACATAAGGACTCTCTCTTTATCAAACATAACCACAATACCATAACCACACCTAAAAAATTAACAATTCCTTAATACTAAATATCTAGTAAATGTTTACATCTCCCCAATTATCTTATAGTTTTAAAATTGGTTTGTTTGAGTCAGAAATCCAGGCAAGAGCCATAGGCTGTGATTGGTGGGTTGGTCTCTTAATTCTCTTTTCATCTATTCATTCCCCCCAAGCACCTGAATGGCTTGCTAACACAGATTCCTGTACCCCACCAAGAGAATCTAATATTCAGCCAGATGTGGTGGCTCACACCTGTAATCCCAGCACTTTGGGAGGCTGAGGCAGGAGGATTACTTTTGCCCAGGAGTTCAAGACCAGGTTGGCCAATATAATGAGACCCCATCTCTGCAAAAAGAAAAAAAAAAGCCAGGTGTGGTGGTGCGTGCCTGTGGTCCCAGCTATTTAGGAGGCTGAGGTGGGAAAACTGCTTGAGCCCAGGAGGTTGAGGCTGAAGTGAGCTGTGATCACGCCACTGCATTTCAGCCTGGGTGACAGAGCGAGACCTCTTTTCCAAAAAAAGATTCAGGAGAGCTAGATAGAGTCTGAGAGGCCCAGCATATTCCCAGGAGATGGTGCTGCTGCTGTCTCTGGTAGTGCTTCTACAGAGTTTCCCAAAGACTGGATTTTGCTGGCTGCATCTCCTGTGGTGTCATTTAATGTGTTCCTCTGTCCCTTGTATTTCCTGTAACTAACTAGACAGCTCTGGAGCCTCAATCAGAATCAGGTTCAATTTTTTGGTAAGACAACTTCATGGGTGGTATTCTATTCTTTCTTTAGGAGATGCATAATGTCTATTTGACTCTCTTTTTTGTCAAATGAGTTTTCGTCCTGAATCTCACTCCAAATTTGAGTCAGCAATCCAATGAGACCCAACCTCACCCAGCCTACACAGGTGGGCCCAGGGGGTAGGGTTTGTGGAGGAAATAAGTGACCATAGCCACATGCCCACACAGAACACAATCATCTTCAAAGAGCTTTCCTACTGCATAACTCTTCTGATGCTCATTAATCCTGTAAGGGGGGCATAGCTGGCATTACTATCTCAGCTCTCCAGAACTAGAAAGAGATGAATGACTTCACCAAGGCCACACACCTGGCAAGCAGCAGAGCCAGGGTGGTAGCCAATGTCTAGCACTGTCCCCCCTCCCACAGCCCTGCCTCCCTCCAGGTGACTCCCCTGCTGTTCTCCCTCTTCTAGGACCCAGATCAACTTCACTGTGGCCATTGATTTCACTGCCTCCAATGGTGAGTTGGGGGATGGGTAGAGGAGCAGGGTGGGAGGAGAGAGCTTTTAAGGGCTGTGGCATCTGGCCCTGGCTGGGACCATGACCCTCATACTCTCTGGCCTCTTCCTCACCAAAGAGGATGTACCTAGGTCTGGAGGACCAAAGATACAACCAAGATGGCAGTAGTATCCCCAGGTTGGACCATTGACATAAATCTGGGCTCTGAGCCACAGCCTTGTCCTTGAGGAACACCCAGTCTCCCTGGGGGAATGGGATTGTGTGTACTCTGGGCCTATGGAGGGCCCTGGAGATGTTTCCCCCCGGGATCAAATCCCAGCTCCTCTGTGCAGTCCAACCCACAGGCTGGAGTGGAGAATCAGAGCCAAGGCTGAGCTCTGTGGTGTTCAGGGAGGCAGGATCCAGCCCAGGGACCCCAGTCCTTACCTGGCTGGGGCTGCCCTGGCTTCCTTACCTCCTCCCAATTTCTCCAGTGTCAGCCTGTGGCTGAGTCACTAGGAGCAATAACAGTGCCCAACTTTACATGATTAGAAACATCACAACCTCCCTTGGGCTCTGGGCTCTATTAGGGGTGCTCAGTGCTAATTTTTGCACCAATCAAAAATGCCCAGGTCTTGCCCTCTACAGGTGTCAGGAGCTCCTCTTATAGCTGTAAGTCCTAGCATCATAGAGCACTGGGCTATCAGAGCTGGAAGGGGCCTTAGTAATAATAACACTGAGGATAGTTATCATAATATCGATAGCATCTGTGTAATATTCACATCAATCCTATGAAGTAGGAACTATTATTGCTCTGATTTTACAGGTGAAGAGACTAAGGCTAAGGTTAAGGAACTTACCCAAGATCACATAACTAGCAGGAGGTAGACAGGATTGGTACCTTGGCAATCTGTGCTGTACTACCTCCCATCAATGAACAAATAAGTTAAATACAGACTATATTGGCAGCGAAGAGGGCTCTGGGGGGGGAAATCAAGCCAGGAAGAAGGATAGGAAGGATTGGGGGAGGCTGTAATTTTTAATAGGCTGCTTGGAAAAGATCACACTGAGGAGGTGACACTTGAGCAGAGACCTGAAGAGGCCAGGGAGCGGGCCAGGGAGTGGACATCTGGGGAAGAGTGTCCCAGGTAGAGGGAACAGCCATCACCAAGGTCCTGAGGTGGGAATGGCGAGGGGCTGGTGAGGCTGGGACTGGCGAGTGACAGGGAGGAGGGTAGGAGATGACCTGGAGGCCAGATCATGAGTGCTTGCGGGCTCTTGTGAGGACTTTGGGTTTCATTTTGGGGGAGGTGGAGGCATTGAGCGTTTTGGGCAGAGGAGAGGCATGATCTCTCTGAGGCGGATAGGCTCAGTCACTGCTGTGCTGGATATGGGCTGGAGGCACAGGGGCAGAAGGAAGTGGGAGATCAGTTAGGAGACTGCTGCATCCTATAAGCAAGAGGGTGGTGGTATGGGGAGGAGGAGAGGCGGAGGAGGGATTCTAGATCTGTTTTGCTGAAGGATTTAACATGGGGTATGAGAGAAAGAGAGGAGTCAAGAATTAATAAAAGTTAGGGGTGCCCTTGGACACCCCCTTCTTCATTCTGAACCCGGGGTGACTTGGAGGGTCCAGATGGTCAAAGGCTCCCATGTCCTGTGTTACAGGGAACCCCTCACAGTCCACATCCCTGCACTACATGAGCCCCTACCAGCTGAACGCCTACGCGCTGGCGCTGACTGCCGTCGGAGAGATCATCCAGCACTACGACAGTGACAAGATGTTCCCTGCCCTGGGCTTCGGGGCCAAGCTGCCCCCGGATGGCAGAGTGTCCCACGAGTTCCCACTGGTAGGTGGTCCCGCTGGTGGGAGAGAGGACTGATCAGGCTGGGGGTGAGGTGACAAGCTGGGGGTGGGGGGACGTTTCCCTTCCTCTGAGCCCGGGGACTTAAGGCTCAGCCTCAGTGGAGGTAGACTGCCTGCTGTGTGTAGGGGGGCTCCAGAAATCCACTCCCTTCCCTGATCACAGATGCTGCCCCTCCATGTCTGAAGCTGCCTGCCCACAGCTGGCCCTGGCTTCCTTGTTCCTGACAAGACGCAGGTGCAGGTGGAGGCGAGCTGTGGCTGACCCATCCCTCAGGGCCCCAGAAAAGTGAACAAGGTGGTGTGGGTTGGGTATCCCTGAGTCAGTGCTGAGATGGGATGACGTGGATCTCCAGGGTGATGTGGAGCATGGCGTCATCTGGGCATCCCGGGCCCTGTGGAGATGATTGCACAGGCCACCCCTTTCCCTGGCTCCCACGAGCTGGGGACACTCAGGCACAGCAGACGTCCCTCCCATGCCTGAGGGTGCAAGGTGCTGTGCTGGGCCCAGTGTGCACGTGGACAGATCAGCCACAGGTCCTTCCTGAGTTGCTGAGACCCAGCAGTCATTTTAGGGCAGAGTGGATTTACCCAAGGTTCCCTGAGGGAAGCAGCCAGGGATCTTGGGGCATCTCTGAACAGGTACAGGGAGCCGGGTAAGGAGCAGGTTTGGACCCAGCTCACCTGAAGCATGCACTGCTTCAGGATGGGCCCTGGGAGCTCCCTCCCCTGCCCCGCCACCCCACACCAGAGAAGACCTGGGGGAGCCCAGGCCTGCTGGCCTCCCCACCTGGACTCAGTTCCCACACATCGTGCACCCCTGTCCTTCCTTCCTGGGCTCAGCCTCCCTGCCCTCTGTCCCCCAGAATGGCAACCAGGAGAACCCCTCATGCTGTGGCATCGACGGCATCCTGGAGGCCTACCACCGCAGCCTGCGCACTGTGCAGCTGTACGGCCCCACCAACTTTGCCCCCGTGGTCACCCACGTGGCCAGGTGAGTGCCGCTGCCACCGCCTCCAGGCACTCACAAGGCCTCTGTTTCCACACCAGCTCTGCCTCTGGGTGGTGGGAGGGGGTTTCTCTTCCCACGCACTTGCCTTTCAGGGAGCCCTGACCCTGAAGAGATTCCCCCAAGAGCTGTCACCCTCCAAAGTGTTCAGGGTCCTTGTTTAGGGGGGAACATGCCCAGAGGTCCCGCAGACAGACCTGAGCCCACACCTGCCCCACCCAGGAATGCAGCGGCCGTGCAGGATGGCTCCCAGTACTCGGTGCTGCTCATCATTACTGATGGGGTCATCTCGGACATGGCGCAGACCAAGGAGGCCATTGTCAACGTAAGCAAGGAGTGTGCGGTGGGGGAGGCGGTTTGAGGAGTGTCTTCCTCCCCGTTAGGGGAACCCTGGGGATGTGCCTACCTCCTTGACCTTAGGGAAATGCTTGGAGATGACTTGGGCGTGGCTTCTCATTTCCCTGCCTCACTGGGCCCCACTGCCCTCATCCACCTTCTGGCCTCTGGCTGCAGAGTCCGGTGCTGGATAGTGGATTCTAGCGGGTGGAAGGGGTGCCCAGATCATGAGAGATCTGGCTGGTGAGCTCTGTTCCCACCTCTTAGTCACGCTCTGGTCTACTCCCTCCAGACCCCAATGACTCCCTCATTAACCCATCTCTAGGACCGCTTCCCCCTTTCCCAGGCCAGCCTGGCCAGGTCAAAGGAGTGGGAGGGGAGGCTCAGAGTTGGGGAAGCTCAGGAACATGGCTCCCCAAGCCGGTGGTCTCCCTGTAAGAGGGGATGGGGGTGACTCACCAAAGCAGACCTATGACCCATTCCCCCTGCCACCCTCCCTCTCTCCTCCAGGCGCAGCCTGGTTTCCTTTGCTCTTTATCTCTGAGTGCCCTCCCTCTCCCTACCCCCTTTTCTGTGTTTCTCTGTCTCTCCATGTTCACTCTCCCATTTCTTTCCTGCCCACCCCTTCCTGTCCTACCCCTGATTTCTCCTTCCTTTTAACTGGGTCCCAATTGGGTCCAACCTTTCCCTGCCCCCCATGCTGTCTCCCAGGCTGCCAAGCTCCCCATGTCCATCATTATCGTCGGCGTGGGCCAGGCAGAGTTCGACGGTGAGTCCAGCTGCTGCCTTCCCCTCCTTTCCTTCCCTAGCCACGCAACCCTGCCCCCACCCCAGATGTTTCCCCAGAGGCTGTGGTCCCCTGGGAATGACCCCTCCCAAAAGAGTGAGAGCTCCCGCCTGGGCGTGTGTGTCTGGGTGAGTGTGCAGGGTGTGGGACGCATTTGTTTGCTCAGGGAAGGGTGTGTCAGGTCTGGGTGTGCACCCACACCCACATCCCAAGGCTGTGGGGAGGAGGCCCCAAGTCACTTCTTTCTCCTCCAGCCCTGGGAGTCTGGGGAGGGTGGTGAACCAAAGCACTGGGCTCAAAGTCAGAGGCTCACCTGATCGGGCTCCTCCTGGCCCCTGGCCTCAGTTTCCTCATCTCTAACACGGGGCATGGGCCAGTGGTCTCGGCCCTGGATTGGCCTGGGATGAAAGGACAAGTCCACTCTCCTGCTAGGGCCAGGGGTCCACCGTTAATCTCACCCCGCCCCATGACACTCCTCCCCTCACAGCCATGGTGGAGCTGGATGGCGACGACGTGCGGATCTCCTCCCGGGGGAAGCTGGCTGAACGCGACATCGTCCAGGTGAAGCCCAGGCCTTGCCTGCCCCATGGGAAATTCAAGAGCCCCTCTAGCCAGGCGGACCTCACACCCCCTTTGGGGGCTTCCCTGGTGAAGGGCCCAGAAGGGAGGCACTGGGAGCCCCAAAGTGGCCCAGCCACCACCGAAGGGAGTAGGAGTCAGTCCTCGGCCATGCTGTGGTCTGGGCTGGGCCCCCCTCTGTCACATCTGGGACACACTCCTAACATTGCGGGTGCCCAGCCAGAGGCCAGAACCCTCTGCCAGCCCTTCCTCAGCCTCCAGGCCTCTGTGGTCAGCCTCGTTCTGGTTTTTTTCTGCCCCTTGAAGGCTGAGGCAGTGTCTTTAGTGTTGCTGCAGCCTTCTCCAAGAATAGGCATTGCTCGGTTAACTGAATCAATGTAAGCATCTCCATGAACGGTGCAAATATAATGAGCAGAAAGACCTTTGTCCTCAGGGAATTCCCATGCAGTCTCACGTGGAAGAATGCACCCTCCGCAAGCACTTCCCCCACTCATCCCCTGCAGAGGAGGCCCTAGTGCTTAGGAGATGCAGAAGACAAAGCTGACATCCTGCATACCCCCTTGGTTTAAAAATTGGGGCCCAGTATCCCAGGTGTGGAGACCAAACATAGGGGGCTGGAAACCAGAGCAAGACAACCTGGGAGGTGGGACCGGCCCATGCTAAGGCCTGGAGGCAGGAGTGAGCCAGAAGAGGCGCTCAGGATGGAGGGCACCCCCGGGAAGAAGCCAGATGGGCCTGGCATTAGGCATTGGCCAGATTAGCCCCAGAGAGAAAAGGAACGAAGAGAGGCCAGAGAGAGAGGGCTCTGCTGGACAGGTCGGGGGAAACCCAGGAGGGCACGTGCCCCAGAAGTCAGGGATTCAGTTGGCATTTCGGAAGCACCTACTCAGAGCCTGTGCTTAGTGCCGAGGTGGAGAAATCGTGTTCAGTGGTGTGTCCTGGTGTGGAATAGGGCTCAGTTTTTGTCGAGTGAATGAAAGAATAGTGACTATGACTATAGTTACTGACTGCCCAAACCCAGGGAGTTGAGGGATACAGTCCCTCAGGTAATTCAGAAAGGTGGGGGGATTGAGTCAAGTGAGCAGAGGCTGGGAGGGGGGTGGGGATGCAACCCCAGGCCTGGAGATTTTGGGGGCCAGGGTCCCACAGGAGGCACTGCCTGACCCTGCCCTCCCACTTGCCAGTTTGTACCCTTCCGGGACTACGTGGACCGCACAGGCAACCACGTGCTGAGCATGGCCCGCCTGGCCCGAGACGTGCTGGCAGAGATCCCTGACCAACTGGTGTCCTACATGAAGGCACAGGGCATTCGCCCGCGTCCCCCACCCGCAGCACCAACCCACTCGCCCTCGCAGTCCCCAGCCCGCACGCCCCCTGCGTCCCCCCTGCACACGCACATCTGAACCTGGTCTCAGCAGGCAGGTGGCTGGGGCCTGGGAGAGGCCAGGTGAATGGGAGGCCAGGGCCCCAGACTCCCCGAAGTTGGCCTGCCCGGCCTTTGGGACATCTGTGTGCCTGGGAGGCTGCCAGGGGGTGGGGCTTCTGAAGACCCCTCCTCAATTTCTTGGCCTCACTTATTGCCCAAACCCAGGGAGTTAGGGGGGTACGGGTGAAAGAGGGGTACACAGGGACCCAGCCCTTCTCTTCTTCCCCAATACCTGGCTCTAACCCAGCCAGGAAGGTGTAAACAATAAGGGTGATTGGGGTCCCTGTCGCCCACCCCCGGCAATCCTATTTGCTTACCTGTCACCCTGAAGCCTGGGCTTGGCCTCCTCCAGCCCCCCATCTCCGTCCCATCCTCCCATGGTGTCTACTCCTGTCCCTGAGCCCCGCCCTGTGGTCTATCCTGTGCCCGATTTCCAGTGAACCCCATGAAGCTGATGGGTTTGCAGGAAGGCCTGAACATGTGCACCCTCCCAGGGACACTGGATGCGCTGGGAGCCCCGGGGACCCCATGGGGTGCTGTAATCATGGACCGTAGGCCATGTGATGGGCCTGAAGTGGAGGCTGCTCAGCACAGAGCCCTTTCTGGTGCCTCTCGAACTCAGTACGATGCAAGTTCTAGACACACAGATGGCCTGTGGAGGCCTCTCCCTGGTGTGGGCCCACAGGTACTTCCATGGTTGACTCCTGGCTTCAGGAATCCCTTCCTCCCTCCAGAGGCTTCCCAGGGCCCTCGGTGCCCACGCCTCTGCCCATCTGGAGGCCTGAGTAAGGAGTGGCTCAGCCCCACGTTCCCACACTGCTCCTGCTCTTTGCCCTGTATCCCATGAGGCTAGGAGACAGGAGTCCTGGGTTTGAGCCCTGCCTCCCCCCACTGCCTAATGTGGGAACCCAAGCAAGGCCCTTCTACCTTTTGGGCCTCAGTTTCCATGTCTGTACCACAAGAGGGTTGACCAGATGGCCCCAGGTTTTCCTTTAGGTCTGACATCCTGAGGGTCATTCATCCCATGCCCAGTTCCCCCCATCCTACTCCTAACAGATGTGACCCTACTTGAGGCCGCCTTGGCTTTTGGGTCACCCTGTCTCATCCCATCACCCCAAACATACCCTAGTCCTTCAGCCTGGGGCTCTGGCATCTGAGCCCGAGCTCCTGCCCCTGCTGTGGGAAAGGTGGGGAAGAAGGGGATCTCCCTCCCGGGCCCACCCAGCTGCCCAGCCTTTGCCCACTCGGGGAGCAGATCATGCATGCCAATCCCTGTTGCCGCATGGAGCTCCTCAGCCCACTGACCTCTCCGTGCCTGGTGCAGGCCAGGCCCCCGTCTTCCGCCTGCCTCTGCTTCCCCGTCATGCATGGTGGTGGTGTTTCTACGGTGTCTGGTTCTGTGCCCGTCTCTGAGACAGTCTCTGTGTGGAATTTGCCTTAAACTGAAGTAAATTTGGTTCTTTTAGTAAAGCACGAAGTTTTTCTTTCTTCTCTGAAAAATAGCACTGACGTTGCTGCTTGACAGGGTCCAGTTCTCCTCTGTGGCTTCCTTCAATTGTTTGCTTCAGTGAGATTTACAATCAAAGGCCACGTGCCACGCTCTGTGCTAGGCATTGAGGATGCAGCCATGAACAAAGCACAGACCCTGTCCCTGCACAGGGCTTACAACACACACACAGATAATATGGGAGAGACCCAGCAAACACATCAACAAATAGGCTAGTAACATCATTTCAGGTGGTAGCAAGAGTTCTAAAGACACATGAGGGAGAAGGAGGGTGATGTTTTCGATGAGGTGGTCAGAGAGGGCCTCTCAGAGGAGGTCATGGTTGAGGTGAGCCCCCAGGAAGTAAGACAGGGAGCCACGCTGATATCTGGGGAAGGGAGCTCTAAGTAGAGGGACCAGCAGGCGCAAAGGCCCTGTGGTAGGAGCTTCCTTGGTGCATTTGCAGGAGAGCGAGGCCAGTGTGGCTGGAGCTGAGTGCAGGAAGGGAAAGTGCTAGAGATGGGGTCGGAGAGGTGAAGAGGCCAGAATGCACAGGCCGCATAGGCCATGATGAGGCCTTTGGCATTTACTGAGTGAAACGGGAAGCCATTGAGGAGGTGAGAGAAGTGAGTAACATCATCAGAATTTCCTCTAAAATAAACGGATTGCTTTATTGCATTTGATCACTCATTCACTCATCTCTCAACAAGTATTTACCAAACATGAGTGCCAGGCCCCACTCACGTATTGGAGACCATGCTGGAGATGCACACACAGAATTGCACCCTCAGGGGTGCCCCTGCTCTGGGGCAGTGAGCGAGGAAATACTACAACCATGGGGTACTGATGCCAAGCCATCAGGAGGGGCTGGGTAATCTGTGGGCACCAGAGTCACTGTGCCATGAGGAGGAGTCTGGCATCCCCTGTGCAATGGGGTCGTCACCACCACCCCCATCCTTGCAGGGTCATCGTGTGGCCAGAGTGACGAGTACATAAGGTTGCATGTGACATATGTGACATGCGCCCAGGACCCATGGCATTTTAGGTGCCCAAGAAACACTGTTTTCCTCTTGTTCCTCTTCACATATAAATCCCTGTGGCCATCAGGGACCAGGATCATAGCAAAAGGGGATTTCTCCCTTCTCTGGGCAAGTTTGTTCCCAGATTAGCCCTCCAGGCAGCCATTCCCACCCTGAACATCACAAGAAATTTGGAACTAATTATACCAAAGTTTGGGACTTGTTTACTTCTTATGATTTTATAGTAAATGGGTGCTGATTCACGGCTGTCCCTATAATTACATGCCCCTGTGACTTACATTCTGATATGCTTTGAGTGGGAACAGGGTGGGGTCACAGCTTGGAAGGAGGGAAGTTCCCATAACCAGCAGCTCATGTCACCTCACCACAGGGGCCGTGGGAAAGTGTCAGGAGAGGGTGCTTGCCTGGCAGGGGGACTGAGGCACAGAGCCACTGCCGGGGGCGGGACGGGACACCAAGAGCATCTTTGCTGTGCCCAACACCGTAGCATCTTGTGGATTCTTTCCCAAGGTGTGTTCCACAGAATACTGGCTCTCTGGCATGGAGTTTGGGAACCTGCCTGCTGTGCGTCCCTCTCGAGAGTCTCAGTGGCCTTTTGGGTATTCAAGGCTCTGGTAAGTCCTACAGCAAAGGGACCAGTATGATTTGGTTCAACCCAACGTTTCTCAAGCTTTGTATCACAGAGTCAGTGTGTGTATGTGTGTTTTGCTGGTAACACCGTCACCAAGCAGAACGTGCTGTCTTGGGAATTTCAGTAGAGACAATCTCCCGGGTTTCCAGGCCAACATGGAAGCCTGAAGCCTGCCCTGAGCAGGCCAGAGGGAGGGCACTGAGGGTGGGAAAAATGGAAACCTCAAATTGGGCTCTGGAGAGAAGAAAAGGGCTCTGAAAGGGATCCCTGCCCCAGGTGCTTCAGGAAGAGAAGCCACAGGGAAGAAAGGAGGGCTTCAGACATTCACAGTCCCGGAGTCATGGCTGCATGGTTGACTGGATTTTTGTCCCCCTATTGGACTGAGGGGTGTGTGGAACAGAGCTGGAGGGGTGGGCAGAGAGGGGAAAGGCTGTCCTGCCTCTGAGCTCACCCCCCAGGCTGTGGCTGGCCCTCTGCTCCCCCTACTCAATCTCCTGGCCTTCAGGATTAAGGACCCTAGGCTGTTACCCCCCAGATCATTCTCCACCCACTTCTCTGCCTTTGGAAGCCCCTCTGTCCTCCTCTTGTCCACTCACCTCAAATACCCCTGAATTAATACAAATAAAATAATAATAGTAGCAATGACCAGCACGCATATGCACTTACTAAGCATCCTTCTAAGCACTTTACATGTGTTTAGCAAATTCATCTTCATAACAACCCTGTGAAGAAGGTATGTACTGTCATCATCCCATTTTCCAGATGAGAACACTGAGACACAGAGGCTCAAGATCACACAATTAGAGAGCAGTGGAGCCTACAGAGATCTGAGCCTGAAAGTGGAGTGGGAGGATCCATCTGGTTACCTAGAGATGTGAGCTCTAGCTGAGCCATTTAGTTGCTTTGTGACCTTGTTTGGGCCATCTGCCCTCTGGGTCTCAGTCTCTCCACTGGTAAAATAGAGGGGATGGGCTGTCAGGTCCCTAAGGGTCTTCCCATCTCCCTTGAATCTCAGCGCATCCATCAGCCTATACTCTTAGACCCCCGCCAGGCCCCACAGGCCTCCTGAGGCCCTGTCACGGCCAGGCTGGACAGTCGCCACCACTGAGGCTGCCACTCCCACACCTCTGGGATGCCTGGCCATCATCGGCCTGCAGAAGAGGTCCCTGAGTCCTGCCTGGAAGGGGCGGGAGAGGTAGAAGCAGAGGATAGGGCTGACAGCGCAATTGGAGTAGGCCAGGATGGTGCAGAGGCTGGAGGCCACAAAAGCAGCCGGTGTGGCAGGCAGGTAGCCCATGGCTGCCACATAACCCAGCATGGAGCAGGGCCCCCACATCAGCACAAAAACCACCAGCACCACAAGGCTGAGCCCTATGTTCTCTTAATGCTCCTGGATGCTCTCTCCCATGGGACCTTGGGGCTGGGTCCACAGGAGCCAGCCCACGTGGCTGAAAGAGCAGCCCAGCCCCAGCGTGCATGGCAGGAAGGCCAGGGCTCCCAGCAGGCTGATGTAGCAGGAGGTCCCAGCAGGGCTCAGGAGCAAGAGGCAGGCCTGGGTCTTGGGAGCCCCCGCTGTCTCCTCCTCCACTGCCACCCTCTGGAACAGCCAGTTGGGCAGGGATTCTGTAAGGCCCAGGGCCCACATGGCCCCACAGAGCAGCAAGAGGGTGCCCCAGCCGGCTGGGAAGGCCAGGTCAGGCCGGGCCACAGCCACATGGCGCAGGAGAGCTGTGGCCACCATGCTATAGAAGATGCAGAACGTGGTGGCTGTGTTGGTGGCCTGGCTAATGGTGCAGATGGCAGGGCCCAGCCACCAGTTGTGCTGCAGGAAGCTCAGCAGCAGCACAGGCACCACGCAGGCCAGGAAGAGCAGGTCAGATGGCGTGATGTTCATCATGAGGCTGTGGGTCAGGGAGTGGAGCGGGTGGGGGGAGCCCGGGCCCCGGCCCACCACCAGCAGCATGAGCCCATTAGCTGACAGCCCCACCAGCAGGATGAGGCCACAGACCCCAGCAGAGATGAGTCGGAGCAGTCGCTCAGGTGTGGCCGTGAGCTGCGTGGTGAACGTAGCATTGGGCTCCATTCTGTTTCAAACACACAAGGACAAAGTAGAAACCAGCCAGCCCCAAAGGCCGCCTTCCCCATTCCTGCTAAGCCTCCTTTTTTCACAGACCCCCTGCATGTAGTGGGCCCAGATAAGGCCTGTCCTTGGCACACATTAGCCCCTGCAGACCTCATGACAACCCCATGGGATGGACTCCATTAGTACCCTGGGTTCAAATCCTGCCTCTGCTGCTTGCTAGCTCCAGTACCCTGGGATTTATTTATTTATTTATTTTTTTAGAAACAGAATCTCACTCTATCACCCAGGCTGGAGTGAGATCTTGACTCACTGCAACCTCCGCCTCCTAGGTTCAAGCGATTCTCATGCCTCGGCCTCCCAAAGTGCTGGGATTACAGGCGCCACCGCACCTGGCCCCTGGGAGAGTTACTTAATGTTTCTCTACCTCAGTTTCCTCAGCTGTAAGAAAGCAAGGAAATAAAATAAAACAGATGTCAATAGTAACTATCATAAGTGGTAAGACTAGGGTAATTTTCATTTTCTTCTTTAAAATTTATTTCTAAAATTTCTGCAGGGAGTACACATTGTTTTCATAATCTGATAAATATATATGTGCATACATACACACACACATATGTATCTATTTTTTGACAAAACAAAAACCCTGCCCTGTGAAACAAGCAGGTTTAATTTGAGGTTCAAATGGAAAAGTGGGTCTGAAAGGGCTTTGAGAAGGTGTGAAGCCCCTTCCAGTGGTTCCCAAGCTTCTCTGCACTTTGGGATCACCTGAGGAGTTTCACAAATACAGAAGCCTGGGTCCCACCCCCAGAGACATGACATAGTTGGTCTGGGCTTTAGCATTTTTGAAAGATCCCAAATAATTCTAAGGGCAGACCAGCCTGGGAATCATTGCCCTCTAGGTTATGCTGTGCAGGCCCCTGGCAGAGTGGGGGAGTCTGCACCCAGTGGTCAGACCTTTCTTCTCACCCCCACTCTGTCCCACATGTCAAGGGCAGGGGGAGTCCCCGATTGGGAGGACTCTGGCTACAAGATGGGATGTAGACATCCTAGAGCCAGCCCAGTGGCTGATGTCACCATTGGCCGCCCTGCAGGCCAGGCCAGGGCCCGGGAGCTTTAGCTGGAGGCTTGCCTGCTAACTCAGTACATATTTCCTGAGCATTTGCTCTGGACCAGGTTCCCGGAATCCAGCAGCAAACAAGACATAGCAGAGGAGTCCTTACTGGAGTTGCCCTCCCCTTTTCTACCACACCGGGGTGGGGGCTGGAGACACTCTTCTCCTGCGGGCTCAAAGCCAGGTTTGAAGGAGTCTCTGAGTCCCTCCTGCAGAGCCCCAGCCTGGGGAACTTGGCTTCGTCTCTGGGGCCCCAGGGCAGCAACGTGCCTGAGGGCAGCTGAGGGGAGACTGGAGAGGGGGCCTCTGTGAATTCTGATGTCGGCCACCTTCCCGGGTCCCACCAGCTTCAGAGACGGCAGGAGGAGGGGAAATGAAGGACCTGTCCTGGATGAAGGCTGTCATCCAGCCACTTTCCTGGCATTTATCACTGCCTTTTCGTCTCTTTTTCCTGGTCCACACCCACCAATGACATGGACTATTACTGGAGAGGAATTGGCAGGGAGCAATACGAGGCTTCAGGGACCTGGCCCCTCCTTCCCCGAAGCATCCGCATCTTCCTGTAAGCAGTTGCATAACTTCAGAGTTAAGTCTATGGGTATCGGCGTTTGCGTTTAACACTGGCTCCAGCACTTACTTGCTACGTGACTACGGGGAAGTTACTCAGCCTCCCTATGCAGTACTTTCCTTTTCCGTAAGATGGGGGAGCACGCCTGATGGTGTGAGGGCTAAATGAATTAACACGAGCTAGGTGCTCAGAACAGTGCCTGGCATACGGTAGGCACTGGGTAAAGGAGGGATGTCATTCTGCCCCTGCTCACCCTCAGCTCCCAAAAGCCCTCTTCTCTTAGAGCTCCTGCCCAGCCTTCCTTCTCTCCCCATGCCCTCCCTTCTCACTCCACAGCCTGAGTCCCATCAGCCCAGTCCCACCCTCCTTTTCTTAATCAGACTCTGGCTAAGCCTAAATCAGAGCCTCCTTGGCTGACATGCCCCAAGAACTCACCACTTGCCTGGAAGTTCACTCTGAAGTCTACCTCAAGTTTCTCCTGCTGCTGTCGTTGCCTACTTTGTGCTGCTCTGAGGTTCCTGGGTCCTGTTCCCTGGCTTGTGAGCCCTTTGACAGCAGGAAAGGCTGGTGGTCCTTGCACAGCTGTGCCCTGCCCAGCAGGTGGATCCGGCCCAAGAAAGCCAAAAGAGGGTGCTGGGCAGTGTGGAGTTCCTCCCAGAACTCCACCTCCTGCGAACCTGAGTTGCCTGAGGCCACAACAGAGCTGAGCTGAGACGGGGAGGCCTGGGGGCCACTCCCGTACCGGGCCCCCAAACGACAGGGGCTGTCTGCTCTACTGCCTCTCCCAGGAATCACACCCTGCCTACCTGCCTCATTAATTCCCTGGCCTACAGGACAGAGATGTTGGTGCCTGCCAGGTCCCTGGGCCCCAGAGAAAGAGCCATTAGCAACTATAGGACCTGTTTCCCATCCTTATCCAGGGCCAGCATCACTCACTGCAGCCCACACCCCTCTCTCTCTCTCTCTCTCTCTCTCTCTCTCTCTCTCTCTCTCTCTCTCTCTCTCTCTCTCTGAGCACACTGAGAAACTGCTCAGTTCAGGGGCAGGCTTGTGGGCTGCGGGAGGGGACCTGAGATGGGAGAAGACATTGGGGTAAAAAGGATCAGTGAAGGGCCCAGTAAAAGAATCAGCTGGAGGGCCGGGCGCGGTGGCTCATGCCTGTAATCCCAGCACTCTGGGAGGCCGAGGCGGGTGGATTATGAGGTCAAGAGATCGAGACCATCCTGACCAACATGGTGAAACCCCGTCTCTACTAAAAATACAAAAAATTAGCTGGGTGAGGTGGCGGGCGCCTGTAGGCCCAGCTACTTGGGAGGCTGAGGCAGGAGAATGGCGTGAACCCGGGAGGTGGAGGTTGCAGTGAGCCGAGATTGCGCCCCTGTGCTCCAGCCTAGCGACTGAGTGAGACTCCGTCTCAAAAAAACAAAACAAAACAAAACAAAACAAAAACACACAAAGAATCAGCTGGACCATGGGAATCATCCACATGGAGTCTGGAGGTTGAATGGGGTCCATTAAGGGAATCTAATCCAACTTTGGCAGCTTCAGATGCTGGGATCTTCTCTACCTCACCTTTGCCAAGCATTACCTGTCTTCTTGTGCGCCTCTGGTGATGGAAGGCTCACTGCTGCTGAGACGTTCCTTTCAGAACTGAGAAGAGGGGTTGGGGCCAGGGCCTAAGACTGTGTGATGCAACAGCCCTCTGTTGCTCCCTCTTTCTCCTTCGTTCTCTCTCTCTGTAACTCTGTTCCTTGAACTGTCTTTGCTTGTCCCCCTATGAAACTGGGGTTTCCATTGATTCAGCCAGGAAATTCCCCAGTACCTGAAGGATTACAAAATACCAAACCCAGGCTGGGGGCGGTGGCTCACGCCTGTCATCCCAGCACATTGGGAGGATCACTTGAGCCCAGGAGTTTGAGACCAGCCTAAGCAACATTGCAAGACCTTGTGTTTGCAAATAGCTAAAAAATTAGCCGGATGTGGTGGCATGTGCCCATGGTCCCAGCTACTTGGGAGGCTGAGGTGGGGGAATCACTTGAGCCCAGACAGTTGAGGCTGTTGTGAGTGGCGATCATGCCAATGTACTCCAGCCTGCGCAACAGAGAGAGATCCTGTCTCAAAAAACAAACAAACAAATTCAGTGCCTGGCACATGTTGTATATTCAATTTGTGATGATGGTAAGATGTGACAGACATACAAACGAAGACCATGGCCGTCTCTCCAAGACTCTAAAGCAAGCTCTCCGAGGGCACTGGAAACCCCAGCCCTAGCTGATAAGGGGCAGCCACCATTCAGGAGGTGAATATTATGGAATTCTGGAAACTTCCACAAAAGCTCCAAATAGAAGTGTGTGAATGATTCTGAGTCTCGGCTCCCCAGCTGCTTGGACCCCCCAGCCACACCCTAGCTGCCCCTCAAATGCATCCAGAGACTGACAACTCAGGCCAAAGCCCTGTGCTTGGGGACACCATGGCATTGGAGCAGGGGGCGGGACCCCCAAATGTGACCCCTGGGAGGTGTGTTTTGTATGGTGGGGAAAGGGAGTGAGGTTGGGGCTCTGGAAGACAGGAGGGCATCGAGGCATATCAGAGGCCTTTGGAACATTACTCTTCCCAGGAACCAGATTCTGCTGGGAAGAAAGCCCATGCTTGCAAATAGAAATAGCGAGGGAGACCAGGCCAACAGCGCCCTGCCAAGCAGAGCACAGAGGGACCGCTCTAACACCGAGCAACATGTGATTAACAGGTTACACTAATTAGGAGCCAGCAGCACCCAAGGGAGCTCCTTGGGAAGTTTCTCTCCTCCTCCTCCACATCTCTTTTTTCTGATTATGTATTGAATACTGTTATTGTTGAAAATCTGAAAATACAAATATGTGTAAAATGGAAAGTAACACCCCCCCCCCACATTCTCCCTAAAATTTTACACCCACAGATGTGCGGCCAATATTTTGGTGTATTTTCCTTAAGTCGTTTTTCTAGACTTTCTTTGTTTGGAGAGTTTTGCCATACCCCTGCCCCTCAAGCCTTGTTCACTCAGCAAAGCCCTCCTTTGGAGTGTGAAAGGCAGAGGTGATGCGGCCCTGCTCTGGGATCCGAGTCCTGAGTTGAGAAGGGTTTTCCTGAACCTCCAAGCTGGTCCTCTGTGTCGTTGCTGTCCAGGAACAAAGGACAGGAGCTGAGGGACAGGAAACCCCATGGGTGTCCATCCTACCCAGGACAGGACAGGTGATCAGGAGCAACAGCCGAATCTCTTGGGCGGCCTCTTGGGGGCCACCTTCACCAGCGAGTCCTTCAGGCCTTCTTCTTGCATCCTGAGTGACCTATGTGACAGTGCCAGGCATCAGGCCTCTCTCTCACCTCCTACGGGCAGCACGGATGGGCCCATGGGTGCAGCTGGGGGGTGGGAGGCCGCACCCACAACCCCCACAACAGCTCTGCCCCTGCCCTGCATTCCACATGAGACCCGAAGAATTGAGTCACTGAGACTTTGACCTTCTCTTTCTGGCCTACTATGTGCCAGGCACTGTGCAGGACTCTGACTATGACAAAGAAGCCACCATTCCCTCCCTTGAGTAGTGAGAGAGACAGACAGGAAAAGGGGTGACTGCAGCCCGGGAATGATGGGGAGGCACACAGGGACTTCACACCAGGTCCTGGAGGGATCTGGGGAGGAAGGAGATGGTGACCGAACTGAGCCATGGACAAGGTATGCCAGCAGAAAGGGTGGGGGAGGTGCATCCCAAGCAGAGGGCCATGGCGCGGCTCAGTGCCGAGAGAGCTTGGAGGCTGGGGAAGCAAAAGAAGTCCATTCATTTCTTCGTGATATATTTACTGTGTGCCAGATGGTGCTCATCTGATCTAGCTCCCCTCATGCCTTACTCATTTTATTCATTTATGGAGCACCTAGGTCCCAGGTATGGGGAGAGGGGCTGAACAAAACAGACATGGCCCTGCCTTCCTGGACAACAAGAAAACAGATAAATGCATATATCATTAATATGTGTCGTGTCAAGAAGGGCCATGAAGGACACAAACAGGGGCTGTGATCCAAAATAGTGATGGCAGGTGGGTGATCAGGGAGGGAGTCTCTGAGTGGCTGGAACTTGGCAAGTGTGTGTGTGTGAGTGTGAGTGTGTGTAAGAGTGTGAGTGTGTGTGGGTGTGAGTGAATGTGTGTGTGTGTAGGGGTGGGGGAGATGGCACTAGAGATGCTGCAGGCCATTGCAAAGCATTTGGATTTTAATGGAAGCTACTGGAAGTTTGGGAGCAGAAGAGAGACACTCCTTTTCTCAGCCCTCTTTGCAAATGAAAAAACTGAGGCTCAGAGAGCCTAAGTGCCTGTGGGGAGTGATTCAGCGAACGGGAAGGGCAGAGCTGGAGTCAGGAGACTCTCAGTGCAGGGCTCTCTCTCCCCTCAGACTGGTGAGCCCAGGTCTTTAACTAGGTGCTTCCCTGACCCATTTCCTCAGAATGGGCCTTCCTGTCCCACCTGGGAGTCAAGAGTGGGGCCGGAGCTGTCCCAGAGGATTCTGCAAGGGGGGGGGTGGGGGCGGCGGGGGGCGGGCAGCACTTACCTGGCCAGGTTTACTACAGGCTCCAGGATGTTGTGACCCAAGGCGGCACTGCACTCCCCAAAATAGACCCCCAGTTCCTGCAGGCCAGACAGGGAGGGACATATGTGCCTTGGGAGAGACAACTGAAAGGCCAGGCCATACCCCGCCACTAAAGTCCCGGCCATCAGAGTCCCAATGCATCCCTAAGCTGACCTCAGTGGCGAGCAAGACAGCCCCATCTCAGCGTGGGCCACGGTCCCTGCCTGGAGCCCTTTGCCCACTGTCCCTTCACCCCGGCTGGCCAAGGTGTCAAGGAATGCATTGAAGAGACATTTCACAGCCTTCGGAGTGGCATGGGAAGCCTGCATCCCAACTTGGAGAAATGCCCCTGGAGACATTTTATAAATGTTAGTTATGTTTTTTAATTTCAGAAATATTTCATTGGGGGAATATTGGAAGATATAGTATAAGACAGTACCAGCTCAATATCTAAACCACTGCTGTTAGTGTTTGGGTAGATATTGCCATTCTGTTTTATATAACCCTTTTACGGGGCGGGGGCTAACTGTCCTGTACAGTTAGGTTAAACCACACGAAATTGCTATTTTTGGCAAGCTCCAGTCAAATATCAGCAATTTCATATGTTTCAACCTAACCTATATCTAGATTTGTAGCTGCTTATATGATTTTCTATTATATTGTAAGCATTTCCCCCACACCCTTAAATATTTTTCCAAGACAGGATTCTTAATGGCAAATACTAACCTCTCACATGAACATCCACAGTTTAACCACCAATTGCTGCCAAATGTTTGTTCTTATAAATAATATTTGAAAACCCTCATATAAACCTGTTCGATTGTACGTTATACATGGGTATCCATTAGGTGTTCCTTTAGGGATTATTACTTCTGAGTCTTCCCTTACGATAAATTGCTAGAGGATAAATTACTATGTCAAAGGGATGAGTTACTACTTTTAAGAAAAAGGCCGAGCATGGTGGCTCACGCCTGTAATCCCAGCACTTTGGGAGCCCGAGGTAGGCAGATCCCTTGAGGTCAGGAGTTCCAGATCAGCCTGGCCAACATGGTGAAACCCCGTCTCTACTAAAAATACAAAAATTAGCCGGGCGTGGTGGCACATGCCTGTAATCCCAGCTACTAAGGAGGCTGAGGTGGGAGAATCGCTTGAACCCGGGAGTCGGAGGTTGCAATGAGCCAAGATCGTGCCACTGCACTCCAGCCTGGGTGACAGAGCAAGATTCCATCTCAAAAAAAAAAAAAAGAAAGAAAGAAAGAAAAAAAATTCCCTTCCAGCAGGAGCCACAATGATGACCTCACAATTTACGGGAAGTGGGAAGAGAAACAGGAAGGAAATACAGTAGGAAGATGCCAAGAGGGGTTGTGTGAGAGGTGGGGCGAGGAGTGATTTTTCCCTCTATTTTTATTACTCTCCAGATTTTCTGGAATGTGGTTAAATGCCATTCATGAATAGATAGTGTTCACTGTCTGGCAGTGGGGCTTTTGATGTAATCATCCCAAGGGAGAATTTGAGTCTTAAAATAGGAGAACTTAGAAGGCAGCACGTTAATTAGAGACCAGAGATAAAATTAAAATTTGATTGGGAATTTTAAGCAAAGCTTTCAAAACCTTTTTACTCTGAAGCTATTTCTTATGTAGGTGGGGACATGGTGTGGGAATGTGCTAATTCAACAGTGAGGTTCAGTGTCACGCCCGCCACTCCAGCCTTGGGTTTGGGCTTAAAGCGCATCTCCAGAGGCCAGGGCTGTGTGGGAGGCAGAGGTGGCTAGGCTGCTGTCCACTCTGAACAGGCCTTTGGTTGGGGCAGGGGCAGGAATGGGCCACGGGTTCTTCTCGGCTGCCCAGGTCAGGTGATGCCTATCCACCACCTGCCAGGGAGGTGTCTGCCCAGTCCACGCACAGAGACGGGCTGATGCCCAAGTGCTTACCTGGGCCAGTTGCTGCCCAGCTTCCACGGACACTTGCCGTTCCTCCTCACAGTCCATCTTGTTTCCCAGGAGAAGGATGACCACCCCATCCGACCCTGCATCCTGCACACAGAACATGTTCTGTCAGCCACACCCACTGTGTGCCAGGCTCCTGGCACATTTGCCTTCCTAGAAGCTGAACTGTGTCCCCCGCATGTTCCCCCTCCCAGGCCACATCCACTCCATAACCTTCTCACCTGGACCCTTTCCCCCATCCTTCCTCTCTGCTGATAAACATCTCACTTATTTTCCAAGGCCAACCTTAAGAACACCTCCCCCAGGAAGCCTTCCTGGGTTGTTCCTGCCCATGTCCTCTCTTCCTGCCTGTTCTGAACAGTCCAGCACTTGATTATACATTTTCCCAATTGTCTCATGAATAATAATAATAGTTTCTGATTAGTGAGTGATTGCTATACACCAGGTGCTGTGCTGAAAGCAATTCTATCAATTAATTGTCACAACTCCCCTATGAGAGAATTCCAGAAATTGAAGTTCAGAGAACTCAATTCACTTGTCCAAAGTCACAGAGTTCGGGTGGGTGGGATTCAAATGTAGGTCCTGTCAGACCCCAGTGCTCAGCTCCCCTCTTCACACATTACCTTATCCTGCTTCTTTTGCTAAACTAGAAACTTCCAGAGAGAAGGCAACATGGCTAACTTCACACCCCTCTGCTGTGCTAGTACACACTGCAGAATTTCAGTATATATGCTTTGAGGAAGTAAGCAGGGGAAAAACTAGAGATGTGTGAACAGAGGAATTACCACATGGAATGGCACAAGAACTACATTAGCCTCAAGTGTAAGAAGAAGACATTACAAACAGCTGCCATATGTAGGAAGAGAATGTTCACAGGATAAAGGAAGTAGTTTGGTTTGAAGTCTGTACTATGTGGTTGTGGTTTCTTTGTACTACTGCATTCCCAGCTCATCCAACCACATGCCCTCAGTGGGTGGTGTCACCCATATGTCTGTCATGTCATTTGTAATCCTGGGAGAAAAGAGGGAGTGGGCAGGATATAAGATCCCTCTTGACTGGAGGGACTGGGGCCAACCCCAGCAGCCATCTGCTCACCTGGAGACAGTCTAGCCAGTAGCGCACGTGGGCAAAGCTCTCCTGGGAGGTGATGTCGTACATGAGCACCACCCCGTCAGCCTTGCGGAGCAGCTGTCGCGTCATACTGTGGTACCTGCCCAGAGAGTCTGCATGAGGCCACACCAGGCATCCAGACCCCAGGCCCTGGCCTCTGCAAAGTGGGAGAAGTAACCTATCCTACTTCTAATTGCTTCCCACAGAGCATGTCCGTATGCTTTTCTTCGTACAGTGTAGTTATTGTTGACTAGGTAACAGTTCTCATGGCTCAAATTTCAAAAGGTCTCAAGGAGAACTCAATGAAAAGTCTCCTTCCTTCTGCCCCATCCTGGAGCCACCCAGTCCCCCTCCCCAGAGGCAACCAGGGTTATCAGTTTCTTAAATATTTTTCCAGAGGCATTTTACGTATATACATATATATACACACACATATATACACCCATACACATACATCTTTCCCCCTCTATTTTATACAAATACAGTGTAAAACATTCATCATACTCATTAATATTCAGTGTTCTGCATTTTGTTTTTTTCCAGTTAACAGGATGTCTTGGAGAAATTTCCCTATCGGGCTGGGCACGGTGGCTCACGCCTGTAATCCCAGCACTTTGGGAGGCTGAGGCAGGAGGATCACTTGCGGTCAGGAGTTCCAGATCGGCCTGGCCAACATGGTGAAACCCTGTGTCTACTAAAAATACAAAAATTAGCTGGATGTGGTTGTATGTGTCTGTAGTCCCAGCTCCTCAGGAGGCTGAGGCACAAGAATCACTTAAGCCCTGGAGGTGGAGATTGCAGTGAGCTGAGATCACACCACCACACTCCAGCCTGGGTGACAGAGCAAGACTCTGTCTCAAAAAAAAAAAAAAAATCCCTATTAGTACATAAAGAGAGTCCTCAGTCTTTGTGTGGCTTTATGGTGTTATACTGGGTAGATTGACCCTCCTTTATTTAACTGGTCCCCTATTGATGGACATTTAGGTTGTTTCCTATGTTTCATAACACAA